>NC_000003.12:51222121-51525151 GCF_000001405.40 Homo sapiens | reverse complement strand
TCTTTAATAGGTACAGACTTTGTTTGAGAAGATGAAAAAGTTCTGGAGATGGATGGTGATGATGATTGCACAATATGAATGTAACGCCACTAAACTGTACACTTAAAAATAGGTAAAATGGGCTGAACATGGTGGCTCACACCTGTAATCCCAGCATTTTGGGAGGCCAAGGTGGGCAGATCACGAGGTCAGGAGTTTGAGACCAGCCTGGCCAACACGGTGAAACCCCGACTCTACTAAAAATACAAAAAGTTAGCCAGGGATGGTGGCACGTGCCTGTAGTCCCAGCTACTCAGGAGGCTGAGGCAGGAGAATCGCTTGAACCCAGGAGGCAGAGGTTGCAGTGAGCCGAGATCGCACCATTGCACCCCAGCCTGGGGAACAGAACAAGACTCCCTCTTGAGAAAAATAAATAAATGAATAAAAATAGCTAAAATGAGTTGGGTTCAGTAGCTCACGCCTGTAATCTCAGCATTTTGAGAGGCCGAGGTGGGTGGATCACCTGAGGTCAGGAGTTTGAGAACAGTCCTACCAACGTGGTGAAACCCTGTCTCTACCAAAATACAAAATTAGCCGGGCATGGTGGTGTGCACCTGTAGTCCCAGCTACTCAGGAGGCTGAGGCAGGAGAATTGCTTGAACCTGGGAGACGTAAGTTGCCGTGAGCCAAGATCTCGCCATTGCACTCCAGCCTGGGCAACAGAGAGAGACTCTGTCTAAAAAAAAAATTAATAAAAATAAAAAAAATTTAAAAAAAATCTAAAGTAAATTTTGTAACATATATTTTGTCACAATAAAAAAGCATTATAAAGGCTGGGGGCAGTGGCTCACGCCTGTAATCCCAGCACTTTGGGAGGCCGAGGTGGGCAGATCACCTGAGGTCGGGAGTTGGAGAACAGCCTGACTAACATGGAGAAACCCCATCTCCACTAAAAATACAAAATTAGCCGGGCATGGTAGCACACACCTGTAATCCCAGCTTCTCAGGAGGCTGAGGCAGGAGAATCGCTTGAACCTGGGAGGCAGAGGTTGCAGTGAGCCAAGATCGCACCATTACACTCCAGCCTGGGCAAGAATAGCAAAATTCCATCTCAAAAAAAAAAGCATTATAAAAATAGATAAATTGGACTTTATCAAAATTTAAAGGTTGGGAAATCACAGACATTATCCAAAAAGTGAAAAGTGCTGGATGCAGTGGCTCATGCCGAGGTGGGAGGAAAACCTGAGCCCAAGGGTTCAAGACCAGCCTGGCCTATCTCTACAAAAAATTTAAAAATTGGCAGGGCGCGGTGGCTCACGCCTGTAATCCCAGCACTTTGGGAGGCTGAGGCAGGCAGATCACGAGGTCATGAGATCGAGACCATCCTGGCTAACAAGTGAAACCCCGTCTCCACTAAAAATACAAAAAATTAGCTGGGCATGGTGGTGGGCACCTGTAGTCCCAGCTACTCAGGAGGCTGAGGCAGGAGAATGGTGTGAACCCGAGAGGCGGAGCTTGCAGTGAGCCGAGATTTTGCCACTACACTCCAGCCTGGGTGACAGAGCAAGACTCTGTCTCAAAAAAAAAAAAAAAAAAAAAATTAAAAATTAGCCACATGTGGTGGCACGTGCCTGTACTCTCAGCTATTTTGGGGCTGAGGTGGGAAAGTCACTTGAACCCAGGAGTTTGAGACAGCAGTGAGCTGTAATCTTACCACTGCACTCCACTCTGGGTGACAGAGCAAGATCCTGTTTCAAAAAAATTAAAATTTAAATTAAATTTTAAAAATGTAAAACAAAAAACGTGTACAGGATTTTATTTTGGGGTGATGAAAATGTTTTGAAACTAGATAGAGGCTGGAGCAGTGGCTCATGACTGTAATCCCAGCACTTTGGGAGGCCGAGACAGTTGGATCACCTGAGGTCAGGAGTTCGAGACCAGCCTGACCAGTATGGTGAAACCCCATCTCTACTAAAAATACAAAAAAGCCAGGCATGGTGGCGTGGGCCTATTCTCCCAGCTACTCGGGAAGCTGAGACAGGATAATTATTTGAACCCGGGAGGCGGAGGTTGCAGTGAGCCGAGATCACGCCACTGCACTCCAGCCTGGGGGACAGAGCAAGACTCCTCAAAAAAAAAAAAAAAAAAGCCAGGCACAGTGGCTCTCGCCTGTAATCCCAGCACTTAGGGAGGCAAAGGCAGGCAGATCACGAGGTCAGGAGTTCAAGATCAGCCTGGTCAATATGGCGAAACCCTGTCTCTACTAAAGGTACAAAAAAATTAGCCAGGCCCGGTGGTGCATGCCTGTAATATCATCTACTTTTTTTTGGGAGGCTGAGGCAGGAGAATCGCTTGAACCTAGAAGGTGGAGGTTGCAGTGAGCCGAGATTGCGCCATTGCATTCCAGCCTGGACGACAGGGTGAGACTCCGTCTCAAAAAAGAAATAAACTAGATAAGGTGGTGGTTGCATAACACTGTGAATGTACTGAATGCCACCTAATTCCTCATTTAAAATGACTTTATGTTATATGAATTTTACCATAGTTTTAAAGAAAAGGAAACTGAAGCTCAGAGTGATTGAGCTACCTGAGATCTTACAGCCAGTAACTGGTGGAACCATAAACTGAACCCAGATCTGTGAATTCAAATAAAGCATATGTTACACAGTGAGAAAGTAGGTGCATTTACTTTACTTACTTCAGAGGTAAATGACTGTTATGCTGGTGCTTTCTCTCTCCTTCCCTCCCTCCCTCCCTCCCTCCCTCCCTCCCTTCCTTCCTTCCTTTCTCTCTCTCTCTCACTCGTTCTTTCTTTCTTTCTTTCCTTCTTTCTTCCAGAGACAGGGTCTTCATTACCCCGGCCGGAGTATAGTGGCATGATCATAGCTCACTGCAGGCTTGACCTCTTGGGTTCAATTGATCCTCTCTCTTCAACCTCCTGAGTACCTGGAACTACGGGTGTGCAGCACCACATCTGGCTAATTTTTTTTTTTTTTTGTAGAGACGAGGTCTCACTATGCTGGTGCTGGTGTTTTTCTGAGAGCAGGTGTTTGTAAGGGAGGAGGGACGATGCCTTCTGCATAGCAGGCACACAATTTCTGTTTCTCTGAGGAAGGAAAGGGCAATGATTCCCACTGATAAGGCTCTGAGGTCTGGAGAGAACTTAGGATGTTTAGGAGGGGCCATAACTCCCTCAAAGCAATGAAAGGATCTTCCTTAGGGATGGGAGGGAGGGACTAGCTTTTTTCACATGCTTTGTGACATTGGTCAAACTACTTAACCTCCCTGAGCTAGGTTCTTCATCTGTAAAACAGGAATAACATGCTTACAGTGGCGAGAAATTGGGAAATGGCCTATAAACACTTTTTAAAGTGCTAAATGGGCCAAGTATGGTGGCTCATGCCTATAATCCCAGCACTCTCGGAGGCTGAGGCAGGAGGATCCCTTGAGCCCAGAAGTTCAAGACCAGCCTAGGCAACATAGTGAGACCCCATCTCTACCAAAAATAAAAATAATAGCTGGGTGTGATGGTGCACATCTGTAGTCCCAGCTACTTGGGGGAGCTGAGATGGGAGGATTGCTTGAGCCCAGGAGTTTGAGGCTGAAGTGAGGTTTGATTATGCCACCGTACTCTGGGCAACATAGCAAGACCCTGTCTCGAAAAAAAAAAAGCAATTACATAAGGTAAGCTGGGTTCCCCAGACTGAGCTGCACTTTTGCAGTTATCTAGATTGTAGCATCCCATTCTTACTGGAATTGTGTCTGATTGCTCCAGATGGGACCAGGTCAGTCTACTGCAGTAGCCCTAAAATCTGGACAAGGATTGGCTTCTGTGAGCATGTATTGAAAAGGTTATTAGGGTTGCTACTGCCCACACATTCACCATCTGGTGATTCAGTTTCACCCAACAGACCCAGGGGATTTGTTATACAGAGATGAAAACCTCACAGTCCCTAAGGCCCCTGGGAGAAACAGGTGCAGAAACATAATTTCATTTTTTTGAGATGGAGTCTCACTCCATTGCCCAGGCTGGAGTGCAGTGGCACAATCTCGGCTCACTGCAACCTCCACCTCCTGGGTTCAAGCGATCCTCCTGCCTCAGCCTCCTGAGTAGCTGGGATTACAGCCACTTACCACCATGACTGGCTAATTTTTGTATTTTTAGTAGAGTCAGAGTTTCACCGTGTTGGCCAGGCTGGTCTTGAACTCCTGAGCTCAAATGATCCACCTGCCTCAGCCTCCCAAACTGCTGGGATTACAGGCATGAGCCACTGCGCCCGGCCAACAAACATAATTATAATACAGCCTTAACTCCTGTGAGAAGGGGGGTTCAGAAAAGGAAATATTTGGCTCAGACACTTAAGAGTCAAATCCTTCCTTTGGCCACTCCTCACCCATTTCCAGGCCTTATCCTAATCCCATAGCAGTCACCCAATGGGTTGGATGCACAGTAATGTGTGACTGGTCCAGTTCAAGCCAGAGGGTCATCTTTCCCTCCCAGCTAGTAAATCTACTCCCTCTAATGCCCAGCCCAAACATGACCTGTTTTGTGATGGCTCCAAGAACCTGAAGGCCAGCCCTTTTTCTGTGCTTTCTTTGCACTTCACCCCACAAATACTTTTTGGGTAAATTTCATTTTGGTCCTGGAGATGGATTTATACCACTTGGCTTCTGTCCTAAGCCTAAATGTCCATTGGAGGAGTTAGAACAGCAGCAGGCAGTGGTAGTTACACCACTGCAAGAGGGGAGCACAAGGTAAATACTCCCTGAAGGAGCTATAGGAGACACCTTTGGGGTCTTTTTAGCCCATCTTCCCCTCTGTAAAACTGCTTACCCACTCAGGATTGAGGCTTGGAGACCCTGTGTGTCTTGTGAGTCTTAGTTCCCTACCAGTAGCTGAGTGGCCCAGGGAGATTACCTCATTACAGGTGGGCCAATTCTATTCTATATCCCAGGATTTTGAGTCAAGTTTCAAAGATGCAGGGAGCTATGAAGCAACCAGGCAGAAAGCATTGGGCTGAGAGTCCCAGAGGAGGGAGGAGGAAAGGACTAGGGTTGTTGGCTGTGGAGTCTAAAGAACACCCCCATACAATCAGTTCTTTACAATCCTTACAATCGGCTCCTTGTTTTGCTTATAGGAGCTTCAAGCGTTCTGGATACTATTACAATGGTCCTTATTGAGGCAAGAGTAGCCAGGCAGGCTCCCAACCTATGCTGAGGTAAAGGACAGAAGGGAACAGACAGGACAGGCCAGGGCCAGAAGTTGGGGCTGGGTGAAAGATACAGGAGAGGATTCTGAGCAAGGGGAACAGCATAGGCAAAGGCCAAGAGATGGGAACTCCAGGATAAGGTGCAAAGAGGCAAGGCTGGAGATGGGGCCAGGGCCACATGGGAACTTGTAAGCCACATGAAAGTCTAAGACAAATTGCAATTTAAATGGACCATAAGGGCACTAAGAGTAGAAGCCTGGGGATGGGGAAACTCTACAATGGCCCCTTTGGGGAGATGGTGGTGGCCTAAATTGAAAGTGGGAGGACTGGGTCAGGTGTGGTGGCTCACACCTGTAATCCTAGCACTTTGGGAAGCCAAGGGGGACAGATCGCTTGAGCCCAGGAGTTCGAGACCAGCTTGGGCAACGTGGCAAAATTCTGTCTCTACAAGGAAGACCAAAATTAGCCAGGCGTGGTGGCACATGCCTGCAGTCCCAGCTACTTGGGAGGCTGAGGTAGAAGGATTGCTTGAGGCTGAGAGGTGGAGGCTGCAGGAGCCAAGATCACACCACTACACTCCAGCCTGGATGAGAGAGATCTTGTCTCCAAATAAATAAATTAAATTAAATCAAATAATTTAATTTTTTTTTTGAGACGAAGTCTCATTCTTGTCGCCCAGGCTGGAGTGCAATGGCGCGATCTTGGCTCACTGCAAACTCTGCCTCCAGGTTCAAGCGATTCTCCTGCCTCAGCCTCCTGAGTAGCTGGGATTACAGACGCCTGCTGCCATGCCCAGCTAATTTTTTTTTAAATTTTATGTATTTATTTATTGAGACTGAGTCTTGCTCTGTCGCCCAGGCTGGAGTGCGGTGGCGCAATCTCGGCTCACTGCAAGCTCCGCCTCCCGGGTTCACACCATTCTCCTGCCTCAGCCTCCCAAGTAGCTGGGACTACAGGCGCCTGCCACCACGCCTGACTAATTTTTTGTGTTTTTAGTAGAGACGGGGTTTCACTGTGTTAGCCAGGATGGTCTCCATCTCCTGACCTCGTGATCCGCCCGCCTTGGCCTCCCAAAATGCTGGGATTACAGGCGCGTACCTCCGCGCCTGGCCATTTTTTTAATTTTTAGTAGAGATGGGGTTTCACCATGTTAGCCAGGCTGATCTCGAACTCCTGACCTCAGGTGATCCACCTGCCTCAGCCTCCCAAGGTGCTGGGATTACAGGCGTGAGCCACTGCGCCTGGCCCTAAATCAAGTAATTTTAAAAAGGGGCTGGGCATGGTGGCTCACACCAGTAATCCCAGCAATTTGGGAGGCCGAGGCGGGTGGATTACCTGAGGTCAGGAGTTCAAGACCAGCCTGGCCAACATGGTGAAACTCCATCTCTACTAAAAATACAAAAATTAGCAGGGCGTGATGGTGCATGCCTGTAATCCCAGCTACTCGGGAGGCTGAGGCAGGAGAATCACTTGAACCTGGGAGGCACACGCCTGTAGTCCCAGCTACTCAGGAGGCTGAGGCAGGAGAATTGCTTGAACCCCGGAGGCAGAGGTTGCAGTGAGCCGAGATCACACCACTGTGCTCCAGCCTGGGTGACAGAGCAAAACTCCATCTCCAAAACAAAACAACAACAACAATAATAATGATGATGATGATGATGATGATGGAAACAAGCAAGAAAAACTAAAAAAAAAAAAAAAAAGAAAACTGAATGTGGCTAGATGGAGGAGCAAGGGAGAGATCAGGGGAATGGAAGAGAAAACCTCTTGGAGTCTGTGGAGAATCAGGTCTTTCGCTCCAGCAGCCCCAGCCCCAGGCCCCTAAGGAGAGGATTGGCATACTTTCTTTCTTTCTTTTTTTTTTTTTTGAGACGGAGTCTTGCTCTGTTGCCCAGAGTTCAGTGGCGCAATCTCGGCTCACTGCAAGCTCCGCCTCCTGGGTTCACACCATTGTCCTGACTCAGCCTCCCGAGTAGCTGGGACTACAGGTGCCTGCCACCACGCCCAGCTAATTTTTTGTATTTTTAATAGAGACAGGGTTTCACCATGTTAGCCAGGATGGTCTCGATCTCCTGACCTTGTGATCCGCCCACCTCGGCCTCCCAAAGTGCTGGGATTACAGGCGTAAACCACTGTGCCCGGCCGGATTGGGATACTTTCTTTCTTTCTTTCTTTCTTTCTTTCTTTCTTTCTTTCTTTCTTTCTTTCTTTTTTTTTTTTTTTTTTTTGAGACGGAGTCTTGCTCTGTCACCCAGGCAGCAGTGCAGTGATTCAATTTCACCTCACTGCAACCTCTGCCTCCTGGGTTCAAGCGATTCTCCTGCCTCAACCTCCCGAGTAGCTGGAATTACAGATGTGCGCCACCACGCCTGGCTAATTTTTGTATTTTTAGTAGCGAAGGGTTTCACCATGTTGGCCAGGCTGGTCTCAAACTCCTGACCTCAGGTGATCCACCCGCCTCAGCCTCCCAAAGTGCTGGGATTGCAGGTGTGAGCCACCGCACCCAGCCAATGCTTTCTCATTCTTCCCCAGGGCAAGTGTCCAAACAGACCTGGTGGAACCACCAAGCTACTCCAGCCCCCCTGGGAAGAAGAGGCAGTCCTCCAAGGTGGCCTTTCCATTAGGCTGCTGAGGTTGTGGGGTCGGGGAGTGTCCTTGGGGTGCTGGTGGAATGTTCACTTCTGTGCCTCCTTTTTGATAGAGGAGAGCAGAAACTCTGCCTGGACTGTTCTTGTAGCTGAGTAGCCTTGAATGTGTAATTTAACTTCTCTGGGCCTCATCTTACTCATCTGTTTAAAATAGAGCATAATGCCTACCCTACCTTGTTAGACTGTCGAGAGAATACTTTGAAGGCTGAACATAGGACCTGGCACAAAGTAGGTGCTTACTTCCTCTCAGAAGTCTGGGCTGAGTGCAGAATTCTGGCCCCAACAGGGATTAGTAACTGTCACCAGAGGCCTGGCTTGTAGCATCACCAGTTAAGCCATGTGCCTGAGCTAGTGACAAAGCCTCTGATGCTTCAGCATACTGAGATAAAGGGCAAGAGGGACCTGTTCCTACCATCTCCCTCCCATGAATAGCAGCTGAGAGGGAACCATGGGACAGAGATGGCAATAAAAGAAAAAGCCAACTCATATTGAACACTCATCTGGGCTAGGCTAAGCCCTTCACATCCCTTAGCTCATGTAATCCTTGCAAACCCCATGGGATGGGCACTATTCTCTGCATGCGTGAGTATTTATTTATAAATATACAGATGACCCTTGAACAACACAACACAGATTTGAACTGTGAGGGTTAGTTGGACACGGTGGCTCATGCCTGTAATCCCAGTACTTTGGGAGGCCGAAGTGGGAAGATGGCTTGAGGCTGGGAGTTTGAGACCAGCCTGGACAACACAGTTGAGACCCCGTCTCTACCAAAAAAAAGAAATTTTTTTTTTTGAGACAGGGTCTGGCTCTGTCACCCAGGCTAGAGGGCAATGGTGCAATCTCGGCTCACTGCAACCTCCACCTCCCAGGCTCAAGCAATCCTCCTTCCTCAGTACCCCAAGTAGCTGGGACTAGAGGTGTGTGCCATCACACCAGCTAATGTTGCTATGTTCCCCAGGCTGGTCTCGAATGCTGGGCTCAAGCCATACACTCATCTTGGCCTCCCAAAGTGTTGGGATTACAGGCATGAGCCACCACTCCTGGCCTCTACAAAATTAAAAAATAATAATAATTGTGCCAGGTGTGGTGGCTCACGCCTGTAATCCCAGCACTTTGGGAGGCCAAGGCGGGTGGATCACCTGAGGTCAGGAGTTCAAGACCAGCCTGGCCAAGATGGTGAAACCCCATCTCTACTAAAAATACAAAAATGAACCGGGCATGGTGGCGCATGCCTGTAGTCCCATCTACTCTGGAGGCTGAGTCAGGAGAATCGCTTGAACATGGGAGGCAGAGGTTGCCGTGAGCGGAGATCTCACCATTGCACTCCAGCCTGGGCGACAAAAGCGAAATTCTGTCTCAATTAAAAAAAAAAAAAAAAAAAAGAATTGTGCAGGTCCACTTATACAAAAATGTTTTTCAATAAATACATTGGAAAAATTTTTGGTGCAACAATTTAAAAAACTTGCAGATAAACCTTACAGGTTAGAAATATTTTTAAAATTTAAGAAAAAGTTATATCATGAATGCATAAAATACATGTAGATATGAGTTTATTTTTTCATTTACCACCATAACATATTCACAAATCTGTTATAAAAAGTTAAAATTTTTAGGCCGGGTGCAGTGGCCTGTAATCCCAGCACTTTGGGAGGCCGAGGTGGGTGGATCATGAGGTCAGGAGATTGAGACCATCCTGGCTAACATGGTGAAACCCCGTCTCTACTAAAAATACAAAAAATTAGCCAGGCGTGGTGGCAGGCGCCTGTAGTCCTAGCTACTCGGGAGGCTGAGGCAGGAGAATGGCGTGAACCCGGGAGGCGGAGCTTGCAGTGAGCCCAGATTGTGCCACTGCACTCCAGCCTGGACCACAGAGCTAGACTCTGTCTCAAAAAAAAAAAAAAAAAAGAGTTAAAATTTTTAGCAGGGCGTGGTAGTGCACACCTGTAATCCAAGCTGCTCGGGAGGCCAAGGCAGGAGAATCACTGGAACCCAGGAGGTAGAGCTTGCAATGAGCCAAGCAAGACTCTATCTCAAAAAAATAAAAAATAAATAAAATAAAATAAGAAGTTAAAATTTATGAAAACTTACAAGGCCAGGCGTGGTGACTCAAGCCTGTAATCCCAGCACTTTGGCAGGCCAAGGTGGGTGGATCACCTAAGGTCAGGAGTTCGAGACCAACCTGGCCAACATGGTGAAACCCAGTCTCTACTAAAAATACAAAAATTAGCCAGGCGTGGTGGTACACGTCTGTAATTCCAGCTACTTGGGAGGCTGAGGCACGAGAATCACTTGAACCTTGGAGGCGGAGATTGCAGTGAGCCGAGATTGCGCCACTGCACTCCAGCCTGGGCAATAGATCGAGACTCCATCTCAAAAAAACAAAACAAAACAAAACAAAACCTTATATGTACAAACACTTAAAGACTGTATATAGCACCATTTACAGCCAAGAGAAATGTGAACGAATGTAAAGATGCAGTGTTAAATCATAATTGGCTGGGTGCAGTGGCTCATGCCTGTAATGAACGCATTTTGGGAGGCTAAGGCAGGAGGATCACTTGAGCCTAGGAATTTGAGACCAGCCTGGGCAATGTAGGCAGAGCCCATCTCTACACACACACACACAGGCTGGGCGTGGTAGTGTGTGCCTATAGTCCCAGCTACTAGGGAGGCTGAGGCAAGAGGATTGAGCATGTCCAAAAGATTGAGGCTGCAGTGAACCATAGTTGCACTACCATACTCCGGCCTGGATGATAGAGAGAGAAGATCCAGTCTTAAATAATTAAATAATAAATAAATAAATAAATAAATAAATCATAACTGCATAAAATTAACTGTAGTATGTACTGTACTACTGCAATAATTTCCTAGCCACTTCCTGTTGCTGTTGTGAGCTGAAGCTTAAAACATCATGTGCTGCTAATTATCACATGAGCGATTTGTCTCTCCAGTAAATTGTGTATAGCACTAAAAGTGACCTCCCTCAATTCTCTTGTATTTTTCATCTTGTTAAGTGCAATACCGTAAACTTCGAATAACACCATGGGACCCATATGAAGTACCACTACTGATGCTGGAAACGCTCCCAAGAAGCAGAGAAAAGTCATGACATTACAAGAAAAAGTTGAATTCCTTAATTGAGGTTTGCGGCTGTGGTTACCCCTCATTTCAGTCGGACATCATTGTAAACAGATAATGTAAACTTATGATATTGATCAATAGAGTACTGTAAATATATATTCTCTTATGAATTTCTTTCTTTCCTTCCTTCCTTCCTTTCTTCCTTCCTTCCTTTAATTTTTTTACAGCCATGGTTTCACTATGTTGCCATACAGCCTCAAACTCCTGAGCTCAGATCCTCCTGCCTCAGCCTCCTGAGTATCTGGGACTATAGGAGGGTCACCATGCCTGGCTTGATTTTCTTAACTTTTTCTTTCTCTTTCCTTTTTGTAGAGACGGGGTCTTGCTGTGTTGCCCAGGCTGGTCTCAAACTTCTGGCCTCAAGGGATCCTCCCGCCTCAGCCTCCCAGAGCTGCCATTTCCTTTTCCTTCTTTTTTATTTATTTATTTTTTCTTTCTGGCTCTGTCACCCAAGCTGTAGTGCAGTGGCACCATCTCCGCTCACTGCAACCTCCACCTCCAGGGTTCAAGCCATTCTCCTGCCTCAGCCTACTGAGTAGCTGGGATTACAGGTGCCTGCCACCATGCCCACCTAATTTTTGTGTTTTTAGTAGAGACAGAGTTTTGCCATGTTTGCCAGTCTGGTGTCAAACTCCCAACCTCAGGTGATCCACCCACCTCAGCCTCCCAAAGTGCAGGGATTACAGGCCTGAGCCACCGCACCTGGCCCCAGCCACCATTTTATTTTCCTTAGTTACTTTATTCTAACAATACAGTATATAGGCCGGGCTTGGTGGCTCATGCCCGTAATCCCAGCACTTTGAGAGGCTGAGGTGGGCGGATCACCAGAGATCAGGAGTTCGAGACTAGCCTGGCCAACATGGCAAAACCCCGTCTCTACTAAAAATACAAAAATTAGCGGTATGTGGTGGCATATGCCTGTAATCCCAGCTACTGGGGAGGCTGAGGCAGGAGAATTGCTTGAACCTGGGAGGCAGAGGTTGCGGTGAGCCGAGATTGTGCCACTGCACTCCAGACTGGGCAATAAGAGCGAAATTCCATCTCAAAAAAAAAAAAAAGAAAAACCAGAATATAATACATACAACATACAAAATATGTGTTAATTGACTATTTATGCTAGCAGTAAGGCTTCTGGTCAAAAGTAAGCTATCAGTAGCTAAGTTTTGGGGGAATCTAAAGTTATACACGGGGCCAGGTGCAGTGGCTCATGCCTGTAATCCCAGCACTTTGGGAGGCCGAGGCAGGCGGATCACCTGAGGTCGGGAGTTGGAGACCATCCTGGCCAACATGGTGAAACTCAATCTCTTCTAAAACTACAAAAATTAGCCAGGCATGGTGGTGGGCACCAGTAATCCCAGCTACTTGAGAGGCTGAGGCAGGATAATCGCTTGAGCCTGGGAGGCGGAGGTTACAGTGAGCTGAGATTGTGCCACTGCACCCTAGCCTTTGGTGACACAGTAAGACTGTCTCAAAAAAAAAAAAGTTATACATGGATTTTCTACTGTGGTGGGGGGTCAGCACCCCTAACCCCCACACAAGAGTCAGCTGTACTACTTTTTTTTAGAGCAATCTTAAGTTAATAGCAAAATTGGGCAGAAAGTACAGAGTTCCCATATGCCCCTGCTCTCACACATGCACGTCCTCCTCCATTATCAACATCCTACAACAGAGTGGTACATTTGTTACAATCAATGAACCCACACTGATATATCATTATCGACCATAATCCATAGTCTACATTAGGGTTCACTCTTGGTGTTGTATATCTATAGGTTTTGACAAATATATAGTGACATGTATAGCTTTACTGTTCTTTTCTTTCTTTTTTTTTTTTTTGGAGACAGAGTCTCGCTCTATCCCCCAGGCTGGAGTGCAGTGGTGCGATCTTAGCTCATTGCAAAGTCCACTTTCTGGGTTCAAGCGATTCTCATGCCTCAGCCTCCCAAGTAGCTGGGATTACAGGAGCCTGCCACCACATCTGGCTAATTTTTGTATTTTTGGTAGAGATGGTGTTTCACCATGTTGGCCAGGATGGTCTCAAGCTCCTGACCTCCGGTGATCTGCCTGCTTTGGCTTCCCAAAGTGCTGGGATTACAGGCACGAGCCACTGCACCTGGCCTATGCTTTACTTTTCAGTGTAATTTTATTTTTATTAAAGTGGTACATGCTCAGCCAGGTGCAGTGGCTCATGCCTGTAATCCCAGCACTTTGGGAGGCTGAGGCAGGCGGATTGCTTGAGCCCAGGAGTTCGAGACCAGCCTGTGCAACATGGCGAAACTTTGTCTCCACAAAAAATACAAAAATTAGCTGGGCATGGTGGCATGCATTTGTATTCCCAGCTACTTGGGTGGCTGAGGTGGGAGGTCACTTGAGCATGGAGATTAAGGCTACAGTAAACTGCGATTGTGCCATGCACTCCACCTTGGGTGACAGTGTGAGACTCTGTTTCAAAAAAGAAAAAAAAAGCCATGTATACTCAGTGGCTTAAAAGGCAAAGAATATGTCGGACGCGGTGGCTCACGCCTATAATCCCAGCACTTTTGAAGGCCAAGGTGGGCGGATCACCTGAGGTTGGGAGTTTGAGACCAGCCTGACCAACATGGAGAAATCTCATCTCTACTAAAAATACAAAATTAGCCGGGTATGATGGTGGCATTAGGCTGTAATCCCAGCTACTCAGGAGGCTAAGGCAGGAGAATCGCTTGAACTCAGGAGGAGGAGGTTGCGGTGAGCCGAGATCGCGTCATTGCACTCCAGACTGGGCAACAAGAACGAAACTCCGTCTCAAAAAAAAAAAAAAGGTCAAAGAATACAAAAAAGGCTTATATGGAAAACCCAGCATCTCTCTTCCCTACCTACCCTACCCACTTCCTAACCTCAGCCCAGGCAGAGTGGCATCTTCTTATGTAATCATCAGCCTTGGGATGGCCACACCCTTGCCACTGAGGTAATGAACCTTCTTCTCTGTATCAGGAACATCAAAGGGGACTGGAGCCAAGTGGTCAGACTGGCTGAACACACCTTCTACTTCAAGGATCAATCAGGCATCTCAGATAAGATAGCCTAAAGGTATTTTTAAATCCCTGCTTGCTGCTTTAGAAGCCCCAGTAGGCTGGGTAGGGTGGCTCACACCTGTAATCAGAGCAATACAGTGGGACCCTGTCTCTACAAAAAATAAACAATATATAAAAAAAACTAGCTGGGCATGGTGGCGTGTGCCTGTAGTCCTAGATACTAGGGAGGCTAAGGTTGGAGATTTGCCTGAGCCTGGTAGGTTGAGACTGCAGCGAGCTATGATCGTGCCACTGCACTCTAGCCCGGGTGACAGAGTAAAAAAAAAAAAAAAAAAAAAAAGACAGAGAGAGAGAAGAAGCCCCTATAGTAATTTTAGGAGTTTTGCTGAGAGATGAAAGCTAAAGTTCAATACAAAAAAACTGCTGTGATGTGAAGCTGCCTGGGAGATTAAGATTCTTGCTGGCTGCGTGTCTGGAGCAAACCTCTCTCCTTTGGACACTGAGGTCTTCACGTGAAAAACAAGGGGACTGGGTGGATGATCATTAGAGCTTTGTCCAAGCTGACAGAGGGAGCTGGGGCTGTGGTTGCTGCTGCTAGCAGCTTCATCTCTGGAGCCCTTTCTGTAAGCCAGTGCTTCCCGTTGCCCTCCTTGCAACCACCCTCAAAGCAGGTATTACTACCTCCATTTTTTTTTTTTTGAGACAGAGCCTTGCTCTGTTGCCCAGGCTGGAGTGCAGTGACGTGATCTTGGCTCACTGCAACCTCCGCCTCCCAGGTTCAAGCAATTCTCCTGCCTCAGCATCCCAAGTAGCTGGGATTACAGGCACACGCCACCCACACCCAACTAATTTTTGTATTTTTAGTAGAGACAGGCTTTCACCATGTTGGAAAGGCTGGTTTTGAGCTCCTGACCTTAAGTGATCCACCCCCTTGGCCTCCCAAAGTGCTGGGATTACAGGCATGAGCCATCGTGCCCGGCCTACTATGTCCATTTTACAGAGGAGGAATTGAGGCTCAAAGGTTGCCAGGGCCACACAACTAGAGAGTTCAGGGTCGTGATTCTAACCTAGAGTGCATGCTTCTTCCCCTCCCTGGAGCTGGGTTCCTGAGCCTTCTGTTTTGCTTTCCCCACAATAGGTGCTGGGTGTGTGTGTGGGATGTGTATGGAGGATGTGCAGGGGTGGGTAAGAAGGAGCCCTGTGGCCTCCAGGAGCAGAAAGGTCCAGCTTACCACACCCCACATTTTAGGCCTCTAGGCCCCACCTCAGGGTAAAGGTCATCATGCCCACATCCTGTTTTTTTTTTTTTTTTTTTTGAGACAAAGTCTTGTTCTTGTCCCCCAGTCTGGAGTGCAATGGCGCAATCTCGGCTCACTGCAACCTCTGCCTCCCAGGTTCAAATGATTCTCCCGCCTCAGCCTCCTGAGTACCTGGGATTACAGGTGCCTGCCACCACGCCTGGTTAATTTTTGTATTTTTAGTGGAGACTAAAAATACAGGCACCTGCCACCACACCCAGCTAATTTTTGTATTTTTAGTAGAGACAGGGTTTCACCATGTTGGCTGGGCTGGTCTTGAACTCCTGACCTCAGGTGATCTGCCCGCCTCAGCCTCCCAAAGTACTGGGATTACAGGAGTGAGCCACCACACCCGGCCCGCCCACATCCTGTTTAATGCCAGTCTTTCCTCCTAGACCAGAGGTTCTCTGCCTTAGTGGAGTATTCGTTATCTGGGGAGCTTTGGAAAACATTGTTGCCTGTGCCCTAGAGATTCTGACTTAATTGAACTGGGGTAGGGTCTTGACACTAGAGGTTCATAAAGGCTCTGCAGGTGATCTGAATTGCAGCCAGGGTTGAGAACCTTGTACTAGCCTGTCAGCTTGTCTTGTTCGTTCACCATGCCTGGCCCTAGGGAATGTCCGCTTTTCTTTGCCATGCCTTGCTAGCCACAAGGCAGAGAGCAGCCTTTGCTCTCAGCTATAATGCAGCTCCCTTTCCCTGCAACAAGGCTCACGGCACCATAACTCTGCTCTCCTGACTTGCTCTTAGAATGAGCCAAGGCCCTGATGCTTCTCATAAATTATTTGAAACAAAAGCTCATAGAATTCAGACATGCCTGCCTTGTGGGGTGGGAAGCCCATCTTGCCCGTCTTCCCTCTGATCTGTATCTTAGGAGAAAAGAAATTGGAGAGGGCAGGTTTTATACTGCATCCTGGCTGTCCTGAGCATCTTCTGGCAGGTGAGGTTGGCAGCCCCATGAAATCAAATATGCCCTGCATCCAAAAAAGGACCAGGACAATTCCAGAGACTACAGGGATCTCGGAAGAGAGTTAGGCAAAGATGAATGTTACCTGGAGAAAGCCTCCTGTCTCCTGCCTATTGGATTCAGGTACAGAGAGGTGACTGTTGTACTCCTGACTTAGAACCCATGTGGGCTTTGAGCCCCTAAGGCCTAGATGCTGATTTCAGAGCCTGCAAGAGAGGAACAAAGGTAGGAGCAGAGGGCCAGGTGAGAGGTGGGCTGGGGACACGCTGGTGGCTGGAAATAAGCTGAACTGGAACCAGGAATGAGTAGTTGCAGCGGAAATATTCAGAGCAGAACTCTTGAGGTGGCCACTACATGTGGCATTCTTTGTCCTGTTCCCATCTTTCATAATCTGGACTTTGCAGTCACAGATTCACAGCACCTGAAAGGGTCTGGAAGCCATGTGGTACATGGTTTTTTTTTTTTGAGACGGAGTCTCACACTGTCGCCCAGGCTGGAGTACAGTGGCTCGACCTCTGCTCACTGAAACCTCCGCCTCCCAGGTTCAAGCAATTATCCTGCCTCAGCCTCCGGAGTAGCTGGAATTACAGGCACCCGCCAGCACACCCGGCTAATTTTTTTTGTATTTTTAGTAGAGAGATTTCACCGTATTGCCCAGGCTGGTCTTGAACTCCTGACCTTGTGATTTGCCCGCCTCGGACTCCCAAAATGCTGGGATTACAGGCATGAGCCATCGTGCTCAGCCGGCTGGTGCATGGTTTTTAAACTGCATTCCTTGTAACACTAGGAGTTTTTCTGCCACATCATGACCTAGAATCCCTTGCATCATTCCTTTTCTCTACTTAATGAAGAGGTATACAAGATTTCAGTGGGACTAAAAAGACTCTGTGGTAAAATCATAATACTAATATAATTTGAAAATCATGGATCTAGGCCAGGCACAGTGGCTCACGCCTGTAATCCCAGCACTTTGGGAGGCCGAGGTGGGTGGATCACGAGGTCGAGTTAAAGACCAGCCTGGCCAACATGGCAAAACCCCATCTCTACTAAAAATACAAAAATTAGCTGGGCATGGTGGCGTGTGCCCAGCTACTCGGGAGGCTGAGGCAGGAGAATCACTTGAACCGGGGAGGTGGAGGTTGCCGTGAGCCAAGATCGCACCACTGCACTCCAGCCTGGGCAACAGAGCAAGACTCTGTCTCAAAAAAAAAAAAAAAAAAAAAAGAAAGAAAGAAAGAAAGAAAATCATAGATCTAGTAAAGCCCTCCTTATGGGGGATGTATGAGGAAACTTGCCCAGGGTCACCTCTAGTCTCTTGTACCTCACACCAGACCTGTCCCACAGGATGCCTGCTGGCTCCATAGAGCAGACAGCAGAAACCCTCAGTGGAGGCATGGCTTGAATACAAAATAGCCAAGATGTCTCCTTGGTCTGGAGGAGACACATGGTGGTGAGCAACTCTCAACAGAATTAATGACACCAAGACCCAGACCTGCAGACCCTGAGAGGCAGTGAGATGCTGTCTTAGCTTACCTGCCAAAAGTCCACAGGATTTGGTCTGTTCTTGCCTTCATGAAATGTAATGCCCTGGACAGGGATACAAGGCTCTTGGGTTCCAGGCTGCCCCTGACTTCTGGGAATAGCAGCCTTCATTTTAAGGGAGGGAGCTGGGCATAGTCATTCAGGCCTTAGACTGTAAGCCTTGAGGGCAGGGTCTGTGCTGCATTCTCCGCAGCACTGAAGACACAGGGTACAGGGCCAGGCACAGGGCAAGGGCTCGGGAATCCTAACTTAAGACACATTTTTGTTCATTTGATTTTCTTTTTTTTCTTTTTTTCTTTTTTTTTTTGAGGGAGTCTCTCTCTGTCGCCCAGGCTGGAGTGCAGTGGCATGATCTTGGCTCACTGCAACCTCTGCCTCTGGGGTTCAAGCGATTCTCCTGCCTCAGCCTCCCGAGTAGCTGGGATTACAGGAGTGCCCAGCTGATTTTTTCTATTTTTAGTAGAGACGGGGTTTCACCATGTTGGCCAGGCTGGTCTTGAAATCCTGACCTCAGGTGATCTGCCCACGTCGGCCCCCCAAAGTGCTGGGATTATAGGCGTGAGCCACCCATGCCTTGCAACTTGTTTTTAAAACAAGGTTTCCATTCAGTGGCTGCCCCCATGCCCCGCTTACGAAGTGTGACCTTCCAAGGCAGTAACTGAGTTTCCACATTTTGTGGAATGACACTTTCTCCCCGGGTTGTTTTCTGTTTTCTCCCCTGAATTGCCTCTTCAGGAGGTGGGAGTCTCTACCCTCTGGAGAGAGTGGGCACTGAGCGCTCCACTTTCTTCTCTTGACACTCTTCTTCCTCTGCGTAATCCAACAGGTAGGGGTGCCCCAAGGCTACCAGGGCCACTTTTCAATGTAGCAGAATTTGGCAGAATGTGCTTGCCCAGGAAACAGGTAGAAAATGGATGGTCAGGCCAGGTGCAGTGGCTTATGCCTGTAATCCCAGCACTTTGGGAGGCCAAGGCAGGTGGATCGTTTGAGGTCAGGAGTTCGACACCAGCCTGGCCAACATGGTGAAACCCCGTCTCTACTAAAAATACAACAATTAGCCAGGTGTGGTGGCGGACACCCGTAATCCCAGCTACTCAGGAGGCTGAGGCATGAAAATCGCTTGAACCCGGGAGGTGCAGGTCTCAGTGAGCCAAGATCACACCACTGCACTCCAGCCTGGGCGACAAGAGTGAAACTCCATCTCAAAAAAAAAAAAAAAAAAAAGAAAGAAAAGAAAAAGAAAAAAGAAAAGAAACTGAATGGTCACAGAGGGATGGCACTGAGGAGAAGATCTGGTCCCTGGCTCAGGGGCCTTAACCTCCTTTTTCCAGGGATGACCCAGAACATCAGTGATCAGGACCCTTATATATATTCAAAAGGGGCAAGGGTGCTCCTCTGGCCCTAGGGTCTCAACGGATGGGATAATGGTCAAGGAATACAGGCTCAGGCCCCAACTGTTCTTATCTTTTGGCGATGACTGAGACATGAGAAACTGATCCCATCCTGAGTCTCCAATAACCCTCCTCACCCACTACAGCCTGAGACTGGTCCAGTGAGCCCCTCCAGACCCCACACCCCTCTCCAGAGCCTACAGGCTGCTTGTGAAGTCCCTTCTCCCCTAAAGTCATGCCCACTAGTCCCTGGTTGTCCTGGTCCCTGGTCCTGTGGGGAGGCAACCAGCTTTGTGACTTCACAAAAGGCTATCTTGTCAGAAGCCTGGACCTGCTGAAGCAGGAGCAGGGCAGAGGGGGCTCCCCTCAGGAACATCATGAGACTTTTCACACAGAGACATCGCCACCTCTAAGGGATGAAGAACTTCCCCACGGTAAGAGCCCATGACACCCTCTACACCTAGAAACTCCCGTCTTGATGACTTTGGCTCCCAGGCCTAACTGGGTACCCCAGGCTGTATCTGGCAACATCTCCAAGAGGGATACGCCCATGGTAGAAGTATTTACTTCGGTTGGTGTGGTGGGTCTCTGACCTTTGAATTTGTTCCATTCAACAAAGCCATTCTTCTGTAGGCCCTCTCTTTTTTTAATTTAAAAAATTATTATTAATTTTATTTTTATTATTATTATTTTTTGAGACAGAATCTCACTCTGTTGCCTAGGCTGGAGTGCAGTGGTGTGATCTCGGCTCACTGCAACCTACGCCTCCTGGGTTCAAGCAATTCTCATGCCTCAGGCTCCTGAGTAGCTGGGATTACAGGCATGCACCACCACACCTGGCTAATTTTTGTAATTTTTTAGTAGAGATGGGGTTTTGTCATGCTGGCCAGGCTGGTCTCGAACTCTCGACCTCAGGTGATCCACCTGCCTTGCCCCCCTAAAGTGCTGGGATTATGGCGTGAGCTACCACGCCTGGCTGTAAGAATTATTTTTATTTTTATTATTTTTTATACTGATAGAGTCTCACTATGTTGCCCAGGTTGGTCTTGAACTCCTAGGCTCAATGATCCACCTGCCTCAGCCTCCCTAAGTGCTGGAATTACAGGTGTGAGCCACCGTGCCAGGCCCAGGCCTTCTTGAAATGAAATAACTGATAGAGTGGTAAACTCTTTCTGACCTGAGTCATCATGAGGGTCTGCCCCAGCAGTCTCCAGAGTACCTTCAAATGGGTCAGGCCAGAGATCCCTGAATCCTGTAGAATGGTCTATTCCCTGAATCCTGTAGAATGGTCTTTCTAAAAATCCAGGAGTGGCCAAAGCATGGTGGTTCACACCTGTCATCCCAGCACTTTGAGAGGCCAAGGTGGGTGGATCACTTGAGGTCAGGAGTTCGAGACCAGCCTGGCCAACATGGTGAAACCCCATCTCTACTAAAAATACAAAGATTAGCCAGGTGTTGTGGCGGGCACCTGTAATCCCACCTACTCAGGAGGCTGAGGCAGGAGAATTACTTGAACCCAGGATGCAGAGGTTGCAGTGAGACGAGATTGCTTCACTGCACTCCAGCCTGGGGACAGAGTGAGGCTCCATCTCAAAATAAATAAATAAATAAAAGTTCAGGGGTTGCCAGGCGCGGTGGCTCACGCCTGTAATCCCAGCATTTTGGGAGGCAGAGGCGGGCGGATCACGGGGTCAGGAGATCGAGACCATCCTGGTTAACACAGTGAAACCCCGTCTTTACTAAAAATATAAAAAATTAGCCAGGCGTGGTGGCGGGCGCCTGTAGTCCCAGCTACTCAGGATGCTGAGGAAGGAGAATGGCCTGAACCAGGAGGCGGAGCTTGCGGTGAGCTGAGATTGTGCCACTGCACTCCAGCCTGGGCGACAGAGCCAGACTCCATCTCAAAAAAAAAAAAAAAAAAATGTTCAGGGGCTTCTGAGAGCTTGGAGCCAAGGCCAATACAGACTCTCTCCCCAATGTTGACTCCACTCTTCCTCCTGGAAGGATTTCCAACCCCAGGAACCTGAGGCAAAAGAGGCTAGGTATGCTTGCTTTTTTATCTCCTCTTTATCTGTGCCCACTGATCGATGTGGGCACTTAAGTTGTTGACTTTGTGGAATTTGTTTCTTTCTCTGTAAAGTGAGAGTAGTGGATGTGGATGTAATCAGACATAATTACACACCCTTTGGGAAATGATGTGGCGTTCCCTCTCCTCATTTTCTGGGGGTGGGGTACAGGGGCCACCAGGCAGGAGTAGGGTACCCAGTGAATGATTGGGATTTCCTCTTTGTCCAGGCTGGTGTTCCCAAAGCCTGGTAGCCTTAAGCCTCTAATTGGTGGCTCCTGCGACACTGCTGGACACTTGCAGTAGCAGTCTTGTCTAGCCAACAGGAGAGCAGGGGTGGATATGGGACAGCTGACCTCACTTCCCAGCCCCAGGGAAGGGAATTGCTGGAGGAAGCGCAGGAGTTGTGGGGTGGCACCAGGGTGAGGATGGGCTTGTGGGAGCACCTGGGTAAGCCTAGAAGGAGGTGCTGGGAGTGAAAAGCTCATAGAAGGATGGGAGCGGGAGAAGGAGGAGAATGAAGGAGAAGCTTGAAGCCTAGAGGACTTGGTGCTGTCCATCTTCCTACCCAGGGAGTGGGTGTGCTTGGAGGTGGGAGTAGGTAGAGCATGCTAATCTGTAGGCCTTGGTCCTGGGGCCAGGGCTGGGCTCTTCTTACCTTTTCTCTGCTGCTGGGCAGCCCCCAAAGCACTCCTCACTCTTTCAGATGGGGCTTCCTCTTTCTTGGGCACACCATGGAGCAGGGGGTGGAACAGGCAGAGCAAGGTGAGACGGAGTCCAGAGATGTCCTACCAAAGAGGTCAATAAATCTCCTCCCAATGGTGCAGGACCCATGTGCCACAACCAAGCCAGGTGTGTGGGCCTGGATTGTCTGTAGCTTTGTGTGTGCATATGCTTAGATGTGAAAGTATTTGTTGTGAGGACTGGGTGCCTAATGCACAGTGTGCATGCTTGTATATCTGGCACATGTGGGTATCTGTGAAATATGCCACCAAGCACACTTGGAATGCGTGTGCAGTTGGGAAAGCCTGGGTGCTCCCTCTTCTTTTTCCCAGAAGTGGGAAGGAGGTGTTTGAAGGTGTCTGCAGGTGTGTGGCTATGTGCATGTTGGGGAGGGGGAGGTGTTGGCAGGGGTAGAGGAGGCTGCAGGAGTTAAGAGTGCAGATTCCTGAGGGCGTGGCTGCTGGAGAGGCCTTGTTTGTCTCCTCCCCTGCTTCCCCTGCCTCCTAGGCCCTGGCTTCTCCAAAGCCCCTTCTTAATGCTTCTTGCTCCCATCACCAACCCAGGGCCCCAGGCTGGGTTTGTTTTTTAAAAAAATTAAAAAAAAATTTTTTTTTGAGACAGAGTCTCTCTCTGTCACCCAGGCTGGAGTGCAGTGGCACAATGACAGCTCACTGTAGCCTCAACCTCCCAAGCTCAAGCAATCCTCCCACCTCAGCCTCATAAATAGCTGGGACTACAGGCATGCACCACCACGTCCGGCAAATTTTTAAGATATTTTGTAGAGACAGTGGAGCAAGGGTGAGGGTGGGGGTGTCTCTCTATGTTGCCCAGGTTGGTCTTGAACTCCTGGGATCAAGAGATTCTCAGCCCCTCAAAGTGCTGGGATTACAGGCATGAGCCACAGTGCTCTGACCAGGTTGGGTTTCTGAAATGAAGCAGTGCCATCTGGTGGCAGACTGAGGCAGTGCCAGGAGCGCGTGAGCTAAGCCTTGAGCTCCCCTAAGGGCTCTGCCTCTTAGGACCCCAGCCAGCGGAGAAGTCACCACTGGGCCGGCTAGACCATAGTCAGAGGGGAGATATCCAAGGCTTAAATGTCCCATCCTCATACATTTTAGGTTCATGGCCCAGGGAGGCATGGCAGGAAAGTCACCTGAAGGAGTGCTGGAGGAATGGCATGTGGGTTCCATTCCTTGTTCTACCTCTCTGGGTCCAGATTTCTCATCTGTAAAGGTGATTAACCATATCTTCCCTGTGTGTGTGGCAGGGTAGTGAGGGTTAAATGAGAGAGTGTGGCTGGAACACTTGGCTCAGGGCCCAGCATGCTCTGAAGTTGAAAGAAATGGTACTGGCCATTACTGACAGAGGTAGAGTTCCAGAAGCACAGAGAAGGGACCTGTGTGTTGTGGCAGGAGAAAGAAGTGAAGAAAGGTGACATGTCTGTGGCGCTCCCAGCACATATTAGAGAATCTCTGCTTGGAGCAGTAGCTCCAAGTTACACATTTAAGAGAAGGAGGATGGTCCCTTTTCTGGAAAGAGGGAAATGGGATCTAGTGGGGAATGAAACCAAGGGACCCAGGATTCAGGATCCTTACTAGCTGTCGAGCCTGAGCATAGCAGCAGGCTTGCTGTGTCTTGTATTCATGTGACAGTATTGCCGTGAAGACTCATGGAGATGCACGGAGACTTGCTCAGCATTCCCGGAGAGATAATGAGCTGCATAAGGCCTTGAACGCTGGGTAGGATCTTGTCAGGTCGAGATTCTGCTCAACTGTGGGTCATGTTTATCTTCTATGCCCCACAAGAGGGACTGCTGGTCAGAGTAAGGAGTCCTCTGGTTCTGCTGTTAATTGGTTGTGTGATGCTGGGCAAGTCGCTCACTCCCTCTGGGCCTCATTTTTCCCAACAACATGAAGAAATTGAATTAAGTGACCTGTGAGGTCAGTCCTGCCTTAATCTATGAGCTTTTGATTTTTCACTTCTCTGCCTCACGTATAATAACCTGGCAATAAGTATCTATTGATTCTTACAGGCTAGGTCTTGAACAAAAAGACAGAGGCTGGGTGCAGTGGCTCATGCCTGTAATCCCAACACTTCGGGGGGCCGAGGCAGGAGAATCGTTTGAGCCTAGAAATTCAAGACCAACCTGGACAACACAGTGGGACTTCGTCTCTACAAAAATTTTTAAAAATTAGCCGGGTGTGGTGGTGCACACCTGTAGCCCCGGCTACTTGGGAGGCTGAGGTGAGAAGATAGCTTGAGCCCAGGAGGTTGATTGAGGCTGTAGTGAGCTGTGATCGCGCCACTGCACTCCAGCGTGGATGACAGAGCGAGACCCTGTCAAAAAAAAAAAAAAAAAAAGACAGAGAAAAAAGAGGCTGGGAGAACTCAGCCCAGGAGTTCGAGAACAGCCTGGCCAACACGGCAAAACCATGTCTCTACCAAACACGCACATACAAAACAGAAACAAAAATTGGCTGGGTGTGGTGGCATGCGCCTGTAGTCTCAGCTGGAGGCTGAGGTGGGAGGACTGTTTGAGCCCGGGAGGCGGAGGTCATAGTGAGCTGAGATCGTCACTGCACTCCAGCCTGGGCAACAGAGCGAGACTCTGTCTCAAAAAAACAAAACAAAACAAACAAAAAACAACCAGTGCCTTCTGATTTAATGAGTGCTGTGATTTCTGATATGTTTATGAGAAATATTTTCTTAGATCACGGTATGTTCTAGGTAAGATAAGGCAAATGGCCAAATAAAACAGAGGCTCTTTGCGCACACAGGTCAGAACAAGACACTGAAAAAGTATCAGGCGATTACAGTACTGTCTTAGAAGGATTGGCTCCCTCACTTTTCACTTCCGCCTTCCGAAGCAGCCAATGAGTACTCAGCAGTTCGCATTTATCCAAAAAAACTACAAATCCAGAAGTCAATGCGCCAGGCGAAGAGCTCATGCGTCAATTGGGACTGGTGGGCCCGCCCCTAGACGCGGAACTTCATTTCCCAGGCGTCCCCGGGGCTCTTCGATTTTTTTTTTTTTTTTTTTTTTTTTTTTTTTTTTTTCCCCGATCGTGCAGGCGTTCTCTTCCCGCCCCTTGCTCGCGGTCCTCGCGCCAAGTAGGCGCGAGCGCGCGCGCGCGGTGCACGTAGCGCGCGAGTGACGCATAATATGTGGGCCGCTGTGGAGCCGTGGTCGCGCTGTGTGTGTGTGTGAGTGGAGAGTGAGTGCGGGACCTGAGGCTGTGTGTGTGTGAACTGTGGCCACTGGCGGGGTCGGGGGGGGGCAGCGGCGGAGCCGCCTCGGACGGTGAGTGGGAAATGGAGGGAGGCGACTCTACGGGAGGGGCGCGAGGAAGCAGGTCGCGCGGCTGGCCGGGCGGCAGAGTGGGCGCCGGGCTTGGGGGAGGGGCGGCACCTGCTTGGGCCGCCGGCGAGGAGGGGGCGGGCCGGTCTGCCGGGAGGCTGGGCCCGGGGCCTGACAGGACTTTTCCTCCTCCTGATTCTTGTCCTGGGGGCGGGGCCTCCACGTTCTTCCTCCACTCCCCACGAGAAGCTTCCCGAGAGTAACTCTTCCGCCCGGAGTGGGGGGGCGGGGTGTGTCCGCCCCTACCTGGAGGAGGGGCGCATTTCATTTCCCTTGTTTTCTTTTTCCTTCCAATCCTCCTAGTCTCTGTTCCGTACGGGCTTGCGGGGCTCCATCTTCCGTACTATACGGCGGGCCCCTTCCCGGACTGTGTCTCCGCCTCCAGCTCCAGTCACCTGGGCGGGCTCTCCCGTCTCTCGGCCTCGTGCCACCTCTCCCTGCACCCGCCTGCCTCTTGGACCGTGCGACGGGGGCGGAGCTTTCCGGGCGCTCCTCCCATCCCCATGAAAGAGGGAAGGGTTGGAAAGAGAGGTGTGCGGGTCCCGCAGCCTGGAGTCAAACCTCAGAGTGCCCGCGAAGCTTCCCTGGAGTCTATTTCCGGGGGTTATAGTAGTTTTCAACTGGGGTGTCAGAAGCGTTTGCTTAACAACTTCACTTCTTAGACGGTTTTCTGTCTGGTTTCCTCTTACTGCGGTGGCAGCGCTCTGGTTTTCCATTTGTTGAGGAAATAGTTTTGGAGTGTTTGTATTTAGCTATTTTTGAGTCACAAATGACTCGTCCTTGGCCATGTCATGTTGGTCTTGGTTTTTCCTTACCCTGTTTTTTTGATGAAGCCTTTTAATTAGTTTACATGTCTTAATTTTTTATATTAGTAGCATCTTCCTGTTCAAAATGCATCGTTAATGTACAGAATGAGAGGTTAATTGGTAATATCATCCTGCATTTTCTTTTTCCAGCTTACTGGAGTTTACCTTTAATGTTTATGTAAATGTGTATATTTAGATTTTAGGATCTATTTAGTATTTTTCTTAATGATGTGACCATTTGGGTTTTCTATATAACATTTATTCATTACCCATTTTTGAGTGGGTATATATTTTTGGATGTTAAAGAGATAATAGAGAATTTGGGGAATGTAGGGAAATCATTTTGTACTTAGTATCTCTTGCGTAGTTGCTGAGTACAGTGTTTTACTGTTCTGCCTATTATACAGTTTTAAAATTTTTTATTTTTATTCATTTATTTTTTATAGAGACAGTGGTCTCAGTATGTTGCCCAGGCTGGTTTTGAACTCAAGTGATCCTCCCTGGTCAGCCTCCCGAAGTGTTGGAATTACAGACATGAGCCACTACACCTGGCCTGTTTTTTTAGATACAGGATCTTGCCCTGTAGCCTAGGCTGGAGTGCAGTGGTGTGATAACTCTTTTTTTTTTTTTTTTCTTTTTTCTTTTTTTTTGAGACAGCGTCTCATTCTGTTGCCCCAGCTAGAGTGCAGTGGCGCGATCTTGTCTCACTGCAACCTCCGCCTCCCAGGTTCAAGTGATTCTCCTGCCTCAGCCTCCGGAGTAGCTGGGACTACAGGCACGCGCCACCACGCCCGGATAATTTTTGTATTTATAGTAGAGATGGGGTTTCAGCATATTGGCCAGGCTGGTCTCAAGCTCTTGTCCTCGTGATCTGCCCACCTCGGCCTCCCAAAGTGCTGGGATTACAGATGTAAGCCACTGCGCTGGCTTTTTTTTTTTTTTTTTTTTTTTTTTTTTTTTGAGACAGAGTCTCACTGTGTTGCCCAGGCTGGAGTGCAGTGGCGCGATCTCAGCTCACTGCAAGCTCCGCCTCCCAGGTTCACGCCATTCTCGTGCCTCAGCCTCCCAAGTAGCTAGGATTACTGGTGCCTGCCACCACGCCCGGCTAATTTTTTGTATTTTTAGTAGACACAGGGTTTCACCGTGTTAGCCATGATGGTCTCGAGTGTCATCATAACTCATTGCAGCCTCCAACAACTCCTGGGCTCAAAGGAGCCTGCTGCCTCAGCCTCTTGAGTAACTAGGACCGCAGTCACAGGCTAACATGATTGGCTAATTTTTAAATATTTGTGTCGACTGTGTCTCAAAATGTTGCCCAGCTGACCTCAAGCAATCCTTCCGACTTGGCTTCCCAAATTGCTGGGATTACAGGCTTGAGCCACTGTGCCTGTCAATTTAAAAAAAATTTTTTTTTCTTTTTTTTGAGACGGAGTCTTGCTCTGTTGCCCAGGCTGGAGTGCAGTGGTGCAATCTCGGCTCACTGCAACCTCCACCTCCCGGGTTCAAGCGATTCTCCTGCCTCAGCCTCCCGAGTAACTGGGACTACAGGCGCGTGCCACCATGCCCAGCTAATTTTTGTATTTTTAGTAGACACGGGGTTTCACCATGTTGGTCCGGCTGGTCATGAACTCCTGACCTCGTGATCCACCGCCTAGGCCTCCCAAAGTGCTGGGATTACAGGCGTGAGCCACCGTGCCCGCCTATTTTTATTTTTTTTGAGACAGTCTTCCTGTGTCACCTAGCCTGGAGTGCAGTGGTGCGATCTTTGCCCACTGTAACCTCTGCCTCCCAGGTTCAAGCGATTCTCATGCCTCAGCCTCTGGAGTAGCTGGGATTACAGGTGTGTGCCCCCACGCCTGGCTAATTTTTTTATTTTTTGTAGAGATGGGGATTTGCCGCGTTGGCCAGGCTGGTCTTGAACTTTTGGCCTCAAGTAATCCACCCACTTCAGTCTCCCAAAGTGCTAGGATTACAGGCATGAGCCATAGTGCCTGGCAAACAGTTGTTAATATTATGCCATATTTTCTCTATTTGTGTGTGTGGTATCTATATATATATTTTGTGGAATCATTTGAAAATAAGTTGCAGGCCTGTCATCCCTAAATACCCTAGCAGATGCTTGTTAGGATAAGAAAATTTTACATAAGTATTTCTTGAGGCTTTATATTATCCCATCATGGGGACAATATTGTCATTTAACCCCGCACAACAACTGTTTCCATCTTGCAGATAAGGAAATTGAGATTTGGAGAAGTTAAATAACCAAGACTTCACAGGTATGTCAGCAGAGTTGGGATTTGAATCCTTGAAACCTTTTTTCTACCTAGTACTAGCTGGTCTTGGGGACCTCTCTGAGCTAGTTTCCTCATGTGTGAAAAAGGGTAGGATGGTTGTGAAAATTCAGAATAATGTAAGTATGGTAAATTACTTAGCTCAATGTCTGTCCCATACTAGATATTCACTAATTGGTAACTACCGTGTCACCATTGGACAGACCATCATTTCTTCATAGCACTTAAAGGAACTCACTTAAGAACTTGAGTAATGCACCCTTATTGTCTTGGGCATAACAAGGTGAAGATGACTGTTTTCTTTGCTCTTGTTGTGCAAGCTGGAGTGCAGTGGCGCGATCTCGGCTCACTGCAACCTCTGTCTCCTGGGTTCAAGCGATTCTGCTGCCTCAGCCTCCGGAGCAGCTGGGATTACAGGCGTGTGCCACCATGCCTGGCTAATTTTGTTGGTATTTTTAGTAGAGATGCGGTTTCACCATGTTGGCCAGGTGGTCTCGAACTCCTGACCTTGTGATCTGCCGGCCTCGGCCTCCCAAGGTGCTGGGATTACAGGCGTGAGCCACTGCGCCCGGCCTAATTTTGTATTTTTAGTAGAGACAGGGTTTCTCCATATTAGTCAGGCTGGTCTCGAACTCCCAACCTCAGGTGATCTGCCTGCCTTGGCCTCCTAAAGTGCTGAGATTACAGGTGTGAGCCACTGTGCCCGGCCTTTTTTTTTTTTCCTTGAGACAAGGTCTCGCACTTTTGCTCTGGCTGGAGTACAGTGGTGCAGTTATGGCTCACTGCAGCCTCCACCTCCTAGGCTCAAGCAGTTCTCTTGCTTCAGCCTCCCCAGGTAGCTGGGACTACAGGTTGCAGTGAGCCAAGATTGTGTCCCTGCACTCCCGCCTGGGCAGCAGAGCGAGATTCCGTCTCACAAAACAAAAAACAAACACAAAAAAACGAACATTGAAGTAAGTACTACTACTACTGATTTTTAAATTTTTTTCATAGAGGCAGGATTTCACCATGTTGTCCAGGCTGGTCTCAAACTCCTGGGCTCAAGCGATCTGCCCACCTAGGTTTTCCAAAGTGCTGGGATTACAGGTGTGAGCCACCACACTCAGTTGCTGACTGCTTTCATTGATACTATGTTAATTCACATTGCTATTATTAGTTAAGTCTGTTACAAGTTTATATTTTCCTTTATTTAGTCTGTTACAAGTTTATATTTTCCTTTATTTATGTATTTAAATAATAAAGACAAGGTCTTACTGTTACCCAGGCTGGTCTCAAACCCCTGGGCTCAAGTGATCCTCCTACCTCAGCCTTCCAAAGTGCTGGGATTACAAGTGTGAGCCACCACGCCTTGCCTTTATATTTTTTTATTCTTTATTATTCTTAATATTTTTTTTGAGATGGAGTTTTGCTCTTGTCGCCCAGGCTGGAGTGCAGTGGTGCAATCTCGGCTCACTGCAACTTCTGCCTCCCGGGTTCAAGCGATTCTCCTGCCTCAGCCTCCCGAGTGGCTGGGATTGCAGGCGCCTGCTGCCACGTCCGGCTAATTTTTTGTATTTTTAGTAGAGACAGGGTTTCATCATGTTGGCCAGGCTGGTCTCGAGCTCCTGACCTCAGATGATACACCCGCATTGGCCTCCCAAAGTGCAGGGATTACAGGCGTGAGCCACCACGCCTGGCCTATTTTTTATTTTTTTAAATAATAGAGACAAGGTCTCACTAAGGTTTATATTTTCCTTGGGCAAATGGTTATTCCCAAAGTTATAATTATCTTCAGGCATAGATTAGTTGGAAGTTCTGAAAATGATACCAGAAGTATATATGTATATGTTTCTAAGTTGAACTCTAAAATTTTAGTGTTTTAGGCCAGGCATGGTGGCTCATGTCTACAATCCTAGCACTTTGGAAGGCCAAGTGGAGAGGATTGCTTGAGCCCAGCAATTTGAGACCAGCCTGGGTAACATAGTGAGACCCTGTCTCTACAAAATAATAAAAATTAAAAAATTTTAAAAATATAAAATTTTAGTGTTTTAATGCCCTTGAATTAATCTTTATTAGAGGTAGTGTTTTTTAAAAAATCATGTCTTTATGTGCTCTAGTAGGCTAACTGCTTAAGTTATCTAAGAAGCAGTCTCTTCTGGATCATTTCTTTTCTCATTAAAAAATTGTGGTAAATTTACGTAGCATAAAATTAACGACTACCCATTTTGAAGTGTACAAATCAGTGGCGTTTGTAGATTCACAGTGTTGTGCAACCATTATCTCTTTCTAGTTCTAGAATATTTTTATCACCTTAAAAGGAAACCTCGGCCGGGCGCGGTGGCTCACACCTGTAATCCCAGCACTTTGGGAGGCTGAGGCGGGTGGATCACGAGGTCAGGAGATTGAGACCATCCTGGGTAACACGGTGAAACCCCGTCTGTACTACAAATACAAAAAAGTAGCCGGGTGTGGTGGCCGGTGCCTGTAGTCCCAGCTACTCGGGAGGCTGAAGCAGGAGAATGGCATGAACCCGGGAGGCGGAGCTTGCAGTGAGCCGAGATCCTGCCACTGCACTCCAGTCTCTGGGCGACAGAGTGAGACTCCATCTCAAAAAAAAAAAAAAAAGGAAACCTCATACCCATTTAGCAGTCACTGCCCATTTTCCCCTTTCCTCAAGTCCTTGGCAACTACTAGTTAGCTTTCTGTATATTGATTTACCTATTTCAACTTTTTTTTTTTTTTTGAGACGGAATCTCGCTCTGTCGCCCAGGCTGGAGTGCAGTGGCGCAATCTTGGCTCACTGCAACCTCCGCCTCCCAGGTTCAAGCGATGCTTCTGCCTCAGCCTCCTGAGTAGCTAGGACTACAGGCGCATGCCACCACGCCCGGCTAATTTTTGTACTTTCAGTAGAGACGGGGGTTTCACCATGTTGGCCAGGCTGGTCTCGAACTGTTGACCTCATGATCCACCCGCCTTGGCCTCCCAAAGTGCTGGGGTTACAGGTGTGAGCCACCATGCCCAGCCTTCAATGTTTTATATAAATAGAATCATACAATATGTGCCCTTTTGTGTCTGCTTTCTTATTGTTTTCAAGGTTTTTCCACATCTGTAGCATGTTACTACTTCATTCATTTCTATGACTGAATATTCCATTGTATGCATATACCACATTTTGTTTATCTCTTCATCTGATGATGGACTTTTGGGTTGTTTCTACTTTTTGGCTATTGTGAATAATGCTACCAAGAACATTTGTGTATAAGTCTTTGTTTGAATTCCTTTTTTTTTTCCCCTGAGATGGAGTTTTGCGCTCATTGCCCAGGCTGGAGTGCAATGGCGTAATCTTGGCTCACTTCAACCTCTGCCTTCTGAGTTCAAGCGGTTCTCCTGCCTCAGCCTCCCCAGTAGCTAGGATTACAGGCATGTGCCACCATGCCTGGTTAATTTTGTATTTTTAGTAGAGATGGGGTTTCTCCATGTTGGTCAGGCTGGTCTTAAACTCCCGACCTCAGGAGATCTGCCCGCCTTGGCCTCCCAAAGTGCTGGGATTAGAGGTGTGAGCCACCACACCCAGCCTTGTTTTCAGTTCTTTTGGGTATATATCTAGTAGTGAAATTGCTGGGTCGTATAGTAATTCTACATGTGACTTAAAAAAAAAAACCTGCAACTTTTTGAGAGAGTCCCAAACTGTTTTTTATAACTACTATACCCTTTTACATTTCTTTTATTTATTTATTTATTTTTTTGAGAGGGAGTCTTGCTCTGTCACCCAGGATGGAGTGCAGTGGCGCGATCTCGGCTCACTGCAAGCTCCACCTCCCGGGTTCACGCCATTCTCCTGCCTCAGTCTCCCGAGTAGGTGGGACTACTGGTGCCTGCCACCACGCCCAGCTAATTTTTTGTATTTTTAGTAGAGATGGGGTTTCACCATGTTAGCCAGGATGGTCTCTGTCTCCTGACCTCGCGATCCGCCTGCCTCGGCCTCCCAAAGTGCTGAGATTGCAAGCATGAGCCACCGCGCCCGGGGCCACCCTTTTACATTTCTACAAGCAATATGTGTTCCAGTTTCTTCACATGCTTGCTAATGCTTATATTTTCTCATTTCTTAAACTACAGTCATGTTAGTAGGTGAGAAATGATATCTCATTATGGTTTTGATTTGCAGTTCCTAGTGACTGATGTTGAGTATCTTTCATGCGTTTCTTGGCCTTTTTTTTGTTTTTAAGACAAAGTCTCACTCCTTTTGCCCAGGCCGGTGTGCATTGGGGTAATCTCGGCTGACTGCAACCTCCGTCCCCTCCGAGTTCAAGTGATTCTCCTGCCTCAACCTCCCGAGTAGCTGGGATTACAGGTACCTGCCACCATGCCCAGCTCTTTTTTGTATTTTTAGTAGAGATGGGGTTTCAACTTGTTGGCCATACTCGTCTCAAACTCCTGACCTCAGATGATCTGCCTAAAGTATTGGGATTATAGGCATGAGCCACAGCACTCGGCCCATTTTCGCATATACTGTGAGGCAAAGATCCAACTTCGCTGTTTTGTGGGATAATATCCAATTGTCTCACTACTTTTTTTTTTTTTTTGAGACGGGTCTTGCTCTGTCACCAGGCTAGAGTGCAGTGGTGCAGTCTCGGCTCACTGCAACTTCCGCCTCCCGCAGGTTCAAGCGATTCCCCTCCCTCAGCCCCCCCGAGTAGCTGGGACTACCAGTGTGTGCCACCACACCTGGCCAATTTCTTGTATTTTAGTAGAGATGGGGTTTCACCATGTTGGCTAGGATGGTCTTGATCTCCTGACCTCGTGATCTGCCCACCTCGGCCTCCCACAGTGCTGGGATAACAGGCGTGAGCCACTGTGCCAAGTCTCATCAGTACTTTTTTGTTTGTTTGTTTTTTGAGATGGAGTCTTGCTCTGTCGCCCAGGCTGGAGGGCAGTGGCGCTGTCTCAGCTCACTGCAACCTCCGCCTCCTGGATTCAAGCAGTTCTCCTGCCTCAGCCCCCCTGAGTAGCTGGGGTTACAGGCGCGCCACCATGCCTGGCTAATTTTTGTATTTTAGTAGAGATGGGGTTTCACAATGTTGGCCAGTCTGGTCTCGAACTCCTGCTCAAGTTATCTGCCTGTCTTGGCCTCCCAAAGTGCAGGGATTACAGGCATGAGCCACTGCACCTGGGCAGCACTACTTATTGAAATTACTTTTTTCCTATTGAATGGTCTTGGTACCCTTGTTGAAAATTGATCATAGATGTGAGTGCTTATTGCTGGATTATCAATTCTATTGTATTTGTCTCTGTGTTGATCCTTATGTCAGTGCCATGCTGTTCCATTTACTATAGTTTTGTAGCAAGTTTTGAAATCAGAAGTGTGATTTTTCCAACTTTTTTTTTTTTTTTTGGAGACATAGTCTCGCTCTGTTGCCTTGCTGGAGTGCAGTGGCGCAATCTTGGCTCACTGCAGCCTCCGTCTCCTAGGTTCAAGCGGTTCTCCTGCCTCAGCTGTCCCAGTAGCTGGGATTACAGGTGCGTGCCAACACGCCCAGCTAATTTTTGTATTTTTACTGGGGATGGGGTTTCACCATATTGGCCAGAATGGTCTCGATCTCTTGACCTTGTGATCCACCTGCCTCGACCTCCCAAAGTGCTGGGATTACAGGTGTGAGCCACTGCGCCTGACCCCGACTTTGTTTTTTTTTTTTTTTTTTCCAAGATTGTTGTGCCTATTCAGGTTTCCTTGCAATTACATACGAATTTTAGAATCAGCATGTCCATTTCTGCAAAAGATGTCATTGGGTTGTTTTTGTTGTTGTTGTTTTTTGAGACAGAGTCTCTCTCTGTTGCTCCCAGGCTGGAGTGCAGTGGCACGATCTCGGCTTACTGCAACCTCTGCCTCTTGGGTTCAAGTGGTTCTCTTGCCTCATTCTCCCAGATAGCCGGGATTACAGGCGTCTGCCACCATGGTCAGCTAATGTTTTGTATTTTTAGTAGAGATGGGGTTTCACCATGTTGGCCAGGCTGGTGTTGAACTCTTGAACTCAGGTGATCCACCCATCTTGGCCTCCCAAAGTGCTGGGATTACAGGCGTGAGCCACCATGCCTGGTTTGTCATTGGGATTTTGATAGCGATTGCATTTTATTTGTAGACCACGTTGGAATGTATTACCATCTTGATACTAACCCTTCTAATCCATGAACACAGAATGTCTTTTTGTTTATTTAGGTTATTTAAAATTTAGGTCATCATGAATTGACTCCAGCAATGTTTTGTAGTTTTCAGCATACAAGTCTTGTGTTTGTGCCTTTTTTGTTGTTGTTGAGACAGGGTCCCGCTATGTCTTCAATGCTAGAGTGCAGTGGTGCGATCTTGGTTCACTGCAGCCTCAACTTACTGGGCTCAGGTGATTCTCCCACCTCAGCCTACCGAGTAGCTGGGAGTACAGGTGCATACCTGGTACAGGTGCACACCATGCCTGGCTAATTTTTTGCCTTTTTTGTAAAGACTAGGTTTTGCCATGTTGCCCCAGCTGGACTTGAATTCCTGAGCTCAAGCAATCCACCCACCTTGGCCTCCTAAAGTTCTGGGATTAACAGGTGTGAGCCACCCTTCCCGGCCTTGTGCCTTTTAAATTAAATTTGTTTCTAATTATTTTATTATTTTTGGTGCTATTGTAAATGAAATTGTTCTCTTCATTTACTTTCATATTGTTTTTTGGCTAGTGTATAGCAGTACAACTGATTTTTGTGTGTTGCTCTTGTACCTTGCAACTTTGCTGAATTCATTTATTCTAATAATTTTTATGTGGATTCTTTAGGATTTTCTGTATACAGGATTATGTCATCTAGGAATAAAGATAATTTTACTTCTTCCTTTTCAACTTGGATACCATCTATCTATCTATCTATCTATCTATATACACACACACACACACACACATGCATACACACTTTTTTTTTTTTTTTGAGACAGAGTCTTACCTGTCACCCAGGCTGGATTGCACTGGTGCAATCTTGGCTCACTGCAACCTCTGCCTCCTGGATTCAAGCTGTTCTCCTGCCTCAGCCTCCCCCGAAGCTGGGATTACAGGTGTACACCACCATGCCCAGCTAAATTTTGTATTTTTAGTAGAGATGCGGTTTCACCATGTTGGCCAGGCTGATCTCGAACTCCTGACCTCTTGATCCACCCGCTTTGGCCTCCCAAAGTTCTGAAATTACAGGCATGAGCCACCTTGCCCAGCCTATATTTCTTTTTCTTGCCTAATTACTCTGCCTAGGACCCTAGTAGAGTGTGGTTTTTTTGTTTTGTTTTTTGAGACAGAGTCTCACTCTGTTGCCCAGGCTGGACTGCAGTGGCACAATCTTGTGGCTCATTGCAACGTCTGCCTCTTCGATTCAAGCAATTCTCATGCCTCAGCCTACTGAATACCTGGGATTACAGGTGTGCCCCATCATGCCCTGCTAATTTTTTATTTTTACTGGAGACGAGATTTCACCATGTTGGCCAGGCTGGTCTCAAACTCCTGTTCTCAAGTGATCTATCTGCCTTGGCCTCCCAAAGCGCCGGGATTACAGGTGTGAGCCACCACGCCAGGCGGAGGACTCCAGTACAGTGTTTTAATAGAAATGGCAAAGGCAGACATTGTTGTCTGGTTTCCGATTTTTGGGGCAAAGCTTTCAGTCTTTCACCATGGAGTGTAGTGTTGTTCATAATCCCCTTTATCATGTTCTAGAAGGTCTCTTCCGTTCCTAGTTTATTGAGTGTTACTCCCCCTGCCCCACCCGAGACGGAGTCTCGCCCTGTCGCGCAGACTGGAATGCAGTGGTGCTATCTTGGCTTACTGCAACCTCCGCCTCCCAGGTTCAAGCAATTCTCCTACCTCAGCCTCCTGAGTAGCTGGGATTACAGGCGCACACCACCACGCCCGGATAATTTTTTTTTTTTGTAGACGGAGTTTTGCTCTGTCACCTAGGCTGGAGTGCAGTGGCGCGATCTTGGCTCACTGCAACCTCTGCCTCCTGTGTTCAAGCGATTCTCCTGCCTCACCCTCCCAAGTAGCTGGAATTACAGGTGCGTGCCACCATGCCCGGCTAATTTTTGTGTTTTTAGTAGAGACGGGGTTTCGCCATGTTGGCCAGGGTAGTCTGGAACCCCTGACCTCAGGTGATCTGCCTGCCTTGGCCTCCCAAACTGCTGGCGTGAGCCACCGTGCCAGGCCTAATTTTTGTATTTTTAGTAGAGACAGGGTTTCACCATGTTGGCCAGGCTGGTCTCGAACTCCTGACCTCATGATCCACCCGCCTTGGCCTCCCAAAGTGCTGGGATTACAGGCGTGAGCCATGTGCCTGGCCTTAATTTTCTTAATATGCTGTTGGATTCTGTTTGCTAGTATTTTGTTGAGGATTTTTATGTCTGCAGTCATAAAGGACATCAGGCTGTAGCTTTCTTTTCTTGTGATATCTTTATTTGGCTTTGGTATCAGTAATGATGGTTTCATGGAATGAATTAGGAAGTATCTTTCCTCTTCAGGTTTTGGAGAAGTTTGAGAAGGATTGGTGTTAATTCTTCTTTAAATGTTTGGTAGGCCTGGTGCAGTGGTTCATGCCTGTAATACCAGCATTTTGGGATGCCGAGGCAGGCGGGTTGTGTGAGGTCAGGAGTTCAAGACCAGCCTGGCCAACATGGTGAAACCCCGTCTCTACTAAAAGTACAAAAATTAGCCGGGCATGATGGCGCGTGCCTGTAGCCCCAGCTATTCGGGAAGCTGAGGCAGGAGAATCGCTTGAACCCAGGAGGTGGAGGTTGCAGTGAGTCAAGATCACGCCTCTGCACTCCAGTCTGGGCGACAGAGCAAGACTCCGTCTCCAAATAAATAAATAAATAAATAAATAAATAAATAGTTTGGTAGGCTGGGCGTGGTGGTTTGTCCCTGTAATCCTAGCACTTTGGGAGGCTGAGGCAGGAAGATTGCTTGAGCCCAGGAGTTCACGACCAGCCTAGGCAACATAGGAGGGGGACCCTGTCTTTAAAAAAGAAAAAAAGGGAGAGGAAAGAGGAGAGAGAGAGAGAAAGAGGAGAGAAGAAAAAGGAAGAAAGAATTGGTTAAATTGTTGCCACATTCTACCAGCCTGGCTAGTACTCTTCAAGATTGTCAAGGTCATGTAAAACAAAAACAAATCCCCAAACTATCTATCATAGACCAGAGGACAGTAGATAGACATGACAGCTGAATGCAGTGTATCCTAGATGAGATCATGGAACAAAGCACATGATTTGAAAAATGGTGAAATCTGAATCAGGTCTGGAGTTTAGTTAATAATAATGTAACAATGTTGGTTTCTTAATTTTGACAGTGTACCACTATAATATGGTAACATGAGGGAAAACTGAACTGGGTGAGAGGTATGTGGGAACACTGTGTACTATCTTTGCAGCTTTTCTGTAAATCTAAAATTACTCCACATAAAAAGTTTGTTTTGGCTGGGCACAGTGGCTCACGCCTGTAATCCCAGCACTTTAGGAAGCTGAGGTGGGCGGATCACGCGGTCAAGAGATCGAGACCAGACTGGCCAACATGGTGAAACCCTGTCTCTACTAAAAATACAAAAATTAGCTGGGTGTGGTGGTGTGCGCCTGTAATCCCAGCTACTTGGGAGTCTGAGGTGGGAGAATCGCTCGCTTGAATCCGGGATGTGGAGGTTATAGTGAGCTGAGATTGTGCCACTGCACTCCAGCCTGGCGACAGAGTGTGACTCTGTCTTAAAAAAAAAAAGAAAAGAAAAGAAAAAAAGTTTGTTTTAAAAATATATTTATCGAGGCCAAGCACAGTGGCTCATGCCTGTAATCCCAGCACTTTGGGAGGCCGAGGCAGGCGGATCATGAGGTCAGGAGTTCGAGACCAGCCTGGCCAATATGGTGAAACTCTATCTCTACTAAAAATACAAAAATTAGCCGGGCATGCTGGCGTGTATCTGTAGTCCCAGCTACTCGGGAGACTGAGGCAGAAGAATCACTTGAACCTGGGAGATGGAGGTCGCAGTGAGCCGAGATCGTGCCACTGCACTCCAGCCTGGGTGACAGAGCAAGATGCCATCTCAAAAAAATAAAAATAAAAATAACAACGTATGTATAGTTAGTAGATAGCAGTAAAATATGCAACCTGAGTTTTCTCAGGTTGAAGTCAGAAGTCCATATTAGTCTGTCACACCTACAGCATTTCCTTTTTGTGGCTTTGGTTAGAAAGTCTGAAAATATGGCGGGGTGTGGTGGCTCACACCTGTTGTCTCAGCACTTTGGGGGGCTAAGGCAGGAGGATCACCTGAGGTCAGGAGTTTGAGGCCAGCCTGGGCAACAGTGAGACCCCACCTGAACAAATAATAAAAATAAAAATAAGCTGGGCATGGCAACACATACTGTAATCTCAGCTACTCTGGAGGCTGAGGTGGGAGGATCACTTGAGCCCAGGTGGTTGAGGCTGCAGTGAGCTGGGACCGCGCTACTGCACTCAAGCCTGGGAGGCAGAGTGAGATCCTTAAAAAAAAAAAAAAAAAAAAAGAATCTGCCGGGTGTGGTTTTCACAGCTGTAATCCCAGCACTTTGGGAGGCCAAGGCAGGCAGATCATGAGGTCAGGAGATTGAGACCATCCTGGCTAACACGGTGAAAGCCCGTCTCTCCTAAAAATACAAAAAATTTGCTGGCGTGGTGGTACAAGCATGTAGTCCCAGCTACTTGGGAGGCTGAGGCAGGAAAATCGCTTGAACCCAGCAGGTAGACGTTACAGTGAGCCGAGATGGCGCCACTGCGCTCCAGCCTGGCGACAAAGCAAAACTCTGCCTCAAAAAAAAAAAAAAAAAAAAAAAAATAAATAATCTTTTTGATTTTGTTCAATTTTTGGGGTAGGGCAGGTATTTTCCTTTGGAGTTATGTGTAATCCAGGTGACATGAATCACTACTATTGGAATTGCATCTACTTGATTAAAACATAAATATTTGCATTTTATAATACAATGCAATAATGCAATGCAATAATGATATCATCTTTTACATGTATTTCTTTTGGTTTTATGGTAGATATCTTTAGAAGAGTTCATTTTAGATCAGCTAGTAATTCCTGTCTGATGTGAAACTCTTTATGGAATGGTTGCTGTTTCTGAGAAGATACGCATTTTGCGTGGCAGAATATGACATTTTGATTTTAAGGCTACTTTTATAAAGAAGTTGATGCCATAACCTGTCAAACATTTGCGTCTCATTTATCCCTTTTGGATCCCCTTATAAGCCTCTCATATGTGGGTGTCTTATTTGGTCCTCCAAAGCTCACCTCAGCTCCCTGCCCTTCTGCATTCCTAGTTTGAACCACTCAACCCAGCCAACCTTCTCTGCCTCTCTTCTAGCCTCTTCTTTCCAGGAAATCAGCTGTGAGAGAGGTTAGGAAGCTTGAAGGATAAATGAGTTTTATAGTGTTCCTTCTCCACTTTCATGCTGGCAGTAGTGTCCATTTCATTTCTTGGCCTTCTCTTTAAGAATTAACAGAGCTGGGCGCGGTGGGTCACGCCTGTAATCCCAGCACTTTGGGAGGCTGAGGCGGGTGGATCACCTGAGGTCAGGAGTTCGAGATCAGCCTGACCAACATGGTGAAACCCTGTTTCTACTAAAATACAAAAATTAGCTGGGCGTGGTGGTGCATGCCTGTAATCCTAGCTACTTGGGAGGCTGAGGCAGGAGAATTGCTTGAACCCGGGAGGCAGAGGTTGCAGTGAGCCGAGATTGTGCCATTGCACTCCAGCCTGGGCAGTAAGAGTGAAACTCTGTCTCAAAAAAAAAACAAAACAAAAAACGGAGTTTGAGACTAGCCTGGCCAGCGTGGTGAAACTGCGTCTCTACTAAATGTACAAAAATTAGCCAGGCATGGTGGCGGGCGCCTGTAATTCCAGCTACTCGGGAGGCTGAGGCAGGAGAATTGCTTGAACCCGAGAGGTGGAGGTTTCAGTGAGCCGAGATTGTGCCATTGCACTCCAGCCTGGGTGACAGAGTGAGACTCCATCTCAAAAAAAAAAAAAAAAAAGAAAAAATTAAACAGGAGTGTGCCATGCTGTTTATCTTTGATAGAACTTCCCTCAAAGGACTAACGAGCAAAATATTTTGGGAGTAGTTTTGGCCACATTTTGTGCTTAAAAAAATGTAAGCACAAAGTTTTAGACCTCAGAGATCTAGGCCTGGGATTATTGTATATATTACAGGTAGGCATTAGGTAAATCTATTTTTTTTTCTTTTTGAGACGGAGTCTTGCTCTGTCGCCCAAGCTGGAGTGCAATGGTGTGATCTCGGCTCACTGCAACCTCTACCTCCCAGGTTCAAGTGATTCTCCTGCCTCAGCCTCCCAAGTAGCTGGGATTACAGTCACCTGCCACCATGTCCAGATAATTTTTGTATTTTTAGTAGAGACAGGGTTTCATCATGTTGGCCAGGCTGGTCCCGAACTCCTGACCTCAGGTGATCCACCTGCCCCAGCCTCCCAAAGTGCTGGGATTACAGGTGTGAGCCACCATGCCTGGTGGTAAATGCATTTTTGATGAGGGAAAGGTACCATATTTTTTGTCTCATTTTCAAAGGGACTCCTCAAAAGGTTAAGAATCACTGTTTTGATCCAGCTTCTTGCCTCATTTGACAGTTGAAGCTGAGGCTGAGAAAGGCGAAAGTACTTGTTCATCACTACTGAATGGGTATCTAGGCTTGATGAGTATCCCGAGTTTTCTGCTGTACCACAAATAAATCCAAAGGGTTCAAGGGGTTAAATTTCCCTTTTTAATTTTTTCTCTTGCCTTCTCGTCCTTTTCTACCCCTTCTTCACTTTTATTTGCTTGTGTTCATTTATTGGTTGTCTTTTTTATTTTTATTTTTGCTTCCTTAGGCAAAGCCATGACTACAGTAGTGGTACATGTGGACTCCAAAGCTGAGCTCACTACCCTGCTGGAGCAGTGGGAAAAGGAACATGGCAGTGGGCAGGACATGGTACCTATCCTTACCAGGTATGAATAACTTTTTTAAAACCTAGTTTAATAAAAAACCTCGGACACAACTCATACGCTAGATTTCTTCATACACACACACACACACACACACACACACACACACACAAACTAGTTTAAAAAGAAGCAAAAATTGGTGTGGAGAATAGCATAGGAACATTTTCACCTAGACTGTAAATTCTAAATCAATTTTTTTCTTTCCTCAGATTTAGTCTTTATCTCCCTACTTCCTGAAGCTGTTTAATTTTCTTATTTAATTTAATTTAATTTTTTTTTTTTGAGTCAGAGTTTTGCTTTGTTGCCCAGGCTGGAGTACAATGGTGTGATCTCGGCTCACTGCAACCTCCGTCTCCTGGGTTCAAGGGGTTCTCCTGCCTCAGCCTCCCAAGTAGCTGGGATTACAGGCTCCCACCACCATGCCCGGCTACTTTTTATATTTTTTAGTAGAGACGGGGTTTCACCATGTTGATCAGGCTGGTCTCGAACTCCTTACCTTAGGTGATACACCCGCCTTGGCCTCCTCCCAAAGTGCTAGGATTACAGGCGTGAGCCACTGAGCCTGGCTTTTTTTTTTTTTTTCATACGGAGTTTTGCTCTTGTTGCCCAGGCTAGAGTGCAATGGCGTGATCTCAGCTTACTGTAACCTCCGCCTCCTGGGTTCAAGCAATTCTCCTGCTTCAGCCTCCTGAGTAGCTGGGATTACAGGCGTTTGTCACCACGCCCAGCTAATTTTTGTATCTTTTTAGTAGAGACGGGGTTTCACCATGTTGGTCAGGCTGGTCTTGAGCTCCTGAGCTCAGGTGATCCACCTGCCTTGGCCTCCCAAAGTGCTGGGATTACAGGTGTGAGCCACCATGCCCAGCATATTTTTAAATTAAAAAAATAAAAATAAAAAAAATTAGACTCATTTCCCAACTGTTTGGTGAATGTATCTTTTTTTTTTTTTTTTTTTTTGAGATGGAGTGTTGCACTGTCTCCTGGGCTGGAGTGCAATGGCACGATCTCGGCTCACTGCAACCTCCGCCTCCCGGGTTCAAGTTATTCTTCTGCCTCAGCCTCCCGAGTAGCTGGGATTACAGGTGCACGCCACCACACCCGGCTAATTTTTGTATTTTTAGTAGAGACGGGGTTTCACCATGTTGGCCAGCCTGGTCTTGAACTCCTGAGCTCAGGTGATTCACCTGCCTTGGCCTCCCAAAGTGCTGGGATTACAGGTGTGAGCCACTGCGCCCGTCCTGGTGAATATATCTTTACCTGGCTCTTCTGGCTCTGTTTTTTTGGAGACAGGGTCTCACTCTGTCACCAGGCTGTAGTGGCATGATCTCAGCTCACTGCAGCCTTGATCTCCTGGACTCAAGCCATCTTCTTACCTCAGCCTCCCTACTAGATGAGACCACAGGTGTGCACCACCACACCTGACTAATTTTTAAATTTTTTGTAGAGGGAGGGTCTCCCTGTGTTACCCAGTCTGGTCTTGAACATCTGGGCTCAAGCAATCCTCCTGTCTCGGCCTCCCAAAGTGCTGGGATTACAGGCGAAGCCACAGTGCTGGCCTACTTGGCTCTTCTACAGATACCTGAAACAGACCATGTCCAAAATTGAGCTTATCATCCTCATTTCTGTGTGTCTCCTCATTTATTCATAACTTAATGCTTTTTTTATTCCCTACCTTGGTTTTAAACTGAATGGTTTTAAACTGAAAAACTTTTTTTGTTTTTATTTTTTGGGGGGATGGAGTCTCACTCTGTTGCCTAGGCTGGAGTGCATTGGCATGATCTTGGCTCACCACAACCTCCACCTGCCAGGTTCAAGCAATTCTCCCTGCCTCAGCCTCCTGAGTAGCTGGGATTACAGGTGCCCGCCACGACGCTGGCTAATTTTTGTATTTTTAGTAGAGGTGGGGTTTTGCCATGTTGGCCAGGCTGTTCTCGAACTCCTGACCTCAAGTGACCTGACTGCCTCGGCCTCTCAAAGTGCTGGGATTACAGGCGTGAGCCACTGTGCCCGGCATATTTTACCTTTCATTTTTTTTGAGACGGAGTCTTGCTCTCTGCCCCAGGCAGTGGTGCGATCTTGGCTCACTGCAACCCCCACCTCCTAGGTTCAAGTGATTCTCCTGCCTGAGCCTCTGGAGTAGCTGGGATTACAGGCATAAGCCACCATGCTCGGCTAATTTTTCTGTTTTTTTTAGTAGAGATAGGGTTTTGCCATGTTGGCCAGGCTGGTCTTGAACTCCTGACCTCAGGTGATCCACCCACCTCGGCCTCCCAAAGTGCTGGGATTACAGGAGTGAGCCATTGCGCCTGGCCTGCATTAGGTATTGCTCATGTCTTGACTGGCCCATTAAGCAGTGTGCCTTATAAGTTTACCCTCCAGTTTACCCTCTTTTAATACATCCTCCCCCTTGCTGAAAGATTCCTTTTTCTCATACACAAATAGGATTTTCCTACCTTCATTCATACCTACATTCTTCTCCGACTTCCTTTTTCCTACAGAGTAAAATGTAAAGTTTTTAGTGTGGCCTATGTGGCCATTTATGATGTGGCTTACTTTCATAATATTGTAGTTCTTTCGCTGTAAAAAGTAAGAAATCAATGCATAAAAAGTTGTTTTCACAGCTATGATATTGGGGATGGGATGTTGAGGATTCCCACGTTCCAGTGACCTTCTCCTTAGAAAACCCATGAGCACCTCTACCCAGCCTTTACTTTTCACTCTTTCTACCTTAACAGATTTTTTCAATAAAATTATGTACCACACAGTTATTAAGTACCAGGCAGTGGGTAGATCATCATTTGAGGAGACACCAATAAAAAGACATAGTATGTGCTTTCAAGAATTTTACAATTTAGTGAGGAAACACGTGTAAAAAAAACGGTTCTAGTATAGTGTGGTATAATGGCAGAAAATTAAAATACATACACATGAATGATAGGAGTATTAAAACAAATCAAGGGGTGCTGGGTTTGGTGCCTCACACCTGTAATCCCAGCCCACTGTAAATGGCATCACATCATAAGTAGCCCCACAGGATGAGAAAAAGGAGGATGGCCTCTTTTTTCTCCCTCATAGTATTAGTCTCTTTCTGTAAGTATTAACTTTTTTTTTTTTTTTTTTTTTGAGGCAGACTCTAGCTCTGTCGCCCAGGCTGGAGTGCAGTGGCACAATCTTGGCTCACTGCAACCTCCGCCTCCTGGCTTCAAGCAATTCTCCTGCCTCAGCCTCCCGAGTAGCTGGGATTACAGGCGCCCACCACCACGCACGCCCAGCTTATTTTTGAATTTTTAGTAGAGATGGGGTTTCACTGTGTTGGCCAGGCTGGTCTCGAACTCCTGACCTCATGATCCGCCCACCTCAGCCTCCCAAAGTGCTGGGATTACAAGCATGAGCCACCCTGCCCGGCTGGATTAACGTATTTTTTAATGTCTTTGTGCCTTTACACTTGGTATTTCTTTGGCCTGAAATGCCTTTCCTTGGCATGTCTGCATGGCAGGCCTAGTCCTTAGAAGAAGTAGTTCAAGAATCATGTCTGTAAAACCTTCACTGACTTTGACTTTCATAGGTAGGTTTGGGCTCCCCATCATTAAAAAAAATTTTTTTTTTTTTTTTTTTTTAGTGACAGGGTCTCACTGTGTTACCCAGGATAGAGTGCAGTGGTATGATTATAGCTCACTGCTAAATTTTTATTTTTTAATTTTTTTGGTGGAGACAGGGTTTCATTATGTTGCTCAGGCTGTTTTCAGACTCCTCACTGCAAATGTTCCTTCTACGTTGGTCTCCCAAAGTGCTGGGATTACAGGTGTGAACCACCATACTGGCCACCACTTTGTTTTAATACTCCTGTCATTCATATGTATGTATTTTAATTTTCCCCCATTATACCACATTGTACTATAATTTTATTTTATTTTATTTTATTTTTTGAGACGGAGTCTCGCTCTGTTGCCTGGGCTGGAGTGCAGTGGCGCGATCTTGGCTTACTGCAAGCTCTGCCTCCCAGATTCACACCATTCTCCTGCCTCAGCTTCCTGAGCAGCTGGGACTACAGGTGCCCGCCACCACACTGGGCTAATTTTTTATATTTTTTAGTAGAGATGAGGTTTCAGGTTTCACCGTGTTAGCTAGGATGGTCTCGATCTCCTGCCCTCATGATCTGCCCACCTCGGCCTCCCAAAGTGCTGAGATTACAGGCGTGAGCCACCGTGCCCAGCTATAATAGACAGGATTTCCCTCTGTTGCCGAGGCTGGAGTGTAGTGGCGTGATCTCGGGTCACTGCAACCTCAACTTCCTGGGCTTAGTTGATTCTCCCACCTCAGCTTCTGGAGTAGCTGGGACTACAGGCACACACCACCCTGCCTGGCTAATTTTTTGTATTTTTAGTAGAGATAGGTTTTCGCTATGTTGCCCAGGCTGGTCTTGAACACCTGGACTCAGGCAATCCACCTGCCTCGGCCTCCCAGAAGTGCTGAGATTATAGGCGTGAGCCACCATGCCTGGCCTACGACTATGTCTTTTTATTGGTGTCTCCTCAAATGATGATTTGTCCACTGCCTGGTTCATAATAACTGTATGGTATATAATTTTATTTAATAAATGTGTCAAGATGGAGAAAAAGTGAAAAGTAAAGGCTGGGGAGGGGTGCTCATGGGTTTTCTAAGGAGAAGGTCACTGGAATGTGGGGATCCTTAACGTCTCCTCTTCAGTATCATAACTGTTAAAAAAATCTTTTTGTTTGTGCAGTGATCTCTTTTTATGGAGAAAGAACTATAATATTATGAAAGTTTAAATGGGGATAAATGTATTGTTCCTAATTGCTTTTAATACATGGGGAACATGTGAAAATACCAGTTTTTTTTAAGGAACAGGATTATTGCTGACTGGCAGAAACTGGATTTTAACTGGTAGAGGCATTGGAGATTAAGAAAGTTAGGCCAGATGTAGTGGTTTATGCCTCTAATCCCAGCACTTCGGAAGGCTGAGGTAGGAGGATCGCTTGAGGCCACAGGTTAAAGACCAGCTTGGGCAACATAGTAAGACCCCGTCTTAATTAAAAAAACAAAACAAAAAAAGAATAATTAAACACCAACTATTAAACAAGATACTTGAAATGCAGCCACAGTGAATTAGAGAATTTAAATATTGTGCTGTTAACATGTGTATAATTGATGTGGCTGTGAAAGGAGGAGAGTCATTAATGAGGATGGTTATGTGGATTCATTCACTTGTTCAAGAAATATTCTTTGAGCACTTATACTAAAAGTACTTAATGTTTTATTTTCAACATTATTTTACATTATCATATTTTATCCTCAACTTTTTCACTATGCTATGCTCTTCAGCCATGCAAAGCCTAAAATAGAGGGGGGCTGTCCTCAAGGAGATAACTACCTGGGAAGCAACTAAGACTAACGGAGGCCTGGCATGGTGGCTCACACTTGTAATCCTAGCAGTTTGGGAGGCTGAGGCAGGTGAATTGCTTGAGCTCAGGAGCTCAAAACCAGCCTGGGCAACATGGTGAGACTGTTGTCTCTACAAAAAATACAAAAATTAGCCAGGCGTGGTGGCACGTGCCTGTAGTCTCAGCTACTCAGGAGGCTGAGGTAGGAGGATTGCTTGAGCCAGGTAGGTCGAGGCTGCAGTGAGCTGAGATTGTGCCACTACACTCCAGCCTGGGCAAGAGAGACTCTGTCTCAACAACAACAACAACAAAAACTAACAGATAAGGAACAATGCATAGTAGCACAAAATAGTATATAATGATGAAGTTCCAAATCAGGCAGCATGGTTTGTGTGTGTGTGTATATATATATATAAAAGCTACTGGAATGGGAAGGTTTGTAAATATTAAAGGGGTTATCAGAATGGAAAGAAAATGAGTGAATCAGTTCATTCCACTCAACAAATATTTGAGGACTTTTTTTGGTGTCAGAACTGTAAGAGGCACTTATCTGAACTTCACCTTCCTTATTTGTCACTCAGTATCTCTGAAAGATACATCATTAAATGATAGACATTCTCAGATTTACTTGCAAAAAACTGCATAGCGAGGCAGTGGAAACTTAGGTTAGAATCCTGGGTTTTGACTCCAATTCCGGTGTTGTTTTTTTTTCCCCCCAAGGCTGGAGTACAGTGTTGTGATCATAGCTCACTGCAGCCTCAACCTCCTGGACTCAAGTGATCCTCCCACCTCAGCCCTCTGAGTGGCTGGGGTGCATGCTACCATGCTCCACTAATTTTTGTATTTTTTTTTTTTTTTGTAGAGACAGGATTTTGCCAGGTTGCCCAGGCTGGTCAGTTTATTTTATTTTAATCAGGGGTAACTTCCCTCCTTCACCAAATTGTGGGTCTCTTTACTGGATATTTTCTAAAATAGTTCTAGGGTTTTTTGTTTTTTTTTTTTCTTCACTCATCTGGCTGCAGGTTTGGGTGTTTTAGTATATTCCATGAAGAGCAAATGAATTTTAGGCCTGTCTGCTCTTTTATTGACCTTTTTATGATCTTTTGACAGTTTCGTAAGAACAGTGTATGTCATTTTGTAACTTGAATTCATCCTTTTATTAGCCTTTGACTTGATTCTGTTGAAAGGGGCTGGCTTTGGTCCAAGCTGTGCGAGTGGGCTTTTTTTTGTTTTGTTTTGAGATGGAGTCTCACTCTGTCGCTCAGGCTGGAGTGCAGTGGTGTGATCTCGGCTCTGCAACCTCTGCCTCCCAGGTGCAAGCAATTCTCCTGCCTCAGTCTCCCAAGTAGCTGGGATTAGGTGCCCACCACCAAGCCCGGCTAATTTTTTGTGTTTTTTTTAATAGAGACAGGGTTTTACCACGTTGGCCAGGCTGGTCTTTTTTTTGAGACGGAGTCTGCTCTGTTGCCCAGGCTGGAGTGCAGTGGTGCGATCTCAGCTCACTGCAAGCTCCGCCTCCCGGGTTCACGCTATTCTGCCTCAGCCTCCTGAGTATCTGGGATTACAGGCACCCGCCAACACACCTGGCTAATTTTTTTGTATTTTTAGTAGAGACAGGGTTTCACCGTGTTAGCCAGGATGGTCTTGATCTTCTGATCTCGTGATCTGCCCGCCTCAGCCTCCCAAAGTGCTGGGATTACAGGCGTGAGCCACTACGCCTGGCCTTTTTTTTTTTTTTTTTTTTTTTGAGATATAATTTATATACTGTAAAGTACTCTGCTAGATGGATTTTTTTTTTGTAAGACCATTATCGAGATCAAGTTATAGTAGAACTTGAGTACCAGATTGCACCCTCCTGCCTCATCCCAGTCAATAGCTACCCTAAATTAACTGTTTTTCCTATTTTTTATTCTCAGTTTTTTGTTTGTTTTGAGATGGAGTCTCACTCGCACCCAGGCTGGAGTGCAGTGGCTCGATCTTGGCTCACTGCAATCTCTGCCTCCCTGGCTGAAGTGAGTCTCCTGCCTCAGCCTCCTGAGTACCTGGGATTATAGGCGCCCGCCACCATGCCTGGCTAATTTTCGTATTTTACTAGAGATGGGTTTTACCCTGTTGGCCAGGCTGGTCTTGACCTCCTGACCTCAAGTGACCCACCTGCCTCAGCCTCCCAAAGTGCTCCACTGCGCCTGGCCCGATTCCCAGTTTTTATGATGCCAATTACTCTTGGAAAATGAGAAGACTAAACAGAAGAAAAAAACCCCACAATTAACACCTAAAGAGCTCTTACTTGTCAGGTTTTATTCTAATTAACTGAAACCCAGGGAAACTCTGTAACGTAGAGACTATTATCTTGAGGCACAGAGAGGTTAAATAACTTACCGAGAGTGTCTCACACTGTGGAAGAGCTCAGATTTGAACCCTGAAAATCTGGCTCCAAAAGCCACCTTTTTTTTTTTTATGAGACATAGTCTCGCTCTGTCGCCCAGGCTGGAGTGCGATGGCGCAATCTCGGCTCACTGCAAGCTCCGCCTCCTGGGTTCACGCCATTCTCCTGCCTCAGCCTCCTGAGTAGCTGGGACTACAGGCGCCTGCCACCGTGCCCGGCTAATTTTTTGTATGTTTAGTAGAGACGGGCTTTCGCCGTGTTAGCCAGGATGGTCTTGATCTCCTGACCTCATGATCTGCCCACCTCAGCCTCCCAAAGTGCTGGGATTACGGGCGTAAGCCACCACGCCGGGCCCTGGAGTGCAGCAGTTTTATCATAGCTTACTGCAGCCTTGAATTCCTGGGCTCAAGCCGTCTTCCAGTCTCAGTCTCCTGAGTAGCAGGGACTACAGGATGTGTTGCCACCATGCCTGGCTAGTTTTTAAATTTTTAGTAGAGATGGGGGGGATTTCACTATATTGTCCAGGCTGGTCTCTAACTCCTTACCTCTAGTGATTTTCCCACCTTGGCCTCCCAAAGTGCTGGGATTATAGGCATGAGCCACTGTGCCTGGCCCAGAGGCCATATTTTTAACTTCTCTGTTATATTTCTTAGTTTCAACTGGGGATACTAGTAGATCTTTTTGTTTTTTTTTTTCTTTTTTGATACTAGTAGATTTTACAATATATAATTCTAAGTATATTTTGTGAAGCTGAGGTGGAAGTATTGCTTGAGTCCAGGAGTTCAAGACCAGCCTGGGCAACATAGCAAGATGCTATCTATATAAAAAATTTAAAAAATAGCCAGGTATAAGGCTGGGTGCAGTGTCTCACGCCTGTAATCCCAGCACTTTGGGAAGCCGAGGCAGGTGGATCATGAGGTCAGGAGTTAGAGACCAGCCTGACCAACATGGTGAAACCCCATCTCTACTAAAAATACAAAAGTTAGCCGGGCATGGTGGCATGTACCTGTAACCCCAGCTACTCAGGAGGTTGAGGTAGGAGAACTGCTTGAACCTGGGAGGCGGAGGTTGCAGTGAGCTGAGATTGCGCCACTGTACTCCAGCCTGGGCGACAGAGTGAGACTCCATCTCAAAAAAAAAAAAAAAAAAGCCAGGCATGCTGATTGACACCTGTAGTCCCACCTACTTGGGAAGCTGACGCAGGAGGATTGTTTGAGCTCAGAAGTTTGAGGCTGCAGTGAGGTACGATTGTGCCACTGCGCCACTGCAGTCCAGCCTGAGAGACAGTGAGACCCTGTCTCTTAAAAAAACATTAAAAAAAAAAAAACCATCACCAACAAAAAAAACAAGTACACATACATTATTTTGTGTGATTGCCCTTTGTGTTAAAGAGAGGTTTCAGAGTTTAGAGGGAAAGGAAGAAAAAGCAGAAATACTTATGAAGCTTGATTAGAGTGGACCAGTAATTTTTGCAGAGAGTTTAACTCTTTTATATTTATTTAGTTATATTTTTGGGACAGAGTTTTGCGCTTGTTGGCCAGGCTGGAGTGCAATGGCACGATCTCGGCTCACCGCGACCTCCGCCTCCTGAGTTCAAGCGATTCTCCTGCCTCAGCCTCCCGAGTAGCTGGAATTACAGGCATGCACCACCATGCCCGGCTAATTTTTTGTATTTTTAGCAGAGACGGGGTTTCTCCATGTTGGTCAGGCTGATTTCGAACTCCCAACCTCAGGTGATCCGCCCGCCTCAGCCTCCCAAAGTGCTGGGATTACAGGCATGAGCCACGGCGCCGGCCAGGAGAGTTTAATTCTTAAGACTGGAAGGGGCCAGATGTGGTGGCTCACACCTGTAATCCCAGCACTTTGGGAAACCAAGGCGGGTGGATCACTTGAGGTTAGGAGTTTGAGATAGCCTGACTAACATGGCAAAACCCTGTCTCTACCAAAAAAAAAAATACAAAAATGAGCTGGGCGTGGTGGCACATGCCTGTAATCCCAGCTACTCAGGAGGCTGAGGCAGGAGAATCGCCTGAACGTGGGAGGCAGAGGTTGCAGTGAGCCGACATCGTGCCATTGCACTCCAGCCTGGGTGACAGAGCGAGACTCCATCTCAAAAAAAAAAAGACTAGCAAGGCTGGGTGTGGTGGCTCAATGCCTGTAATCCCAGGACTTTGGTAGGCCAGGGTGGGCTTGAGCCCAGGAGTTCGAGGTCAGCCTGGGGAGCAAATCCCCAACTACAAAAAATTTTTGAAGTTAGCCGGGCATGGTGGTGTTCCTGTAGTCCCAGTTATTCAGGAGCCTGAGGTGGGAGGATCATTTGAGCCTGGGATGTTGAGGCTTCAGTGAGCCATGAGTCGTGTTGCTGCACTCCAGCCTGAGCAACAGAGTGAGACCCTGTTTTTTTTTTCTGGTTTTTGGTGTTTTGTTTTTTGTTTTTTTTTTTGAGATGGAGTCTCATTCTGTCGCCCATGCTAGACCCTGTTTCTTAAAAAAAAAAAAAAAAAAAAAGACTAGAAAGTATAGTGTCCTGGAAATAAGCACATAGGAGAGTTTGATTTAGGACAGAGCATGTTAGATGGAGAGTATGATAGTCTTGTATTGGCTTGTCATTATTATAGAGTGTCAGTCTTAGGTCACCCAGATAGTAATTTTTCTTGTTTTTTTTTTTTTTGAGATAGAGTTTTGCTCTTGTTTCCCAAGCTGGAGTGCAATGGAGTACAACCTCCGCCTCCTGGGTTCAAGCGATTCTCCTGCCTCAGCCTCCTGAGTAGCTGGGATTACAGGCATGTGGCACCGTGCCCGGTTAATTTTGTATTTTTAGTAGAGATGGGGTTTCTCCATGTTGGTCAGGCTGGTCTCGAACTCCTGACCTCAGGTGATCGGCCCACCTTGGCTTCCCAAAGTGTTGGGATTACAGGCATGAGCCACTGTGCCCAGCCATTTTTCTTGTTTTATAAATAATGCATGAATAACCGGGCGTGGTGGCTCACGCCTATAACCAGCACTTTTAGGAGGCTGAGGCGGGCAGATCACCTGAGGTCAGGAGTTCGAGACCAGCCTGACCAACATGGAGAAACCCCATCTCTACTAAAAATACAAAACTTAGCCAGGTATGGTGGTGCATGCCTGTAATTCCAGCTACTCAAGAGGCTGAGGCAGCAGAATCGCTTGAACCTGGGAGGCGGAGGTTGTGGTGAGCTGAGATAGCACCATTGCACTCCAGCCTGGGCAACGAGTGAAACTCCATCTCAAAAAAAAAAAAATGCATTAATGAAACAGAACTTTTCATACATTCAGCAACATGGATGACTCTCAAAGCATGCTAGGTGAAAGTTAGATGTAAAAAGATTATATGGTTCAATTTATGTGAAAGTCTGAAACAAGCCAGACACAGTGTTGCGTGCCTATAGACCCAGCTACTTGGGAGGCTGAGGCAGGAGGATTGCTTGAGGCCAAGAGTTTGAAGCTGTAGTGTGCTATGTTTATGCTTGTAAATAGCCACTAGACTCCAGCCTGGGCAACATAGCAAGACCCCATCTCTACAAGAAAAAAAACAAATTCTGGATCAGGCAGAACTCACTTGTAGTGAGAGAAAGCAGATGAACGGTTACTTGGGGCAGGGGTGGAGGCTTAGATGGTGGGAAAAATGTTACCAGCTGAGTTAATAGCACTGTAACCCTGAAACAGGAGTGAAATTGGGCTCTTTGAAGAACAGTGACCGAAGGTTAATGCAGGAGGGTGGAGGAGTGGAAGAAGTGGTCAGGAAGCAGCAGGCAGAAGCCAGATAATTGCAGGCCATAGTAGTACTTGGATTTAATTCAGGGTATTGTGGTAAGTCATTGGAAGTTGGAGAATGAATTGCATCAGATCAGACATGGAAGCAGGAAGCAAGGAGACTGGTAAAAAGACCATTAGAGGTAATCCAGGTAGTTGATGATGGTGGTCTGGATGAGGATAGGAGTGGTCAAGAATTAGAGAAGTGATGTGAGTCAGGAAGTACCTTGTAGTAGAGCTAACAGAAATTGTTGTGGGAGAGGGAGGAGAAAAGGAAGGTTTTTTTTTTTGAGACAGAGTTTCACTCTTGTTGCCCGGGCTGGAGTGCAGTGGCGCAATCTCTTGCCTCACCGCAACCTCCACCTCCCAGGTTCAAGTGATTCTCCTGCCTCAGCCTCCCTACTAGCTGGGATTACAGGTATGTGCCACCACGCCCAGCTAATTTTGTATTTTTAGTAGAGACGGGGTTTCTCCATGTTGTTCAGGCTGTTCTTGAACTCCCAACCTCAGGTGATCCTCCTGCCTCGGCCTCCCAGAGTGCTGGGATTACAGGCGTGAGCCATCATGCCCAGCAAGAAAAGGAAGATTTTAAAGATGAGTCCTACATTTTTGGTTTCTGAGGTGAAGGTAATGTTATTTTTTGAAGAAGGGAAAGTTTATATAAGAATGAGTTTGGGGGCCAGGTGTGGTGGCTCACGTCTGTCATCCCAGCACTTTGGGAGGCTGAGGCGGGTGGATCACGAGGTCAGGAGATCGAGACCATCCTGGCTAGCATGGTGAAACCCCGTCTCTACTAAAAGTACAGAAAGTTAGCCGGGCGTGGTGGTGGGTGCCTGCAGTCCCAGCTGTGCGGGATACTGAGGCAGGAGAATGGCATGAACCCAGGAGGTAGAGCTTGCAGTGAGCCAAGATCACACCACTGCACTCCAGCCTGGGCGACAGAGCGAGACTGTCAAAAAAAAAAAAAAAAGAATGAGTTTGGGAGAGGAAACTCTTTTATGAGATAATTGTGTAGATTTCTATGTACATCAGAAGAAATAGTCTTTTTCTAACTTTGCTTTTATTTTCTACCTTGACCGTTGAATTGACTGTTGTAGTGGTGGTCCATTTTTTTATGCTTGTCCAGAGTTGACCCCTTGTTTCCTTTGTGCTAGGATGTCTCAATTGATTGAAAAAGAAACTGAAGAGTATCGTAAAGGGGATCCAGACCCATTTGATGATCGACATCCTGGTAAGATTTGTGCTCTTAAGTGTGGGTCTTTTTTTTTTCTTTTAAGACACTTTTATTAAAGCGAGGGTCTTTTTTTTCTTTTCTAAAAAAGAAAAATTGCTTATGGGAAAATTTTTGAATTGAAATAGCGTCTTTTGTGGTAAGTTTTAAGACCTTTTATTTGTTAAAATGTTGCTCAAGGTGGAGCTAGTGAGGAAAAATAAATTTCTGGAAAAAATTGGAAATATTTTTGATATTTGCCAATCGAATATCACATAACTAACCTAAAGGAACAGAAGTAGGTGTACTTTAGTTAACTCAGTTGATATGATGACAAAGAATTAAAAAGAAAAATTGTCTTCCTTTCAGACTTTTTCTTTTTTGGAGATGGGTACTCACTCTGTTGCCCAGGTTGCAGTGCAGTGGCATGATCATAGCTCACTGCAGCCTGGATCTCCTGGCTCAAACGATCCTCCCACCTCAGCCTCTTGAGTAGCTGGGACTACAGGCGTGTGCTATCATGCCTGGCTGATTTTTAGTTTTTATTTTTTTGTAGAGATGGGGTCTTGCTTTGCTGCCCAAGTTGGTCTCGAACTCCTGGACACAAGCTATCCTCCCGCCTGGGCCTCCCAAAGTGCTGGGATTATAGGCATGAGCCACTGTGCCCAACCAACTTTTTTAAACCATAAAAACAAAAGGTGTTCTTCTCTGTGCCTTCATCTTTCTAATAATAATTATCCTCTAAATAATTATCCTTTTACTGTTGGGGAAATATAGTTGAGAAAGCATTCAGTGTCCTGCTTTTAGTTAGGAAGTTGATATTTGGAACCTTGACGCTTATGTCTGCTTTGGTGTCTTGAGAACTAAAGTATGCCTTCTCGTGTTAATTTGGTTTATTTTGGGCTTATTTATTATTATTATTTTTTTTTGAGATGGCATCTTGCTCTGTCGCCCAGCCGGCAGTGCAGTGGCACGATCTTGGCTCACTGCAACCACTGCTTCTTGGGTTCAAGCAATTTTTGTGCCTCAGTGTCCCAAGTAGCTGGGATTACAAGCATGCACCACCACAGTCGGCTAAGTTTTGCACTTTTAATAGAGAAGGGGTTTCACCATGTTGGCCAAGCTGGTCTTGAACTCCTGACCTCAAGTGATCCACCCGCCTCCACCTCCCAAAGTGCTGGGATTACAGGCGTGAGCCACTGAGCCTGGCCAATTTTGGGCTAATTAAAGCCATGATAGCACCTGCTTTGGTATGGAATTTGCTACAGTGGTACAGAATTATGAGGGACTTGAGACTGCCATTTTATGTTTACTATAAGGTAGATCACCAGTGGGCAAAGCTGAAGTCATGCATGGGCCCATAGTACATATAAGCTTGATAGCCTGAAGCAGTCCTTTGTGGAGAGGAGTCTGAAATTTTGGCCTGGCGCTGTGGCTCACGCCTGTAATCTCAGCACTTTGGGAGGCCGAGGCAGGAGGATCACCTGAGGTCGGGAGTTTGCGACCAGCCTGACCAACATGGAAAAACCCCGTCTCTACTAAATATACAAAATTAGCCAGACATGATGGCGCATGCCTGTAATCCCAGCTACTCAGGAGGCTGAGGCAGGAGAATCGCTTGAACCCAGGAGGCAGAGGTTGCGGTGAGCCAAGATCATGCCATTGAACTCCAGCCTGGACAAGAAGAGCAAAACTCTGTCTCAAAAAAAAAAAAAAAAAAAAAAAAAATTTGTGTGTGGAAAAAGAATGTGAATGAGTGCGAGTTATAAAAATAAGGACATTGTATATTCACCTGAATGTTCCAGGGTTTACTGCTATTTCTTACACTTTTGTTCTCACATGTAAGCTAGGCATTTCAAATTGAGAGTCTAGTTGCTTATGTGATGTTATCTGGTGCTGTTGTCCTGGACATCCCTACTTGTGACTACAGAGGAATATTCACCATTTAACCCACATCTTCAATAACTCAAATCAGAGCATGAAGAAGTATGAAAGTGAATGTGAAATCAGAAATTAAGTTAATGCATAGGATTATGAAAAGCATTAAAAGATAGATAATCATGCTGAATGTCATTGCCTGGAGATGGATTAAATGGCAACGAGGAAGAAGGGAGAGACAGAGAAAGATATGACATTTTTCAGTAGAGCTTACAAAGCAATTTTTTCCTCTTAATATTAAGCAATATTTGTCAGTGGCATTATTTCTTTATTAAAAATAAGGATTTCAGTTTCATGATTTATAAACAGCTAACATTAGGTAACTACGGTCCTTGTTTGTTTTTGTGATACTTTTCTCTGATGTTTCTTTCTTTTTGTGAATTACTTTGAGATACTAATTAACAGCTTGGTAAAAACATAGCAGCAGCTCACATCTTGTCTTCATTCTCTATTGTATGTTTTGACTAAATTTGCCTCTCTAAATGCTCTGAAAGAAAGGAAATGAAATAAAATAGAGGTTTCTGTTTTAAAAACAAACTAGGCCGCGTGTGATGGCTCATACCTGTAATCCCAGCACTTTGGGAGGCTGAGGCGGGCACATCACCTGAGGTCAGGAGTTCGAGACCAGCTTGGCCAACATGGTGAAACCCCGACTCTACTAAAAATACAGGAATTAGCTGAGCGTGGTGGCAGGCACCTGTAATCCCAGCTACTCGGGAGGCTGAGGCAGGAGAATTGCTTGAATTTAGGAGGTGGAGGTTGCAGTGAGCCAAGATTGAGCCACTGTACTCCAGCCTTGGCGACAGAACAAGACTCCATCTCAGAACACAACAACAACAAACCAGTAATTCTCCCTTCCATCAACTAATTCTTTTATCGTTAGGCTATGCATTGAGTTGATCCTAGGCCCCTGGCCTCCTTTCTTTCCACAAGAGCTAAGTTAAGATGGGCAAGGTTATTGTATCTTTAGGGTTAGTGATTGCTTGGTGGAATTCACCCCCGTCACCCTGACCCAGGGTGTCCTTACATGTTTGAGCATGCATCTCTGTTGCTGTTGTCATTGTAGTGGAAGGAGAGGTTGGACTTGGAGCCAGTCTTCTCCAGGCCACCCATCAATAGAAGCATGCTTCCTACCTTTTTATGGATGGGGAGTCAGAAGTTTTCTCTCTCTTAGGTTCCTTTATGATTCTTTTGTAGACCTTGTATACTCTTGGTGATGCTCATCTGGATCTAGTGCTCATTTGTTTAATTCAACAGTGCTGTATAGGCAGTATGCTAGGAGATGGGAAGGCTAGAGAGCAGTGTCTCAAGTTTTTACGTTGTTATTTTTAAATTATGTTTCTTTTTTTATATATATATTTTTATTATACTTTAAGTTCTAGGGTACATGTGCACAACGTGCAGGTTTGTTACATATGTATACATGTGCCATGTTGGTGTGCTGCACCCATTAACTCGTCATTTGCATTAGGTATATCTCCTAATGCTGTCCCTCTCCCCTCTCCCCACCCCACAACAGTCCCCGGTGTGTGATGTTCCCCTTCCTGTGTCCGAGTGTTCTCATTGTTCAGTTCCCACCTATGAGTGAGAACAGGTGTTTGGTTTTTTGTCCTCGCAATAGTTTGCTGAGAATGATGGTTTCCAGCTTCATCCATGTCCCTTTTTATTTTTATTTTTTTCGAGACGGAGTCTTCCTCTGTCACCCAGGCTGGATTGCAGTGGTGCAATCTTGGCTCACTGCAACCTCCGCCTCCTGGGTTCAAGCAATTCTCCTGCCTCAGCCTCCCGAGTAGATGGGATTACAGGCGCCCGCCACTGCACCTGGCTAATTTTTGTATTTTTAGTAGAGATGGGATTTCGCCATGTTGGCCAGGCTGTTCTCAAACTCCTGACCTCGTGATCTGCCCGCCTCAGCCTCCCAAAGTGCTGGGATTACAGGCATGAGCTACTGCGCCTGGCCTAAAGCATGTTTCTTATGTAATCTAATTTAGCACAATAATCTTTTGTTTCTGATTATTTTTGCTGGCATTTTATTAGTGCTTATAACAACCCAGGTGCCTTTCCAGAGGTCTAAGTTGCTTGACTGGGATGACTTACTCATTCCTTTGTTTGTTCCTCCCCTCTTCTCTTGGTAGGTCGAGCTGATCCAGAGTGTATGCTGGGCCACTTGCTGAGAATACTCTTCAAGAATGATGATTTCATGAATGCAGTAGGTTTGCTTCTTACTTTTCTCCAGCGATTATCATCTGTAGATGCTGTATCTTTATTGTTTTTTCGTGAATAGTTTGCCTTCTCCTAAGGCCTTGACAAAGTTGGGAGTAGAGTTTTTTGCCAAAGTCCTGGTTGTGGCCATAATGCTTTCTCTTTGGTATGTACTTTGATATTGGTGAGGCCTCCCAAGGTATCTACGCTCATTCTTGGGCAAAATGATTTTGAATTTGAGAATATAGGGGCCCTCTTCAGTTTTTCAATGGAAAAATAAGAGTGATGCATACAGCATGATTCTGCACTGACACTGTGGGGTATGCATTGGGCATGTAGAGGGATAGAAAGTTGCTTTCTGTCTATCTTGAGGAGGATGTGAGGAGTAAATAAGAATATACATATTTTACTCAGCTCCTGAACATAGTAATTGCTCAACAAATTGTGGCTGATAGGTTTGTTTTTGGAGGTGGGATGGCATGATGCTTGAGAACGTGGGCTTTGGGGGTCCATGTTTTGGATTTAAATCCAGCTCCATAGTTCACTGACAGACTTAAGCCTCTTCAAGCTTTATTTTCTCACTGCCTTCTTTTTCTTTTCTTCCTTTTGAGACAGGGTCTGGCTCTGTTACTTAGGCTGGAATGCAGTGGCACAATCTTGGCTTACTGCAACCTCTGCTTTCCGGGGTCAGGTGATTCTCCTGCCTCAGGCTCCCAAGTAGCTGGGACCACAGGTGCCTGCCAACCACACCTGCCTTATTTTTTTGTATGTTTAGTAGAGATGGGCTTTCACCATGTTGGCCAGGCTAGTCTCAAATTCCTGACCTCAAGTTATCCACCCACCTTGGCCTCCCAAAGTGCTGGGATTACAGACGTGAACCACTGCACCCAGCCGCAGCCTTATTTTTCTAGTCTATAAAATGGAGTTAATAGCATTTAAAACCTTTTTTGTACTCCTTGAATGAAATTAAGCATGAAGGTGCTTGGCAGAGAGCCTGGCACACGATGAAGGCCCAGTAGGTATTAGCTAGTATTATCATTTATTTATTTGCTTATTTATTTTTTGAGACAGAATTTCGCTTTTGTTGCCCAGGCTGGAGTGCAGTGGTGTGATCTCGGCTCACTGCAACCTCTGCCTCCTGGGTTCAAGTGATTCTCCTGACTCAGCCTCCCAAGTAGCTGGGACTACAAGGGATGCACCACCACGCCAGGCTAATTTTTGTATTTTTAGTAGAGACGGGGTTTCTCCATGTTGGTCAGGCTGGTCTCAAACTCCTGACTTCAGGTGATCCACCTGCCTCGGCCTCCCAAAGTACTGGGTTTACGGGCATGAGCCACTGCACCCAGCCAGTATTAGCTATTATTATCTGTATTATGTTGACTTCTAGATTTATTTCTATATCACCATTGTCTCTTTCTTAGTTTCAGATCACTTCTAGACATTTCCTTCTGGGTGTCTCCCATATACACCTCGAATTTTACGTGTCTGACCATTTGCTCCATAATCTGTTTCTTTTGTTCTCTAGCTCAGTAACGATGTCCTTGTCTAGTCAGCTATAAAGTGTCCTTTACGCCTCCAAGCTCTCTTATACAGTGAACTTACAGATGTTATTACTCCCTTCACCTTAAACTTCACAAATCCCTCCAGTTCTGTTCTTGTCACCAGACCCCAGTTTAGCTAGACCACCGTTTAGCCAACAATTTTTCACTTGGTTACTGAAATAACATCTTCACTGGTTTCTTCTTGTCTTGTCCTCCTCTAATTCATTCTTCACTTTATAGCCCAGAAATTATGGTACCCTCTTGCTTAAAATCCATTAATGGCTTTCTATTACCTTCAGGACAAATTTTAAGTTTCTTAGTTTGGTGTAAAAACCAAATCTGTCTCTGAACTTTGTTCTCTGCAGTTTCAGTTCTTGCCTTCTGGCCCTCCTCTCCTCCAACGTTTCCTTAGATACTTCCTTCTCGTCTTTTACATCCCGGCTTGGAATCACTTCTTCTCTTAAGCCTTCTCTGATTCTTCTTCAGGGGTCTTGTGCCCTCCTAGGGGCTTCGGTAATCCTTTACTCATGGTATTACTTGTTTTCCCAACTGTCACCTCTATTGAATTACACATCTTTTTTTTTTTTTTTAAGACAGCATCTCACGCTGAGTGCATTAGTACGATCACTCACTGCAGCCTTGACCTCCCATGTTTAAGGATTCTCCTGCCTCAGCCTCCTGAGTAGCTGAGACCACAGGCATGTGCCACCATGCCTGGCAAATTTTTTGATTTTTTTGTAGAGACAAGATTTCACTGGGTTGCCCAGGCTGGTCTTGAACTCCTGGGCTCAAGCCATCCTCAGATTTTGGCCACCCAATGTGCTGGGATTACAGGGATGAGCCACCACACTCAGCCTGGATAATGAATCTTGGGATGGTGGGACTGTGTCAATAATTATTTACTGTTATATGCCCAGCACAGAACATAGTATCGCTTAATATTAGAGATTCAGTAAATACTAAGTGCCAAATGGAGACTTTTATTAATACATATTATTGTATTATATATATAATTTATTATAAAATTTGAGTTTTTCATTAACCATTGTCAAGAATATGGAGCTCATATTGCCCTGCTTATGCTTTTAAAAAAGTGTATATGCAGTGGTGTGGGGGCCAGATGTGATGGCTCATGCCTGTAATCCCAGTACTTTGGGAGGCTGAGGTGGGAGGATCACCTGAGGCCAGGAGTTAGAGGCTAGCTCGGGCAACATAATGAGGCCCCGTCTCTACTAAAAATGAAAAAATTAGATGGACATGGTGGTGTGCACCTGTGGTCCCAGCTACTTGGGAGGCTGAAGCTGGAGGATCACTTGAGACTGGGAGGTCGAGACTGCAGTGAGCCATGCTTGTGCCACTGCACTCCAGCCTAAGTGACAGAGTGAGACCCTGTCTGTAAAAAAAATCATTAAAGTGTATATGGAAGGGGATAGGTTTATTTGTGGCATTTTTTTTGTTTTTGTTCTGTTGTTGTTGTTGTTGTTTTTTTGGAGACAGGGTCTCACCGTTGCCCAGGCCTGAGTGCAGTGGTGATTAGGGCTCACTTCACCCTTGACATCCTGGGCTCTGGGCATCCTCCCACCTCAGCCTCCCATGTAGCTGGGACTACAGGCATGTGCCACCATGCTTGGCTAATTTTTGTATTTTTGGTAGAGATGGGGTTTTGCCGTGTTGTCCAGGCTGGTTTCAAACTCCTCAGCTCAAGTGATCCTCCTGCCTTGGCTTCCCAAAGTGCTGGGATTACAAGTGTGCATCACTGGCATCAGCGTTTGACCTTTAATTTCTATGATTGCTGAGTTGTTTTGGGGGGATTTGGCTTTAAAGCTGCAGAAGAAATTATGTGTGGTATCACCATGGCTCAGCAAGATCATAAGTGTTTATAATAATTAAAGGTTTAATTAGTAAAAGTTTAATTAGTTACATACAGTCTTCTTTCATACCCGTTAAGAAAGTAATGGGAATATGTTGAGGTTTTATTAGATGTCCTTAATTTGACTGGGTTGAATTTTAGATGAACAGTATTTCTTTTTTTTCTTTACAGCTGGTGAATGCATATGTGATGACAAGCCGAGAGCCCCCTTTAAACACTGCAGCTTGCAGACTCCTATTAGACATCATGCCAGGGCTGGAAACTGCTGTCGTCTTTCAAGAAAAGGTACTTAGTGAAAAGTAAAGTCATAATTTTATTTTGTAATTGAATTATGATGTATTTGATTTGTCTTTGTGGTTAAAATCATTGTTACAGTTTTTGTTATTCATATAGTAATATATGTTATAAAAATCTAAGAAATCCTGACAGGCAATAATAAAATTATTTATTTTTTATTATCATTTTTTAAATTGAGATGGGGTCTTGCTGTATTGCCCAGTGAGCAACTGGGCTCAAGTGATCCTCCTACTTTAGCATTTCAGATTGCTGGGATTATAGTCGTGAGCCTCTGCGCCCAGCCAAAAATTTAAAAATAGTTATTTTGACAAATACTTGTTGTTTGGGTGCTATAGTTTTTTTTTTTTTTTTTTTTTGAGATGGTGTCTTGCTTTGTCACCCATGCTGGAGTGCAGTGGCACAATTTCAGCTCACTACAACCTCTGCCTCCCGGGCTTAAGTGATTCTCCTGCCTCAGCCTCCCAAGTAGCTGGGATTACAGGCGCCCACCACCATGTCCACTTAATTTTTGTAATTTTAGTAGAGATGGGATTTCACCATGTTGGTCAGGTTGGCCTCGAACTCCTGACCTCAGGTGATCCACCTGCCTCGGCCTCCCAAAGTGCTGGCATTACAGGCGTGAGCCATCGCACCTGGCCAGTATTTTTAATTTTATTTTATTTACTTTTGTTTTTTCATTTTTTGAGACTGAGTCTTGCTCTGTCGCCCAGGCTGGAATGCAGTGGTGCAGTCTCAGCTCACTGCAACTTCCTCCTGGGTTCAAGCAATTCTTGTGCCTCAGCCTCCTGGGTACCTGGGATTACAGGTGTACGCTACCATGCCTGGCTAATTTTTGTATTTTTAGTAGAGACAGCGTTTCACCATGTTGGCCAGGCTGGTCTCAAACTCCTGACCCAAGTGTTCCACCCTCCTTGGCCTCCCAGAGTGCTGGGATTACAGGCATGAACTGCCACACCTGGCCAGTGTAGAATTTTTTTAAATCTTGAGATTATATGTTGTGTGGTTTTTTTTCTTTTCTTTTTTTTTTAATTTTATTATTATTATACTTTAAGTTTTAGGGTACATGTGCACAACGTGCAGTTTTGTTACATATGTATACATGTGCCATGTTGGTGTGCTGCACCCATTAACTCGACATTTAGCATTAGGTATATCTCCTAATGCTATCCCTTCCCGCTTCCCCCACCCCACAACAGTCCCCAGTGTGTGATGTTCCCCTTCCTGTGTCCATGTGTTCTCATTGTTCAATTCCCACCTATGAGTGAGAACATGCGGTGTTTGGTTTTTTGTCCTTGCGATAGTTTGCTGAGAATGATGGTTGGCAGTTTCATCCATGTCCCTACAAAGGACATGAACTCATCATTTTTTATGGCTGCATAGTATTCCATGGTATATATGTGCCATATTTTCTTAATCCAGTCTATCGTTGTTGGACATTTAGGTTGGTTCCAAGTCTTTGCTATTGTGAATAGTGCCGCAATAAACATACGTGTGAATGTGTCTTTATAGCAGCATGATTTATAATCCTTTGGGTATATACCCAGTAATGGGATGGCTGGGTCAAATGGTATTTCTAGTTCTAGATCCCTGAGGAATCGCCACACTGACTTCCACAATGGTTGAACTAGTTTACAGTCCCACCAACAGTGTAAAAGTGTTCCTATTTCTCCGCATCCTCTCCAGCACCTGTTGCTTCCTGACTTTTTAATGATTGCCATTCTAACTGGTGTGACATGGTATCTCATTGTGGTTTTGATTTGCATTTCTCTGATGGCCAGTGATGGTGAGCATTTTTTCATGTGTTTTTTGGCTGCATAAATGTCTTCTTTTGAGAAGTGTCTGTTCATATCCTTCGCCCACTTTTTGATGGGGTTGTTTGTTTTTTTCTTATAAATTTGTTTGAGTTCATTGTAGATTCTGGATATTAGCCCTTTGTCAGATGAGTAGGTTGCAAAAATTTTCTCCCATTCTGTAGGTTGCCTGTTCACTCTGATGGTAGTTTCTTTTGCTGTGCAGAAGCTCTTTAGTTTAATTAGATCCCATTTGTCAATTTTGGCTTTTGTTGCTATTGCTTTTGGTGTTTTAGACATGAAGTCCTTGCCCATGCCTGTGTCCTGAATGGTATTGCCTAGGTTTTCTTCTAGGGTTTTTATGGTTTTAGGTCTAACATTTAAGTCTTTAATCCATCTTGAATTAATTTTTGTATAAGGTGTAAGGAAGGGATCCAGTTTCAGCTTTCTACATATGGCTAGCCAGTTTTCCCAGCACCATTTATTAAATAGGGAATCCTTTCCCCATTTCTTGTTTTTGTCAGGTTTGTCAAAGATCAGATAGTTGTAGATATGCGGCATTATTTCTGAGGGCTCTATTCTGTTCCATTGGTCTATATATCTGTTTTGGTACCAGTACCATGCTGTTTTGGTTACTGTAGCCTTGTAGTATAGTTTGAAGTCAGGTAGCGTGATGCCTCCAGCTTTGTTCTTTTGGCTTAGGATTGACTTGGTGATGTGGGCTCTTTTTTGGTTCCATATGAACTTTAAAGTAGTTTTTTCCAATTCTGTGAAGAAAGTCATTGGTAGCTTGATGGGGATGGCATTGAATCTATAAATTACCTTGGGCAGTATGGCCATTTTCACGATACTGATTCTTCCTACCCATGAACATGGAACGTTCTTCCATTTGTTTGTATCCTCTTTTATTTCATTGAGCAGTGGTTTGTAGTTCTCCTTGAAGAGGTCCTTCACATCCCTTGTAAGTTGGATTCCTAGGTATTTTATTCTCTTTGAAGCAGTTGTGAATGGGAGTTCACTCATGATTTGGCTCTCTTGTTTGTCTGTGTTATTGGTGTATAAGAATGCTTGTGATTTTTGTACATTGATTTTGTATCCTGAGACTTTGCTGAAGTTGCTTATCAGCTTGAGGAGATTTTGGGCTGAGACGATGGGGTTTTCTAGATATACAATCATGTCATCTGCCAACAGGGACAATTTGACTTCCTCTTTTCCTAATTGAATACCCTTTATTTCCTTCTCCTGCCTGATTGCCCTGGCCAGAACTCCCAACGCTATGTTGAATAGGAGTGGTGAGAGAGGGCATCCCTGTCTTGTGCCCGTTTTCAAAGGGAATGCTTCCAGTTTTTGCCCATTCAGTATGATATTGGCTGTGGGTTTGTCATGGATAGCTCTTATTATTTTGAGATAGGTCCCATCAATACCTAATTTATTGAGAGTTTTTAGCATGAAGGTTGTTGAATTTTGTCAAAGGCCGTTTCTGCATCTATTGAGATAATCATGTGGTTTTTGTCTTTGGTTCTGTTTATATGCTGGATTACATTTATTGATTTGCATATGTTGAACCAGCCTTGCATCCCAGGGATGAAGCCCACTTGATCATGGTAGATAAGCTTTTTGATGTGCTGCTGGATTTGGTTTGCCAGTATTTTATTGAGGATTTTTGCATCGATGTTCATCAAGGATATTGGTCTAAAATTCTCTTTTTTGGTTGTGTCTTTGCCAGGCTTTGGTATCAGGATGATGCTGGCCTCATAAAATGAGTTAGGGAGGATTCCCTCTTTTTCTGTTGATTGGAATAATTTCAGAAGGAATGGTACCAGCTCCTCTTTGTACCTCTGGTAGAATTCGGCTGTGAATCCATCTGGTCCTGGACTTTTTTTGGTTGGTAAGCTATTGATTATTGCCTCAATTTCAGAGCCTGTTATTGGTCTGTTCAGAGATTCAACTTCTTCCTGGTTTAGTCTTGGGAGGATGTATGTGTCGAGGAATTTATCCATTTCTTCTTGATTTTCTAGTTTATTTGTGTAGAGGTGTTTATAGTATTCTCTGATGGTAGTTCGTATTTCCGTGGGATCGGTTGTGATATCCCCTTTATCATTTTTTATTGTGTCTATTTGATCCTTCTGTCTTTTCTTATTATTCTTGCTAGCGGTCTATCAATTTTGTTGATCTTTTCAAAAAACCAGCTCCTGGATTCATTAATTTTTTGAAGGGTTTTTTGTGTCTCTATTTCCTTCAGTTCTGCTCTGATCTTATTTCTTGCCTTCTGCTAGCTTTTGAATGTGTTTGCTCTTGCTTTTCTAGCTCTTTTAATTGTGATGTTAGGGTGTCAGTTTTAGATCTTTCCTGCTTTCTCTTGTGGGCATTTAGTGCTATAAATTTCCCTCTACACACTGCTTTGAATGTGTCCCAGAGATTCTGGTATGTTTTGTCTTTGTTCTCATTGGTTTCAAAGAACATCTTTATTTCTGCCTTCATTTCATTATGTACCTAGTAGTCATTCAGGAGCAGGTTGTTCAGTTTTCATGTAGTTGAGCAGTTTTGAGTGAGTTTCTTAATCCTGAGTTCTAGTTTGATTGCACTGTGGTCTGAGAGACAGTTTGTTATAATTTCTGTTCGTTTACATTTGCTGAGGAGTGCTTTACTTCCAACTATGTGGTCAGTTTTGGAGTAGGTGTGGTGTGGCGCTGAAAAGAATGTGTATTCTGTTGATTTGGGGTAGAGAGTTCTGTAGATGTCTGTTAGGTCCGCTTGATGCAGAGCTGAGTTCAATTCCTGGGTATCCTTGTTAACTTTCTGTCTCGTTGATCTGTCTGATGTTGACAGTGGGGTGTTAAAGTCTCCCATTATTATTGTGTGGGAGTCTAAGTCTCTTTGTAGGTCACTAAGGACTTGCTTTATGAATCTGGGTGCTCCTGTATTGGGTGCATATATATTTAGGATAGTTAGCTCTTCTTGTTGAATTGATCCCTTTACCATTATGTAATGGCCTTTTTTGTCTCTTTTGATCTTTGTTGGTTTAAAGTCTGTTTTATCAGAGACTAGGATTGCAGCCCCTGCCTTTTTTTGTTTTCCATTTGCTTGGTAGATCTTCCTCCATCCCTTTCTTTTGAGCCTATGTGTGTGTCTGCATGTGAGATGGGTTTCCTGAATACAGCACACTGATGGGTCTTGACTCTTTATCCAATTTGCCAGTCTGTGTCTTTTAATTGGAGCATTTAGCCCATTTACATTTAAAGTTAACATTGTTATGTGTGAATTTGATCCTGTCATTATGATGTTAGCTGGTTATTTTGCTCGATAGTTGATGCAGTTTCTTCCTAGCGTTAATGGTCTTTACAATTTGGCATGTTTTTGCAGTGGCTGGTACCGGTTGTTTCTTTCCATGTTTAGTGCTTCCTTCAGGAGCTCTTGTAAGGCAGGCCTGGTGGTGACAAAATCTCTCAGCATTTGCTTGTCTGTGAAGTATTTTATTTCTCCTTCACTTATGAAGCGTAGTTTGGCTGGATATGAGATTCTGGGTTGAAAATTCTTTTCTTTAAGAGTGTTGAATATTGGTTCCCACTCTCTTCTGGCTTGTAGAGTTTCTGCAGAGAGATCAGCTGTTAGTCTGATGGGCTTCCCTTTGTGGGTAACCCGACCTTTCTCTCTGGCTGCCCTTAACATTTTTTCCTTCATTTCAACTTTGGTGAATCTGACAATTATGTGTCTTGGAGTTGCTCTTCTTGAGGAGTATCTTTGTGGTGTTCTGTGTATTTCCTTAATTTGAATGTTGGCCTGCCTTGCTAGATTGGGGAAGTTCTCCTGGATAATATCCTGCAGAGTGTTTTCCAACTTGGTTCCATTCTCCCTGTCACTTTCAGGTACACCAATCAGACGTAGATTTGGTGTTTTCACATAGTCCCATATTTCTTGGAGGCTTTGTTCGTTTCTTTTTATTCTTTTTTCTGTAAACTTCTCTTCTCGCTTCATTTCATTAATTTCGTCTTCCATCACTGATACCCTTTTTCCAGTTGATCACATCGGCTACTGAGGCTTCTGCATTCGTCACGTAGCTTTCTGTGCCTTGGTTTTCAGCTCCATCAGGTCCTTTAAGGACTTCTCTGCATTGGTTATTCTAGTTATCCATTTGTCTAATTTTTTTTCAAAGCTTTTAACTTCTTTGCCATTGGTTCGAATTTCCTCCTGTAGCTCGGAGTAGTTTGATCATCTGAAGCCTTCTTCTCTCAACTCATCAAAGTCATTCTCCGTCCAGCTTTGTTCCATTGCTGGTGAGGAACTGTGTTCCTTCGGAGGAGGAGAGGCGCTCTGATTTTTAGAGTTTCCAGTTTTTCTGCTCTGTTTTTTTCCCATCTTTGTGGTTGTAGCTACCTTTCGTTTTTGACGATGGTGACGTACAGATGGGTTTTTGGTGTGGATGTCCTTTCTGTTTGTTAGTTTTCCTTCTAACAGACAGGTCCCTCAGCTGCAGGTCTTGTGGAGTTTGCTAGAGGTCCACTTCAGACCCTGTTTGCCTGGGTATCAGCAGCGGTGGCTGCAGAATAGCGGATATTGGTGAACCACAGATGCTGCTGCCTGATCGTTCCTCTGGAAGTTTTGTCTCAGAGGAGTACCCAGCCGTGTGAGGTGTCAGTCCGCCCCTACTGGGGGGTGCCTCCCAGTTAGGCTACTTGGGGGTCAGGGACCCACTTGAGGAGGCAGTCCGCCTGTTCTCAGATCTCAAGCTGCATGCTGGGAGAACCACTACTCTCTTCAAAGCTGTCAGAGAGGGACATTTAAGTCTGCAGAGGTTACTGCTGTCTTTTTGTTTGTCTGTGCCCTGCCCCCAGAGGTGGAGCCTACAGAGGCAGGCAGGCCTCCTTGAGCTGTGGTGGGTTCCACCCAGTTTGAGCTTCCGGGCTGCTTTGTTTACCTAATCAAACAACTAACTCAGCAATGGCGGGCGCCCCTCCCCCAGTCTCACTGCTTCCTTGCAGTTTGATCTGGGACTGCTGTGCTAGCAATGAGGGAGACTCTGTGGGCGTAGGACCCTCCGAGCCAGGTGCGGGATGTAATCTCCTGGTGTGCCGTTTTTTAAGCCTGTTGGAAAAGCGCAGTATTAGGGTCGGAGTGATCCGATTTTCCAGGTGCTGTCTGTCACCGATTTCTTTGACTAGGAAAGGGAATTCCCTGACCCCTTATGCTTCCTGGGTGAGGCGATGCCTTGCCCTGCTTCTGCTAGCACACGGTGCACTGCACCCACTGTCCTGCACCTACTGTCTGGCACTCCCCAGTGAGATGAACCCGGTAGCTCAGTTGGAAATGCAGAAATCACCCGTCTTCTGTGTTGCTCGCACTGGGAGCTGTAGACGGGAGCTGTTCCTATTCGGCCATCTTGGCTCCTCCCCCGGATCTTTTTTTTTTCTTTTTTTGAGACAGAGTCTTGCTCTTGTCACCCAGGCTGGAGTGCAGTGGTGTGATCTTGGCTCACTGCAACTTCCGCCTCCCAGGTTCCAGTGATTCTTTTGCCTCAGCCTCCCAAGTAGCTGGGACTACAGGCTCGTGCCACCATGCCTGGCAAATTTTTGTATTTTTAGTAGAGATGGGGTTTCACCATATTGGTCAGGCTGGTCTTGAACTCCTGACCTCGTGATCTGCCTGCCTCAGCCTCCCAAAGTGCTGGGATTACAGGTGTGAGCCACCGCGCCCAGCCTTTTTTTTGAGATGGGGTCTTACTCTGTTGCCCAGGCTAGAGTGAAGTGGTGAGATCACCATGGCTCACTGCAGCCTTGACCTCCTGGGCTTAAGCTGTTCTCCCACCTCAGCCTCCTGAGTAGCTGGAAGTATAGGCATGTGTCACCATGCCCGGCTAATTTTTAAATTTTTTTGTAGAGACGAGGTCTCACTGTGTTGCCAGGCTAGTCTCGAACTTCTGGGCTGAAACCATCTTCCTGCCTTGGCCTCCCAAAGTGCTGGGATTACAGACATGAGACACCATGCCTGGCCCATGTGTTTCTGGAATGGATTTATAATGTCAAACTCTTACTCTTGATGAGTGATCTTCCCAGTGATAAAGAGCTTTGTATTTGAGGAAGCCTTTCTTTCCTATTCTTCGTGGTATTTATTATTTGTGTAGCTAATACTAGAAGATCTCTTTTGTGCTGTGTTTTGTTGTAGGGGCTTGGAATATTTTGTTAGCAACATGAGAGCTTTACATTCATGTAGGTGTTTGGGGGTGGGCAAACAAAAATAAACTGATAATTTCAAATAAGAGTAAGTGTTAGGAAGACAAGCAAATGTTAAATTGATAGTGACTATGCATGTATGCTTCAACTATCAAAAATTAGGGGCTGGGTAGGCCGGGCGTGGCGGCTCACACCTGTAACCCCAGCACTTTGGGAGGCCGAGGTGGGCAGATCACGAGGTTAGGAGATCGAGACCATCCTGGCTAACACAGTGAAACCCCGTCTCTACTAAAAATACAAAAAATTAGCCGGGTGTGGTGGTGGGCGCCTGTAGTCCCAGCTACTCGGGAGGCTGAGGCAGGAGAATGGTGTGAACCTGGGAGGCGGAGCTTGCAGTGAGCCAAGATTGTGCCACTGCACTACAGCCTGGGCGACAGAGCGAGACTCCGTCTCAAAAAAAACAAAACAAAACAAAAATTAGGGGCTGGGCGTCGTGGCTCACGCCTGTAATCCCAGCACTTTGGGAGGCCGAGGCAGGTAGATCACTTGAGGCCAGTAGTTTGAGATCAGTCTGGCCAACATGGCAAAACCCTGTCTCTACAAAAAAATACAAAAATTAGCCGGGTGTGGTGGTGTGTGACTGTAGTCCCAGCTCCTTGGGAGGCTGAGGCATGAGAATCGCTTGAACCCAGGAGGTGGAAGTTGCAGTGAGATAAAATCATGCCACTCCACTCCACTCTGGGTGACAGAGTGAGACTCCATCTCAAAAAATAAATAAATAAAAGAGAAAAATTAGGGCCAGGTGAGTTGGCTCATATCTGTAATCCCAGGAGTTTGTGAGGCTAAGGCAGGAGGAGTGCTTGAGCCCAGGAGTTCAAGACTGGCGATGTAGCCTGGGCAATATAGGAAGACCCTGGCTCTACAAAAATAAATCATTAGCTGGGCACGGTAGCTCATGCCTGTAGTCCCAGATGTTTGGAATGCTGAGGCGGGAGGATCGCTTCAACTCAGGAAGTAGAGGCTATGGTTAGCCCTGATCGTGCTGCCGCACTCCAGCCCTGACAAGAGAGTGAGACAGAAAAAAAAATTAGTTGCTCAAGTTTTAGACGTAATGTAAATATTTTCTATCTTAGCTTTAAGAATTTGCTGTGTGAATTGCGTATGTCCCATAGCTTGCTTGTTTTTTTTTTTTTGAGATGGAGTCTCGCTCTGTCGTGCAGGCTGGAGGCAGTGGCGCGATCTCGGGCCACTGCAACCTCTGCCTCCCGGGTTCAAGCAATTCTCCTGCTTCAGTCTCCTGAGTAGCTGGGATTACAGGTGCGTGCCACCACGCCTGGCTAATTTTTATATTTTTAGTAGAGATGGGGTTTCTCCATGTTGGTCAGGCTGGTCTCAAACTCCCGACCTCAGCTGATCTGCCCGCCTTGGCCTCCCAAAGTGCTGGGATTACAGGCGTGAGCCACTGTGCCCGGCCAGTTGCTTTATTTTTAAAGCTATTAAAATTTTAATCTTCTTAAACACTCTGGAAATCTTTTTTTTTTCTTTCGAGACAGGTTAAAAGAAAAGCTCACTGCAGCCTTGACCTCCTTGTCTCAAACCATTCTCCTGCCTCAGCCTCCCAAGTAGCTAGGACCATAGGCAAGTGCCACCATGCCCAGCTAATTTTTTAAAAATTTTTTTGTAGAGATGAGGTCTCCCTATGTTGCCCAGGCTGGTCTCACACTCTTGGGCTCAAGCAGTCCTCCCGCCTCAGCCTCCCAAAGTGCTGGGATTATAGGAATGAGCTACTGCACCCAGCCTGGAAGTCTTATTATAGTTAAGTGTATGACCCAAATGAAAGATCTTGATTCTTATTTAGCTTTTAAGAAAATTCATATTAACTTTTATTGCAGAATAATTGTGCCACAGAAAGTATTTTAGAGAATAACGTTGTGATTAACGTTATAATTTGCAATATCATTTATAGACTAAAATCTCCAGTTAGCAACCCGTGTGAGACTAGAAGAATCTGTCTTTGTAAAAAATTTTTAATATGGATTATTTTGAAAATCAGGATGATAAAAGCATTTATGGCAATATATTTGTATACACAAGGTTTATCCAAGATTACAGATTTTTTTTTTTTTTTTGAGACAGAGCCTCACTCTGTTGCCCAGGCTGGAGTGCAATAGTGTGATCTCGGCTCACTGCAACCTCCACCTCCTGGGTTCAAGTGATTTCTCCTGCCTCAACTTCCTGAGTAGCTGGGATTACAGGTGCCCGCCACCACGCCCGGCTAATTTTTAAAATATTTTTATTAGAGATGAGGTTTCACCACGTTGGCCAGGCTGGTCTTGAATTCCTGACCTCAGATGATTCGCCCACCTCAGCCTCCCAAAGTGCTGGGATTACAGGCATGAGCCACTGCACCCAGCCGATAACAGATGATTTAACGGGGCTTTTTGAAAATTTCCATGTTGTCCTTGTAGGAAAATCATCTCTGGTTCTTTATAGTTTCATCATTGTAGATCTAGAAAGAAGTGAGTGCCCTTTGGTGGTTAGAAACACTATTTAAGGGAAATTATGAATAATAAAGCTTTCTGCAAGAACAATTTTATCGTTTCCTAATTAATGGTTTATTGGGAGAAGTGACTTATTCCATTGTGCATTAGATTGGAAATTGTCTTGAATCCAGTGTTTAGAGAACAGATTGCAAGCCTTTTTCATATTGTGTTACTTGATTACATGATGATCTGTACTCTTCAGAAGTATCCTATGCAGCTTTTTTTAATAAATCAATATTTCTTAAAATATTTTAATTATAGCAATTAATGAGTCAGAAATCATTATTTCTCAACAAATTAGCTATTGGTGTTCCTCAGAAGTTATAATTAAGACTTATTCAGCCTGGATAACCTAAGGAGACCTCATTTACAAAGAGATGGAGTCTCTTTGTGGGTGTAGTGGTGCACACTGTGGTCTCAGCTGCTTGGGAGTCTGAGGTGGGAAGATTGCTTGGGCCCAGGAGGTGGACGCTGCAGTGAACTGTGATTGTGCCACTGCTTTCCAGCCTGGGAGACAGAGCGAGACCCTGTCTCAAAAAAGAAAAGAAAAAGACTTATTGCTCTAGGATGGTGTTTTTCAAATTTTGTGAAACATAGTAACATGTACTTTTTTTTAAACCTTGAAACCCAGTCCATACATTATATGTATGAAAAAGAAGTTTTAAAAACACTGTTTACTCTTTGTGCAATTCATTCTGATACTTTTTTACTTATTTCTTTTTTAAAATGCTGGTTCAGTGTACTAAGTTGGTTTTATTCCGCCACTGTTTTTAAAAAGTTGTTGACTTTTACTTTCAGAGATATTGAAAAAAAGCTTTACAATCTTTTTTTTTTTTTTTGAGACAGAGTTTTGCTCTTGTTGCCCAGGCTGGAGTGCAACGGCATGATCTCAGCTCACTGCAACCTCTGCCTCCCAGGTTCAAGGGAGTCTCCTGCCTCGGCCTCCCGTGTAGCTGAGATTACATGCACCTGCCACCATGCCCAGCTAATTTTTTGTATTTTTGGTAGAGATGGGGTTTCACCATGTTAGCCAGGCTGGTCTCAAACTGTTAACCTCAGGTGATCCACCCGTCTTGGCCTCCCATAGTGCTGGGATTACACCTGACCTAAAATCTATTTATTTTTATTTTTTAAATATATACGAAAAAATAGACACAGAGTCTCATTATGTTGCCCAGGCTGGTCTTGAACTCCTGAGCTCAAATGATCCTCCCTGGCTTGGTTTCCCAAGGTGCTGGCATTACAGGCATGAGCCACTGTGTCTGGCCTAAAATTTATTTTTATTTAAAATTATTTGGCTGCAGGCTGGGCAACATGGTGAGACCCCATCTGTAAATATATATATATATGCTGAGTGTGGTGTCACATGGCTGTAGTCCTGGCTAGTTGGGAGGTTGAGGCAGGAGGATTGCTTCAGCGCAGGAGTTCGAGGTTGCAGTGAGTTATGATTATGTCACTGCATTCCGGCCTGGGTGACAGAGTGAGACCTTGTCACTAAAAAAAAAAAAAAAAAAAAAAAAAAAAAAAAAAAAGAATTTCCTTTTTATATTGTTCATTGCTAGTGTATAGAAGTGCAACTGATTTTTGTATGTTGATTTTGTATCCTATAACTTTGCTGAATGTGTTACTTCACTGACAGGTTTTTTTGTGTATGGAGTCTTTAGGGTTTTACACATATAAGATCACGTCATTTGCCAACAGAGGTAATCTTACTTCTTACTCTCTAATCTGGATTCCTTTAATTTCCTTTTTTATGTCTAATTACTCTCACTAGAACTTCCAGTACTATGTTTAATAGAAGTGGCAAAAGTGGACACCTTGACCAGGCGTGGTGGCTCACGCCTGTAACCTCAGTACTTTGGGAGGCCGAGGTGGGAAGATCGCTTGTGCTGAGGAGTTCAAGACCATCCTGGAAAACATAGTGAGACCTTGTCTCTCAAAAAATAAGTGGATATCTTTTTCTTGATCTTAAGGGAAAGCCTTTCAGTCTTTCACTGTTGAGTATGATATTAGCTATGAGTTTTCATAAATGGCCTTTATTATGCTGATGTTTCCTTCTAGAATCTAGTTTATTGTTTTTTCATTACAGGGTATTGACTTGTCAACATTTTTTTGGTATCAGTTGCAGTGGTTATGTGGTATGTTGAACTGTCTTTGAATTCCTGAGATTTAGTTTATTTAGTCATGATGTATAATCCTCTTATGCTGCTGAATTCATTTTCCTAGTATTTTGTTGAGGATTTTTATAACTATAGTCATGAGTGATATATTGGTCTATAGTTTTGTTTTCTCACAGTGTCTTTAGCTTTGGTAATGCTGGCATCATAAAATGAGTTAGGAAGTGTTACCTCCCAGTCAATTTTTGGGAAGAGTTATGAGAAGGATTGGTGTTAATTCTTCTTTATTTTATTTAATTATTTAAAGAGATGGGTCTGGTTTTGTTGCTTAAGTTTGTCTCGAACTCCTAGCCTTAAGTGATCCTCCTGCCTCAGCCTCTCAAATTGTTGGGCTTACAGGCATAAGCCGCCATACCCGGCTTTAATTCTTCTTTAAATGTTTCGTAGAATTTACTAGTGAAGTCATCATGTCCTGGGTTTTTCTGTTTTGGGAAGTTTTTGATTATTGATTCAATTTCCTTACTACTTATAGGTCTATTTAGTTTTTCTGTTTCTTTATGAGTCAGTTTTGGTAGATTTGTCCATTTTATCTTGGTTATCCAATTTGTTGTTGTACAATTGTATATGGTATTCTCTTATAAATCTTTTTATTTCTATAAAGTTGGTAGTAATGAGGCCTGTTTCATTTCTGTTGCTAGTAATGTGAGTCCTCTCTTTTATTCTTGACCTGTCTTGCCAAAAGTTTGTCAATTTTGTTGATCTTGGTGAAGAACTTTTAGTTTCATTGACTTTCTGTATTTTTCTATTCTCTATTTCATTTTTCCCCACTATAATCTTTATTATTTCTTTTGCTAGCTTTGAGTATTGTTTTTTTCTAGTGGCATATGGCATAAGGCATAGTTAGGCCTAGTTCCTAATTTGATTTGAGATCTTTCTTCTTTTTTAATTGCATGTGTTTGCAGCTATAAATATCATTCTGGCCGGGCACAGTGGCTCACGCCTGTAATCCCAGTGCTTTGGGAGGCCGAGATGAGTGGATCACCTGAGGTCAGGAGTTTGAGAGCAGCCTGGGCAACATGGTGAAACCCCATCTCTACTAAAAATACAAAATTAGCCAGGCGTGATGGCGTGTGCCTGTAGTCCCAGCTACTTGGGAGGTTGAGGCAGGAGAATCACTGGAACTCAGGAGGCAGAGGTGGCAGTGAGCCAAGATTGTGCCATTGCACTCCAGCCTGGGCAACAAGACCAAAACTGCATCTCAAAAAAAAGAGAAATAAATAAATAAATTTCATTTTAACCACTGCCTTTGCTGCATTCCATAGGTTTTGGTATGGTTGTGTTTTCATTTGTCCAAAGTGACTTTCTAATTTCCCTCGTGATTTCTTTGACTCATTAGTTATTTAAGAGTGATGTTTAATTTTCATGTATTTGTGACTATTGTAGTTTTGCGATATTGTTGATTTCTAGTTTCATTCCATTTTGACTAGAAAAGATTGTGAGATTTCAATCTTTTTAAATTTATTAAGACTTGTGGCCTAACATATGGTTTACTCTGGGAAAAAAAAAACATAAAAGAACATGGAAAAAGTTCTATGTGTACTTGAGAAGACTGTGTAATCTACTGTTGTTGGGTGGAGTTTTCTGTGTACATCTTTTAGGTTCAATGGCTTATAGTGTTGTTCAAGTTCTCTGTTTCCTTATTGATCTTCTGTCTGGTTGTCTTAATCGTAATTGAAAGTGAGGGGTACAGAGTTTTTGTTTGCATAATGAAGAAGTTCTGAAAATAGATACTATACCGGTAATAGTTATTTAACATTTTGAATGTACTTAGTCCTACTGAATTATACTCTTTAAAATGGTTAAACTATTGGATGTAAAATAAGGAATCAGAACTCTAAGAAAAGTCCAAGACTTTATGAAAAAACAAAAATTATAGTTACGGAATTTAAAAACTTAGTGAATGAGCTGGGTATAGGGATGCATGCTTATAGTCTCAGTTGCTCAGAAGGCTGAGGCAGGAGGATCCCTTGAGGCCAGGAGTTCAAGATCAACTTGGGCAACAAAGTGAGACCCCTGTCTCTATGAGTTAGAGTGAAGTTTAAACAGAGCTGAAGATAACAATTAATGAACTGGAAGATCTGACAGGGTAACTAATAATGAAGATCCTAGAAATAAGAGATGAAAAGTACAAAAGAAGTTGAAACATGGACTAGAATTAGAAAGTTCAAAATATCTAAAGGGAGTTTCAGGTAGAGGGAGTAGAGAGATGAGAAAGGACAAAGGCACATTCAGAGAGATGACAGCATTCAGAGAGATGACAGTAGAATTTTAAGAATTAACAAAAAACATCACCATTCAGATTCAGGAAGTACAGTGAAGATTACCAAAGAGAAGATCTTAAAAGCAACTAGAGTAAAAAAACATTCCTGCAAATAATCAAACAGAGCAAACTTTGCCACAGCGGCAGTAGAGGTCAGAAGATAGTAGAAAATATCCTCAGTGTCTGTCTGTAAACATAGAACTTTTTTTTTTTTAATTGAGTCAGAGTCTTGCTCTGTCGCCCAGGTTGGAATGCAGTGGTATGATGTCGGTTCACTGCAACTCTGCCTCCCAGGTTCAAGCAATTCTCCTGCCTCAGCCTCCTGAGTAGCTGGGATTATAGGCGTGTGCCACCATGCCTGGCTAATTTTTGTATTTTTAGTAGAGATGCAGTTTTGCCATGTTGACCAGGCTCGTCTCGAACTCCTGACCTCATGTGATCCACCCGCCTCGGCCTCCCGAAGTGCTGGAATTACAGGCATGAGCCACCGTGCCTGGCCTGTAAACCTAGAACTGTTAATCAAAAGAAACAGTTTAGGAAGACAAAAGGTGGAACAAAATTCTTCATAACATGTCAGTGGAAGAGAATAGATAGAATTAATATTTTAAGTTTCTTATACTGTTTGGAAAAAGGGCACAAAGAAATATGCTGAAAATACGTGGTAAATATATTCTATATCAGTAGAAATTTTACAACAAAATTTCCAAAAATGTGTTCTTCAGAGTAGTTTTTATTTATTTATTTATTTATTTTTTGAGAGACAGTCTTGCTCTGTCACCTAGGTTGGAGTGCAGTGGCGCAATCTCAGCTCACTGCAACCTCTGCCTTCCAGGTTCAAGCGATTCTCATGCCTCAGCCTCCCGAATAGTTGGAACTACAAGCACGCGCCTCTGTACCCAGCCAATTTTTGTAATTTTAGTAGAGACGGGGTTTCACCATGTTGGCCAGGAGGCTGGTCTCGAACTCCTGACCTCAAGTGATCCACCCGCCTTGGCCTTGCAAAGTGCTAGGATTACAGGCATGAGCCACCATGCCCAGCCCATAGTAGGACTTTTTTAAAAATGGTCAAAACTTTTGGTAATGTATAGGAGAATGAGCTGATGACTTTTTGGAAGACTTTAAGAAAAAGAAAATACGAGGTTTTAAAAAATATTTAAAACATTTTATTATTATTATTATTATTATTATTATTATTATTATTTTTGAGACAAAGTTTTGTTCTTGTTGGCCAGGCTGGAGCGCAGTGGCGTGATCTCAGCTCACTGCAATCTCCACCTTCCGGGCTCAGCGATTCTCCTGCCTCAGCCTTCTGAGTAGCTGGGATTACAGGCACCTGCCACCATGCTGGCTAATTTTTGTATTTTTAGTAAAGATGGGGGTTTCACCATGTTGACCAGGCTGGTCTTGAACTCCTGTCCTCAAGGTGATCCACCCTCCTTGGCCTCCCAAAGTTCTGGGATTACAGGTGTGAGCCACTGTGCACGGCCAGTATTTTTTTTCATTTTTAAATTTATTTTTATTTTTATTCTTTTTAGGCATGGGGTCTCGCTTTGTCACCCAGGCTGGAGTGCAGTGGCTCAGTCCTAGCTCACTGCAGCCTTGAACTCCTGGGCTCAAGTGATCTTCCTGCCTCAGCCTCCCAAGTAGCGTGAACTATAGGAGTCCACCACCACGCCCAGCTAATTTTTAAATTTTGTTTTTGTGGAGATGGGGTCTTGCTACGTTGCCTAGGCTGGTTTCAAACTCCTGACTTCAAACACCTGACTTCAAGTAATCCTCCTGCATTGGTCTCCCAAAGCATTAGGATTACAGGCATGAGCCACTGCTCCCAGCCTTAAGTAAGCTTATAAGAAAATTAAGAACTTGGCCGGGTGCGGTGGCTAACACCTGTAATCCCAGCTCTTTGGGAGCTGAGTGGGAGGTGGGCAGATCCCCTGAGGTCAGGAGTTCAAGATCAGCTTGGCCAACATGGTGAAACCCCGTCTCCACTAAAAATACAAAAATCAGCTGGGTGTGGTTGGTGTGCACCTATAATCCCAGCTACTCGGGAGGCCAAGGCAGGAGAAACACTTGAACCTGAGAGGTGGAGGTTGCACTGAGTCGAGATTGCGCCACTGCACTCCAGCCTGGGTGACAGAGCAAGACTCTGTCTGGAAAAAAAAAAAAAAAAAAAAAGAACTTAGGTTTAGCAAAAGACACTGGCAAAAGCAAGAGTACTTCACAGAAGCAAAAGCCTGAATGGTCAACACATAAATGAAAAAATGCAGAACTTATTTAATAAACAAGGACATTCAAATTAAATGAAATGCTGTTTTTACACCCATCAGACTGATAGTGGTAGTGTTGGCAAAGATGTGGAAAAAGGAAGAGGACTTCTATTCACTATTGGTGGAAATGTGAATTGTTGCAATCACTTTGGAAAAATTTGGCCTCATCTAGTAAAGTTCAGCATGCACATACCCTGTGACCTAGCAGTTCTGTTCCTAGGTTTGTATGTTAGATACTTGGCTAGCACAAAAGTAGTTTATGTCACCATTATTGGTCAAGCCAATAAAATAGCAGAGTATGGCAGTGAAGAGCATCTATAGGTACACTGTCTAGGTTCACATCCTAGCTCTGCCACTAGTTTTGTAACTTTTGGTTCACTAGCCTCACTGTGATTCATTTTCCTCATCTGCAAATATAGTACCTGCCCAATCACACAGGCTTGATATGAGGATGAGATAAATTAATATTTGTAGCCTGTCTTGAGTGTTATTTAAGTGTGCTACGTGCAGCAATATAGATGAATCTAAAAAACATGTTGAGTAAAAAATAAGTTGCAGCAAAATATATACACTATCACAATTTATGTAGTTCAAAAGCATATAGCAGTTAACAAAGTTTAACAAGAAAATTCTTAAAATTTAGGAGTGTTTAAACCTCCTTGCAGGAGATGGCATAAGGAGGGGCACATGGGAGGTTTCTGTTTCTTTAAAATTTTTTCTTTTTAAATCTGTGATCTGGAAAAGGTAAAAAAAATTTAATGTATTATTTATTTTTATTTTATGTTTTTATCAATCTTGGCCTACAGAAGGTTTTTATTTTTTAAGCTGGGTAGTAGGACATAGGTGATTTTCAAGTTCTTTGGACCACGCATGTTTATATGTATTATATTTCATAATAAAATGTAATTAAAAATAAGTTTGGGGGCCGGGCATGGTGGCTCATGCCTGTAATCCCAGCACTTTGGGAGGCCAAGGGGGGCGGATCACGAGGTCAGGAGATCGAGACCATCCTGGCTAACACGGTGAAACCCCGTCTCTACTAAAAATACAAAAAATTAGCCGGGCGTGGTGGCGGGTGCCTGTAGTCCCAGCTACTCGGGAGGCTAAGGCAGGAGAATGGTGTGAACCCAAGAGGCAGAGCTTGTAGTGAGCCGAGATTGTGCCACTGCACTCCAGCCTGGGCAACAGAGCAAGACTCTGTCTCAATTAATCAATCAATCAATCAATCAATAAAATAAGTTTGGGAGGCCAGGCATGGTTGCTCACGCCTGTAATCCCAGCACTTTGGGAGGCCGAGGTGGGCGGATCACTTGAAGTCAAGAGTTCGAGACCAGCCTGGCCAACATAGCGAAACCCCGTCTCTACTAAAAAATACAAAAATTAGCTGGCTGTGGTGGCACATGCCTGTAGTCCAAGGTATTCAGGAGGCTGAGGCAGGAGAATCGCTTGAACCTGGGAGACGGAGGTTGCAGTGAGCCAAGATTGCACCACTGTACTCCAGCCTGGGCGACAGAGTGAGACTTTTTTTTTTTTTTTTAAAAAGAAGGTTCTGATATGTGGGGCTAAATTAAACACTACTTTGATGGAGCACCTCTCAGAACGTTAATATATTACCTGTGCTTTGTGAGCTTCTGTGAGAGATACTTTCAGTGATCCCCAGTTGATCATGGAGCCTTTTGGGAGTTAACATCTAGATTAGGACTATATTCTGGGGATTGTTAATTTTTAGCTTGAGTTTTGTTTATTTTTTAATTATTTTTTTCTGACTGCAAAGACCTAAAAGAGATAGCTTGAGTTTTATTGGCTGAATAGGCTTCTATTGCACAGATACTTTATATAACTAAGGAACCTATTGGATGCTGTAGTAGTACTTTTTTTACTCTTACGAACATTGAAATATTAAAATTTTTTTCATGAGACTGAAATCTTTGCTTATTGTTAATCATGAACTTGGGCTTTTTCCGAAATGTACTATTTAATTTCCTTTACTATAGGAGGGAATTGTCGAGAATCTTTTCAAATGGGCCCGAGAGGCCGATCAACCATTGAGGACATATTCTACTGGACTGTTAGGAGGTGCTATGGAAAATCAAGACATTGCTGCCAACTATAGAGATGAAAATTCACAGCTGGTAAGGACTGTGTTAGAATAAATTTTTATATAAAATGGGAGAGTATTCACAGGTTCTTGTTACTTGAATCTGAATAAGTAGATCATATTGATTATCTTGTACTGGAGCATGGCTATAATTTCAATATTAGTTTCCATAAGAGTTTTTAAAAATTGAAAATAGCTTTTTTTTTTTTTGAGACGGAGTCTTGCTTTGTTGCCCGGGTTGGAGTGCAGTGATGCAATCTTGGCTCATTGCAACCTCTGCCTCCCGGGTTCAAGCAATTCTCCTGCCTCAGCCTCCTGAGTAGCTGGGGTTACAGGTTCCCACTACTATGCCCAGCTAATTTTTTGTATTTTTAGTAGAGACAGGGTTTCACCATGTTGGTCGGGCTGGTCTCGAACTCCTGACCTCATGATCCACCTGCCTAGGCCTCCCAAAGTGCTGGGATTACAAGCGTGAGCCACCGTGTCTGGCAGAAAATAGCTACTTTTAATCTTGTCAAGGATGATGACATTGTATGCCAATAAAGAATAGTAACATTCCCTGTTTCCCTTTCTACCATTTGTGTTATGAAAATTTTCAAACATGTAGTAAAATTGAAAGCATTTTACAGTGAACAACTACATATATACATCACCTAAATTGATTGTGAACACTTATAATATCCATCCATCTGCCCTTTTTTTTCCCTCCCCCCCATCAAATTTTATTTTAAGTTCTGGGGTACTTCTGCAGGATGTGCACGTTTATTACATAGGTAAACATGTGCCATGGTAATTTGCTGCACAGATCAACCCATCACCTAAGTATTAGGCCCAGCATCCATTAGCTATTCTTCCTGATTTCTCTTCCCACTCCCCTTCGATAGGCCCCAGTGTGTATTGTTCCCCTCAGTGTGTCCCTATCGTTCATTTCCCACTTATAAGTGAGAGCATGCGGTGTTTAGTTTTCTTTTCCTGTATTAGTTTGCTGAGGATAACAGCTTCCAAGTGCCCTTCCTTTTATCTATCCACTATTCTGATTTAAAAAACGCAGTTCAAAGTAAAGTGCACACAAAATCCCTCTCTTTTTTTTTTCTTTTTTTGAGACGGAGTTTCACTCTTGTTGCCCAAGCTGGAGTGCAATGACGCGATCTCGGCTCACTGCAACCTCCACCTTCCGGGTTCAAGTGATTCTCCTGTCTCAGCCTCCCGAGTAGCTGGGATTACAGGCGAGCACCTCCACACCCTGGAAATTTTTTGTATTTTTAGTAGAGACGGGGTTTCACCATGTTGGCCAGTCTGGTCTCAAACTCCTGATCTCAGGTGATTCGTCCATCTTGGCCTCCCAAATTACTGGGATTACAGGCGTGAGCTACCGCACCTGGCCATCCCTCTCTCTTTAAAATGAAACACAGTACCACTTTATAGCGTTGGCCCAAAAAGTATGTACTTAAAAAAGAACTTGAAAAATGATAATGTAGTTATGTATAATATACATGGCAATATCTAATGGAATACAACCTACAGTAGATAAAAGTTTGAGAAACTTTCATGTTTGGTTTTCAAAGACACATTAGAAAAATCATGAATATATCTAATTTCTGCCTCTTCAGGTGTGATGGTCCAGGTCAACTTGACCCAAACAGATCAGTTGTCAATGATGTATTTTATGTGCAAATCTTCTGGTTTGGATTCTCTGGAAAATTTTATGAGGAACAATACTTAGCTGTTACTTATTTCATCAACTTATAGGAATCAAAGCAACGCATTTATCAAATTGTTGCTATTACAGGCGTTGGGCTCACTGCATGAGTCTCCAGTTATTATGTGGAAATAAGAATTATTAAGGATTACTTAATCCTTAATAAAGAGGCACCCCCTTTTTCTCCAATTATCTGTTGATAGGTGGCAATAGTGCTTCGAAGACTGAGGGAGCTACAGCTACAGGAAGTGGCTTTGCGGCAGGAAAACAAGCGTCCCAGTCCACGGAAGCTCTCTTCTGAACCCCTTTTGCCTCTGGATGAGGAGGCTGTGGATATGGACTATGGTGACATGGCTGTAGATGTAGTGGATGGAGACCAAGAGGAAGCTTCTGGAGACATGGAGATCTCCTTTCATCTTGATTCAGGCCACAAGACTAGTAGCAGAGTGAACTCAACAACCAAACCTGAGGATGGAGGATTAAAGAAAAACAAGTCAGCAAAACAGGGTGACAGAGAGAACTTTAGGAAAGCCAAGCAAAAGTTGGGTTTCTCATCTTCTGATCCAGATCGCATGTTTGTTGAGCTGTCTAATAGCAGTTGGTCAGAAATGTCTCCCTGGGTGATTGGCACCAATTATACCCTTTATCCTATGACTCCTGCTATCGAGCAGCGACTCATTCTCCAATATTTGACCCCTCTAGGAGAATATCAGGAGGTAAGCTTATTGGGAAGAGTACTGTTCACACATAGGAATTATTGTGTTCATTTCTGTGGTATTTTATGGTAGTATTTTATACAAAGATATATTCTAACTCTACCACAAACAAGGGTTTGCATGAAACTGTTCAAGTCTTATGCAGGTCATTCCTGATATGGTCTATTTGATTAAAGTGCATTTACACGTTTATCTTCACAGGGAGGGAGGAAGAGGTGCATCATTTCTTTAGGCTTCTATCCTCAAAGAGTGGAATAGGAAATACATGACAATAAAGCCAAAATTTAAGACTTGTATTTGGTGTTCATTTCAGCTACTTCCCATATTCATGCAACTTGGATCACGGGAGCTGATGATGTTCTATATTGACCTGAAGCAAACTAATGATGTCCTGCTTACATTTGAGGCACTAAAGGTAAAGTTCTTAAAAATATTGGGTCACCGGGGATTTTTTAAAAACTTTGTTTTTTTTTAAATTTAAGATGGAGTCTCACTCTGTCGCCCAGGCTGGAGTGCAGTGGTGCGATCTTGGCTCACTGCAACCTCCGCCTCCTGGGTTCAAGTGATTCTCCTGCCTCAGCCTCCCGAGTAGCTGGGATTACTGTCACATGCTACCGTGCATGGCTGATTTTTATATTTTTAGTAGAGATGGGGTTTCACCATGTTAGCCAGGCTGGACTCAAACTCCTGACCTCAAGTGATCTGCCCGCCTTGGCCTCCCACAGTGCTGGGATTACAGGCGTGAGCCACTGCGCCTGGTGAAGCTTTACTTATTTATTTTTAGAGATAGGTCTCACTCTGTCACCCAGGCTGGAGTGCAATGGGGTGATCATAGCTCACTGTGGCTTTGAACTCCTAGGCCCAAGCAATCCTACCTCAGCCTCCTGAGTAGCTGAGACAAGTGCATGCCACCATGCTTAGCTAATTTAAAAAAAATTTTTATAGAGATAGTCTTGCTATGTTGCCCAGGCTGGTCTTAAACTGGACTGAAGCAATCCTTCTGCTTTGGCCTCCCAAAGTACTAGGATTATAGGTATGAGCCACCATACCCTGTGTCACTGAGCATTTTATTGACAGAGATGTGCCTGTGTGTTTTAGCATGTAATTTCTCTGCATTTTATTGCTCAAGTTATTTCTATAGCCAGATGCATCAGAATAGTAACAATCAAAACATTCTTGTTTAGATAGAAGAGAGGAGGCTTACTATCTCTACAGAAACTTAGGTGTTAATCTAAAAGGCTGAACGTTGAGATAAAAAGTGAATCTAGACATGGGGTGGCCTCAGTTGTTGCTGAATAGGAGAGGAAAAACTATGAAATAGTGCTTGCTTATGCCCTACTTTTTAGATATTACCTGTATCAGCTAACAACAATTTTTTCTTTTTTTCTTTTTTGAGATGGAGTCTCGCTCTGTTGCCCAGGCTGGAGTGCAGTGGTGTGATTTCTGCTCACTGGAACCTCCGCTTCCTGGGTCAAGCAATTCTCCTGCCTCAGCCTCCTGAGTAGCTGGGATTACAGGTGCCTGCCACCATGCCTGGCTAATTTTTTGTATTTTTAGTAGAGATAGGGTTTCACCATGTTGGCCAGGCTGGTCTCAAACTCCTGACCTCAAGTGAACCACTCGCCTCAGCCCCCCAGAATGTAGGGATTACAGGAGTGAGCCATCACGCCTGGCCACAAAAAAATTTTTTAAACTATGTACATATTGTATAATGTAAAATTACCTAGGATTAACAAAATAGAAACCAGAAAATGAGTAATGAAATAGCAGACAGAATTAGCTGGGCATGATGGCAGGTACCTGTAATCCTAGCTACTCAGGAGGCTGAGGTGGGAGAATCGCTTGAACTCGGGAGGTGGACGTTGCAGTGAGCAGAGATCGTGCCATTGTACTCCAGCCTGGGCAACAGAGTGAGACTCTGTCTCAAAAAAAAAAAAAAAAATAGAAATAGCAGACAGGCCAGGCACGTTAGCTCACGCCTGTAATCCCAGGACTTTGGGAGGCTGAGGCAGGAGGATAGCTTGAGCCCAGGAGTTTGAGACCAGCTTAGTCAACATGGGAGACCTGGTCTCTACAAAAAATACAAAAATTAGCCTGGCGTGGTATCTTGCACCTGTAATCCCAGCTACTCAGGAGGCTGAGGCATGAGAATCACTTGAACCCGGGAGGCGGAGGTTGCAGTGAGCTAAGATCACTAGGGTGAGCCTGAGCGACAGGGTGAGACTCTGTCTCTGAAAAAAACAAAACAGGCAGACCCTTCAACTCAGTAAAGGTTTCACAGGGGCTAAACATAGGAGGGCAAGTAAGTCTAATTCACAAGGTCCACACTTAATTCAAGGTGACTAAGCTGATCTGAATGGAGAGAGATAGTTGAATGAATAACAATGTAGCTGTCATACAGTTCTCCTCAATAGGTAACTGTTGAGAGATGAGGTCATTAAAATTACTTTTTAAAAAAATGTATATAACACTTCGGCGCAGCGCGGTGGCTCATGTCTGTAATCCCAGCACTTTGGGAGGCTGAGGCAGGTGAATCACCTGAGGTCAGGAGTTTGAAACCAGCCTGACTGACATGGAGAAACCCCGTCTCTACTAAAAATGCAAAATTAGCTGGATGTGGTGGCACATGCCTATAATCCCAGCTACTCGGGAGGCTGAGGCAGGATAATCGCTTGAACCCAGGAGGTGGAAGTTGCAGTGAGCTGAGATCGTGCCATTGCATTCCAGCCTGGGCAATAACAGCGAACAACATTGTAACAATCCTGAAAGCCAAAAGAAAATAATATTCACAGTCTCACTTAAAATAACTTTTTATTTTTGTGCTTCATTCTAATCTTTATTAATAGACACAGTTGCTTTGAAAATAATTGTTAGCTAGACTTTACAATTCAACTTCACTTGTATCCTAAGAATGTTTACATGTAGCTATATGGTTGTTCTATACAAATTAGATGCTCTGTAATTTTCTTATTTTAGTTTTGTGAGATACCTATGCCGTTTTATTTTTTTGTTACAAAGGACGTTACAGTGAACATCTTTGCATATAATTTTGAGGTTATTTTCTTTGTATTTCTACTGCTTAGAACAGGGACTGGTATATCGTAAGCAATCAACAAATAGTAGTCACTTAGTAAGTGAATGAATTCTCTTAATATTTGTTTCTTGAACCATGGAAATAAGGATTTTCATGAAAAACTGAAGTTACCCTGCTGGGCTAAAGTTTAATTTTAAAATGAAATTACAGTTAAAAAAAAATGCATAACCACACCAAACTTTCAGGGAAATTTTGGGCATGCAGAAGTCAGAAAAGAATGAATGAATATGTAATAAGTAAAATTTTAAGATGAACATATAACAGGTATAAAACTAGCCAAGATTTGAATGGAACACAAAGATGATAAGTTACTTTGTTATAAGTGAGACTGAATATTACTTTTGTTTGGGTTTCCAGGATTGTTACAGTGTTTTCTTTCTTTTTCTTTTTTCTTTTTTCTTTTTTTTCTGGCGTAGTGACTAGACTGCAACAATGTTGTTTGTGTTATGCATTTTATTTTATTTATTGTTTTTTTGAGGACAAGGTCTTACCCTGTCACCCAGGCTGGAGTGCAGTGGCGTGATCTTGGCTCACTGCAACCTCCACCCCCCAGGCTCAAGCCATCCTCCTGCCTCAGCCTCCTAAGTAGCTTGGACTGCAGGTGCGCACCACCCTGCCCAGCTAATTTTTTGTATTTTTGGTAGAGACCGGGTTTCATTATAATGCCCAAGCTACTCTCGAACTCCTGGGCTCAAGCTTTCCATCTGCCACCCTCCCAAAGTGCTGGGATTACAGATGTGAGCAACTGTGCCCAGCCCCCTGTTATACATTTTATAAAAAAGTAATTTTAATGACCTCATCTCTCAGTAGTTACCTGTTGAGAACTGTATGATAGCCACATTGTTATTCATTCAACTACATTGCTCCATTCAGATCAGCTTAGTCATCATGGATAAGTGGGGATCTTGCTTATCTTACTTGCCCTCCCATGTTCAGCCCCTTTGCAACCCAGGAAATAATTTCCCTTTACTGAGTTTGGGGTCTTCTTGCTCTTTCTTTCTTTTTTTTTTTTTTTTTTTTTTTTGACATGGAGTCTTATCTGTCACCTGGGCTGGAGTGCAGTGCAGTGGTGCTATGTTTGCTCACCGCTACCGCTGCCTTCCGGGTTCAAGCAGTTCTCCTGTCTCAGGCTCCCAAGTAGCTGAGATTACAGGCATGTGCCACCACGCCTGGCTACTTTTTTTATTTTTTGTGGAGACAGGGTTTCACCATATTGGCCAGGCTGGTCTCGAACTCCTGACCTCAAGGGATCCGCCTGCCTCAGCCTCCCAAAGTGCTGGGATTAAAGGCGTGAGCCGCTGCACCTGTCTCTCTCTTTTTTTTAAAAGACACTCAAATATGTCAACTTTATTATTTCTCTATACATACCTTTATTTGTACTGAAAATTGTGAAAATAGCACAAAGTTTCATCTTATTGCAGTCCAAATTTTTGAAAGCCAGAAAATCTATTATGCTCTAGGCAAACTACCCAACGGTCTCTTTACGTTCTTTCCCCACAAGTGAGTTTGTTTCAAATTCTTGATGTTGGGTTTTGTCTCACTGACTTTGGGCTTCTAAAACACATGGGAATACTTTTGTCCTCTTGGTGCTTCTTTGGGTCAAATCAAACAGTAGAGCTAAAGTATACTGAAGTTATTAAAATACGTTCAAACTACACAGATCCTTTATAAATTATTAGTATCATGATAGGAAGGAAAGATACAAGAAGAAAAATACATCCTAGAACTCATTTCAAAATTATTGGTATACAGTCTATCCTAGCATAGGGTAGCTTTTTCACCCTGCTGCATAAAATTACTAGCAAGAAAGAAAAGTACAAGAATAAGGGTTATGGCTGACATGGCTCAGTGTCATAATTCCGTATTCTAGCATCCTCAGAAGGATCCCATTGGTTATACATGCAGAAACTGCAGCAACATCTGAATGGTCCACTACTTGATTCATTCTGAACTCTCTTAAGCCCAGTGTTTGTTAGTTCTCTTTCAAGCCTAGAACTCTGCTGAGTAACATGTATCTCAATTTTGCCATCCTTTTCTTTCTATGCAAACAGCAGTGTTCTTACCCCTCTCATGTAGAGCAAGTCATCTCTGATTTCCCTGAGCATCATTGCTCCTGTATATTGTTGTTGGGGTGAATTTTCTGGTAGATGGGAAGGGAATTCAGTACTGGGGTGTATAGTCAAGTTACTAAGGTTCTTTATCAACGTCTTGAAGCAGAAGTTTTGAGAGGCCCCCGAATCATCCTGGGAATTTTCTTCAGTGAGCATTTATGAAGACTCTGGGACCAAGGTCGGATCAAACTTTGTGATGTGCACATCGGTGATCTTGACACAACACTCTCCTTGCTTTTTCTTTAATCATCTTCCCTTTGCCGAACTGCTTATTTTACTACCACTTGGCAACTTTATTTTTGTCTTTGTTCTTTGCTGAACATTTATTGAGTGTTTTTTATGGGCCAGATACTTATGTTCAGGTACGAGGGATACAAGGAGGCCAGTGAATAAATAAATCAAGTCTTTGTCACTTACGGTTTGTTAAGAAAGACAGACATATAAACCTATAATTTTTTTTTTTTTTTTGAGACAGAGTTTCGCTCTTGTTACCCAGGCTGGAGTGCAGTGGCATGATCTCTGCTCACTGCAACCCTGGCCTCCCGGGTTCAAGTGATTATTCTGCTTCAGCCTCCTGAGTAGCTGGGATTATAGGCGTGTGCCACCATGGCCGGCTAATTTTTGTGTTATTAGTAGAGGCTAGGTTTCACAATGTTGGCCAAAGTAGTACAGTTCCAAAGTATTTTGAAATGGAATAGAAATGAGGAAATTTGCCTTTCAACTTTCAGAAATTTCAAGTTTGGAGGAGGTCAGATGTAATTAGAGTAACGTGTCTCTACATGTGGGATTTGGTGTGTGTGTATATATAAAGTGTGTAAGCTCATGGTTATACTTTGCACAGTGGGATGAAGCTGGAGGTCAAAGTTGTCTCCAGTGGCCCAAGGATATTGCTTTCAGTTGCAATTTCTGGTCCTGAACAAGGTGCAGTGGAAGAAGGGATTGGGCAGTTGCTATTTTTAAAGGTTTTTGTGTGGAGAATTATAATGGGTGTCACACAGTTTAGCTGCATCTTGGGAGAAGGAGTGGGTGGAAGTGTGGTAGAGTGTTGTGTAACAAACAAAAAGTAGGTTAATGATAGAAGGGATTTGAATTATATATAAGGGTTAGCCTGAGCCTGGTTATTGAGAGAACTTTTGAAGAGGGCACATCCCTGTTTTTTCCATTGACCTTGGTGAGATTTGTGCAGATATCATATCATGTAATTACAAATCTATGTTGTTGGTACCTGGAAGACACCTTGGCATGGGAAACAGTAGGGGGAGCTCTAGCTTTCCCAAGGCCCTGTCTATGTTGGCCTAGGTTCAGAGTCATCAAGCAGCCTGCTGCTTGGATTATACTCTTTGCCCATAACATTGTGCAGGAGATCTCCACCCAGAGAGGCTAGTGGGACTTGAACAGGCAGTTAAAAAACCTTAAAAAATAAAAAAACTTTAAGACATCTATTTAAAATGCACGTGGTTAGTTCTAAAAATATACTTGTTTAGATACTTTGCTCAAGATTCTTCTTTTGGGGATATATTGATCAATTTAAAGGAAGGCAGATTTTGGGAATTCATTAGTTGATGACTCACTGAGCAAAAGCTAGGATATAGAGCTATTTATATTAAAAGGATTAAAATGGGAAAGTTAGCAAAAGTCCATTAGGGAAGCTATTAAGTTGGTGCAAAAGTAATTGCGGTTTTTGCTATTGCTTTCAAAGGCAAAAACTGCAGTTTTTCACCAACCTAAATATGTAATAGTAAAATGGTTGTAGGGTTACTGATTGTCTGATTGACTGACAGGGTCTTACTTTGTCACCCAGGCTGGAGTGCAGTGGTGCAATTGATCCTAGCTCACTACAGCCTTGAACTCCCCGGCTCAAGCGATCCTCTTACCTCACCGTCCTGAGTAACTGGGACTACAGGCATGCGCCACTGCATTTGGTTAATTTTTAAATTTTTTGTGGAGATGGGGTTGTGCTATGTTGTCCAGGCTGGCCCTGAACTCCTGGCTTCAAGCAGTCTTTTCACCTTGGCCTCTCAAAGTACTAGAATTGCAGGAGTGAGACACCCTGCCTGACCAATATCATTACTTATAGTAAATTTTTTTTTTTTTTTTTGAGACAGGGTCTCCTTCCGTCGCCCAGGCTGCAGTGCAGTGGTGCAATCTTGGTGCACTGCAACCTCCGTCTCCCGGGTTCAGGCGATCCTCCTGCCTCAGCCTCCCAAGTAGCTGGGATTACAGGCACCCACCACCACGTCTGGCAAATTTTTTGTATTTTTAGTAGAGACGGGATTTCGCCATGTTGGCCAGGCTGGTCTCGAACTCCTGACCTCAAGTGATCTGCCTACCTTGGCCTCCCAAAGTGCTGGGATTACAGGCGTGAGCCACTGCACCCAGCCCTTACAGCAATATCTTTCACCTTCATAAAAAAATCAGGCTGGGCATGGTGGCTCACGCCTGTAATCCCAGCACTTTAGGAGGCACAGGTGGGCGGATCACCTGAGGTCAGGAGTTCAAGACCAGCCTGGCCAACATGGTGAAACCCCGTCTCTACTAAAAAATACAAAAATTAGCTGGACGTGGTGGCGGGTATCTGTAATCCTAGCTGCTTGGGAGGCTGAGGCAGGAGAATCGATTGCACCTGGGAGGCGGAGGTTGCAGTGAGCCAAGACTGCACCATTGCACTCCAGCCTGGGCAACAAGAGCAAAACTCCATCTCAAAAAAAAAATTTCCTGGTGTTAGGAAAGAAAAGAGGAATGTTAAGGAATCTTAGTCTTTTTATTTACTTTAAATAATACTGGGTTTTCTTTTGTGAGGGGTTGGTTGTCTCCTTAGAGGGCTTTTGTATTTAACAGCTTAACTGAATATTAGGTCAAGAGATTTTGTTAATTTTCTAGATTATTTTGTGGTAATTTGTGTCCTCATTTTTTAGCACCTAGCATCTCTCCTGCTCCATAACAAATTTGCCACAGAATTTGTTGCGCATGGTGGAGTACAGAAATTACTGGAAATACCTCGTCCTTCTATGGCTGCAACCGGTGTGTCTATGTGTTTGTATTACCTATCCTACAATCAGGATGCCATGGAAAGAGTAAGTCATCTATACAGGTTTGTGGGGATGAGATTAGGTTGGGGATAACCTCTTTAAAAGATCACATTCGCAGAATGACTTTTGGATAAGAAAAAAACAGTAGTTGAAGGAATAAATTTTAATGAAACAAGGAACATGAAAGTCTAGTCTTTATAAAGCATTCTAAAAATGTAAAATTGTTTAGAAATGGTTCTATTTTTTTCTGACTCTTCTGGGAAAATGCTGGGTGGATTGGAGTCTGGGAGCTTTATTTAGTTTTTGCCATTTCTGTGGCATTAAGATTAGCCTTCAGGCACTTTTCCGATGTCTTAGTGCAATGACATTTATGAGTTATTGTAAAAACAACAGGCCGGGCGCAGTGGCTCACGCCTGTAATCACAGCACTTTGGGAGGTCGAGGTGGGTGGATCACCTGAGGTCAGGAGTTCAAGATCAGCCTGGCCAACATGGTGTAACCCCGTCTCTACTAAAAATACAAAAATTAGCTGGGCATGGTGGCAGGTGCCTGTAATCCCAGCTACTTGGGAGGCTGAGGCAGGATAATTGCTTGAACCCAGGAGGCGGAGGTTGCAGTGAGCCGAGACTGTGGCATTGCATTCCAGCCTGGGCTACAGAGCAAGACTCCGTTTAAAAAAAAAAAAACACACAACAGACCTAGTCTCTCACTGATTCATTCACACACACGTTTATATCGTATATAGGGGTGTATATGTTTGTGTATTTTTAGAGACAGGGTCTTGCCCTATTGCCCAAGTGCTCAGCCTGCCAGGTAGCTAGGACTACAGGCTTGTGCCACCATGCCTGGCTACTTTTTATACTTTTTTTTTTTTTTTTTTTTTACAGAATCTTGCTCTGTCTCCCAGGTTGGAGTGCAGTGGTGCCATCTTGGCTCACTGCAGCCTCCAACTCCCAGGTTCAAGCAATTCTTCTGCCTCAGCCTCCCAAGTAGCTGGGATTACAGGCGCCCACCACTGTGCCCAGCTAATTTTTGTATTTGTAGTAAAGACAGAGTTTCAGCACGTTGGCCAGGCTGGTCTCGAACTCCTGACTTTGTGATTCCCGCACCTTGGCCTCCCAAAGTGCTGGGATTACAGGCGTGAGCCACCATGCCCGGCCTTTTTTTTTTCTAATGACAGGGTCTCGCTCTGTTGTCCAGGCTGTAGGCTGTAGTGCAGTGGTGTGATCACAGCCCACTGTAGCCTTGACCTCCTGGGCTCAAGCCATCCTCCCACTTCAGCCTCCCAAGTAGCTGGGACCACAGACGTGCACCACCACACCTGGCTAATTTTTGTACTTCTTTTTTTTTTTTGTACTTTTTGTAGAGATTGGGTTTCACCATGTTGCCCAGGCTGGTCTCCGACGCCTGGACTCAAGTACTCCTCCCACCATGGCTTCCCAAAGTGCTGAGATTATAGGCATGGGCTACCACACTCAGCTGATGCTTGTTTTATATTAACAAATAGTTTGTTATGGAGATAATAAAACCATCCCAACTGTTCCTAGGGCTGCAGAGAGGTTTTCCATTTGGTTCTACTGTTTTTGTAGTTAAGACTCTTTCATATATAATCTTTTTTTTTTTTTTTTTTTGAGACGGAATCTTGCTCTGTCACCCAGACTGGAGTGCAGAGGCGGGATCTCAGCTCACTGCAACCTCTGCCCCCTGGGTTCAAGTGATTCTCCTGTCTCAGCCTCCTGAATAGCTGGGATCACAGGCACGTGCCACCATGCCTGGCTAATTTTTTTTTTTTTTCAGTAGAGACGGGGTTTTACCATGTTGGCTAGGCTGGTCCTGAACTCCTGACCTCAAGTGATCCACCCGCCTCAGCCTCCCAAAGTACTGGGATTACAGTCATAAGCCACCGTGCCTGGCCTTGTGATTTTTTAAAAAGTGTAAATGGGTTACACATACGTATGTGGTTTTTTGTTTTTGTTTTTGTTTTGAGGCAGGGTCTGGCTCTGTCGCCTATGCTGGAGTCCAGTGGCATGATCTTGGCTCACTGCAGCCTCGGCCTCCTGGGTTCAAACCATCCTCGCAAGTAGCTGGGACAACAAGGGCACACCACCACACCTGGCTAATTTTTGCGTGTTTTGTAGAGGCAGGGTTTTGCCATTTTGCCCAGGCTGTGGGTTATACATTTGAAAAGCGATGGGCTCCTGTGATCCCCTAGGAAAGCAAAGCTCTTGTTACTTCTATTTCTGGGACATTTTTCTAATATTCTTATTTGGTGTCTTTTCTGGTAGAGTGAAATGGGTAATTTCTTCTCGAGCTATGACATTATTTATCTTTGCTTATTAATAATATCAGTTTTAATTTGTTTTTATTTTGGTGTTTATGCAAGATAGGTAGTCTTTTGGGAGTAATAAACTAATCTATGTGTGTACATACAAAATTACTTATGGCTAAGATAGAGAAAAAAATATCAAGGAAACCTGGGGATGCTTTACAGTTTCATTTTCTGACCCATAGTAGACATCAAAATGTGTGTGAATTAACCAGAGAATGAATACCAAACTCCTAGACTTAGGATCAGAAATCTGAGCCACTTTTATCACATTTGGAGAAGTTCCTTACCTCTTCCTCTTCTTTTAAGTGAGAATCCTAATACCTGTATAATGGAGCCCTCGTGAGCATTAAATGATGTAAATATTTGTTGGCACTCAGTAAGTATAGGTTGTATTTAAATATTTATCTAAATTTAGGTCGTTTTCAGGTTTGGAATGGATCGTGTTCTAAAATTGCCTTTGTATTATTACCTAAACTTTGTACTAAGAGTGACTTGATTGGAGATGGTCATTGTATTCTGCAGATATCTATACTGGCAAATTTTCCATCCTGTTCAAGGGCTCCTTTGCCCACAATTTAAAAGCATTGTTTTATTTGTATTTTTTTGCAGGTTTGCATGCATCCCCACAATGTTCTGTCTGATGTGGTGAACTATACCCTGTGGTTAATGGAGTGTTCTCATGCTTCAGGATGCTGCCATGCTACCATGTTTTTTTCAATTTGCTTCTCATTTCGGGCCGTCTTGGAGCTCTTTGACCGCTATGATGGTCTTCGTCGTCTGGTGAACTTGGTGAGGTTCTTTCAGTGCTTTTCTCCCTAGGATTGAGGGTCCTGGTTGTCTTGGCTGCCCTTTAACGGCACACCCTTGAAGAAAGGAAGCTTCTGATTAGAGGAGTTTTGCTGCCATTCTTTTTGTGAAGTTTTTTTTTTTTCCCTTTCTTCACAAATTTCTCTTTTTCTTTAGTAGTTAGAGGACACTGTGCCGTTGTAGACTTGCCTTGGATATAGTAATCTTATAACGGGGATTGGCAGTTGATGATCTTGATCTTTGTAAAAGCAATAGTTTTATTCCTGTACATTTTTTAATATGATTAAAAGCTTGTTCATTTTTTGGTATGAGTTTAATGTTTTGCTTTCATATAGCTACTGTTAGCATGCTATATACATAGATATACATAAATATGCGTTGATATTTGTCAGTCTTGTTAAGCATAAAAGTTTACTGATACATAAGCAGAATATGTATGGAAAGTAAAAAAAGTTTACTAAAATATTTTCCCTTTTTTAAATATTTTTACTTAACTCTTCTTGCCTTTTCCCCTCTTTTGCCCCAATATTTTGCATCTTAATAGATCAGTACTTTGGAGATTCTAAATTTGGAAGATCAGGGTGCACTTCTGAGTGATGATGAAATATTTGCTAGCCGCCAAACTGGGAAACATACCTGCATGGCCTTGCGCAAATACTTTGAGGCTCACCTGGCCATTAAATTGGAACAAGTGAAGCAGTCACTTCAGAGGACTGAGGGTGGCATTCTTGTCCACCCACAACCCCCGTACAAGGTGAGAGGACCTTGCCTTGAAAGGGAAAGTTCTGTTAGCCCTCTCTGTAGCATCTCAGTCCTGAAACTCACATTCAGATCAGTGGACTCTGTGCTATGTCCATTGTTGGAGTATACTTCCCTGTATGAAGGCAGAACAATTGAAAAATGGATGTAATAGGTGAATTTCAGGGAATTATTTTGCTTCCAGTTGTAAGTTGCTGGGATTCTAGAACTAAAAGATTAACTGAAGTGTGTATAAAAAAGCTTTCTTTTTTTCTTTTTGAGATACGTCTCCCTCTGTCACCCAGGCTGGAGTGCAGTGATGTGACCACACCTCATTGCAACATTAACCTCCCAGGTTCAGGTGATCCTCCCACCTCAACCTCCTGAGTAGTTGGGGGACTATAGGCACACACCACCACACCCAGCTAATTTTTAAATTTTTTTGTGGAGATGGGGGTCTCACTATGTTGTCCTGGCTGGTCTTGGAACTCCTGGACTCAAGCAGTCCTCCCACCTCGACCTCCCAAAGTGCTAGAATTACAGGTGTGAGCCACTGTACCTGGCAAAGAGCTTTTTTGTATGAAAAGTACTAGATGATTTGCCTTCTGTGCAGAATTTCTTTTCTGAAAATGTGTTTATAACTCCACTTCACTATCATTGTGGAATTTGATATGTTTTGGGATAATGACGAGTAGCTGCATGTTTTTTAAAAAATCACCAGCAGATTTCTTGAGACCAGCCTGGGCAACAATAGTGAGACCCTGTCTTTACAAAAATTTTAAAAATTGGCTGGGCCCTGTGGTGTGCATCTGTAGTTCTAGCTACTTGGGAGGCAGAGGTGGGAGGATCATTTGAACCCAGGAGTTCAAGACTGCAGTGAGCTACGATCATATCACTGCACTCCAGTCTGGGCAGAGACTGTCTCAAAAAAAAAAAAAAAAAAAAGGGCATGGTGGTACACCTGTGTCAGCTACTTGGGAGGCTGAGATGGGAGAGTCACTCGAGTCTGGGGGTTTGAGGCCGCACGTGATCGGGCTATGGCACTCCAGTCTGGGCAACAGAGTGAGAACCAGTCTCAAGAAAAAAAAAAGTCACAAATTGAAATCAGTCACATGATGCTTCTTTCTCTTAAGCTGTAACTTATATGCACAAAGGAAACTTTTGTTATCTTTTTGGACAAATCATATTGTGAGTCTAGTTATAAATAAGATAAAAGATTAAGCAATCTATGGTCATTACTTCACATATGGGCTTTTGACTCAAGAATTGTGGAATTTGAAAGGTATTATTATTTAATTTATAATTAAAACCTTGGCCAAGCATGGTGGCTCATGCCTGTAATTCCAGCACTTGAGGAGGCTGAGGTGGGAGGATCGCTTGAGTCTAGGAGTTCAGGGCTGCAGTGAGCTATGATCATGCCACTGCACTCCAGCATGGGCAACAAAATGAGACCCTGTCTCTACAAAAAATAAAATAATTAGCTGGGTGTGGTGGCATGTGCCTGTGGTTCTAGCTACTTGGGATGCTGAGACAGGAGGGCAGCTTGAGCCTGGGAGATTGAGGCTACAGTGAGCCGTGATCAAGCCACTGCCCTCCAGCCTGGGCAGCAAAGTGAGACCCTGTCTTGAAATAAGTAAATAAAATAAAATCTCTTGGCCAGTGAGCTGTGCTCAAGGAGGTAGTAGGCAGATGTAGAGTTATATATAATAATAATACTATATATCTCTCCTTATAGGCATGCTCATATACTCATGAACAGATTGTGGAAATGATGGAATTTTTGATAGAATATGGCCCAGCGCAGCTATATTGGGAACCAGCTGAAGTTTTCCTCAAACTTTCTTGTGTGCAACTCTTGTTGCAGCTTATTTCTATTGCCTGCAATTGGAAGACCTATTATGCAAGGTGGGACCAGAGAGAGATTTCAAATGAAGTTTGATGCATCTTTTTGTTAAAGTTGATGTTGGTTTGCACATTGTATATGCTTAACAAACATTTGTTGAATTGAATTGAAATTTTGGACTTGAATCTGAGAAATTAGATTAGGCATGAAAATATGATTTTTAATTTACAGCACACTTGTTCATATATATGGTCTTGGTGATTGTAAAATTTGCATAATAGGCAAGGATTAGCCTCTGTACTGTCGGAGAAGGTACATGATTTACACGGCCACAGCTGCAGAGCTGGGGTTAAAGTCTTGTCTTGAGCCTGGAGTCCAGGATTCTTTAGTACTTAAAGTGTCTTGCTACTACTTGACAACCATATATAATGTTTATATTACGTTCATATAAAATTGTCCTTTTACTCTTGGAATTCGACATACTGTTAGGATTTTCACAAATTAGTTTAAGGCAGAGCAGGACAAGGCCCAGAAAAGGGTGGCTGATGTAATCAGGAAACTGGGTAGGTTCTATTTGAAGATGATATAAAAAGAAATAAAACTGTTTTGAAAAAGATGGGGTCTTAAGAGAAGATAGTAAAAAAGTTTATAAACAGAGTGCTTGACCTTCTTTTCCTATTCACTCACTGCCATAAAGATAAGAGAGGGGCTTATTTAGGGGAATATAGTAAGTTTGTTAAATCCCAGCATTTAAATATTGTAAGGTACTCTTGGAGCAGGTGTTATTAAACTTTTTGGTTTCAAGATACCTTTACCATATTAATAATTACTGAGAACTCTAAAAGGCTTTTGTTTTTGTGTTATATCTATCAGTATTAGAAATTAAAACAGAAAATGTAAAAATATTTATGCATTAAAAATGTGGGCCAGGCACAGTGGCTCATGCTTGTAATTTCAGCACTTTGGAAGGACGAGGTGGGCAGATCACTTGAGGTCCGAAGTTTGAGACCAGCCTGGGCAATGTGGTGAAACCCCATCTCTACTAAAAATAGAAAAATTAGCCGGGGGTGGTGTTACGCACCTGTAGTCCCAGCTACCTGGGAGGCTGAGGCAGGAGAATCAATTGAACCCAGGAGGCAGAGGTTGCAGGGAGCTGAGATCACGCCACTGTACTCCAGCCTAGGCGACAGAGCAAGTCTTCATCTCAAAAAAAAAAAAGTGAACCCATTGCATGTTTGCGTTATTCATGAAAAATTTCCAAAATAAAACCAGATAATTTTAGCAAGTTTGAAAAAATGTCTGGCCTAATATCTCATATCTGCTTCTGTATTCAGTTTTTGTGACATCACATCATCTCTGGAAGACTCTCTTACTATGCAATGAGAGAATGAGAGTGCAAAAGGAAAGTGACATCTTATTATTACGAAAATAGCTTTGACTTCACAGGACCTTCTGAAAGGGTCTCAGACTTCTAGAGGTCTCCAGACTATACTTTGAGAAGTGCTGTTTTAGAATATTGGAAAAGTAGGTTATTATATTTATTTGGAGAATTGTTTAAAAAGTGATGATAGGCCAGGCGTGGTGGTTCATACCTGTAATCCCAGCACTTAGGGAGGCTGAGACGGGCAGATTGCTTGAGATCAGGAGTTCGAGACCAGCCTGGGCAATATGGTGAAACCCCATCTCTACCAAAAATAAAAAAAATTAGCCTGGTGTGTTGCCGCATGTCTGTAGTCCCAGCTACTAGGGACGCTGAGGTGGGAGGATTGCTTGAGCCCAGGAGGTAGAGAATGCAGTGAGCCAAGATGGTGCCACTGCACTTTAGCCGGGGCAACAGAGCAAGACTCTGTCTCCAAAAAAAAAAAAAAAAAAAAGATGACAGCTTACAAGATAACTAGAAAGGGTATAAATACATTTTTTAAACTGGTACATCTGTGTTTATTTATTTTTTTGTTGGTTTTGGAGACAGAGTCTTGCTCTGTTGCCCAGGCTGGAGTGCAGTGGCAGGATCTTGGCTCACTCCAACCTCCACCTCCCAGGTTCAAGTGATTCTTGTGCCTCAGTCTCTGAAGTAGCTGGGATTACAGACACGCACCACCAAGCCCAGCTACTTTTTGCATTTTTTAGTAGAGACGGGGTTTTGCCATGTTGGCCAGGCTGGTCTCGAACTCCTGGCCTTGAGTGATCTGCCTGCCTCAGCCTCTCAATGTGCTGGGATTATAGGCATGAAACACGGTCCGGCCTGTATTTGGATTATTGAAAAAATATGTCCTTGATTTTAAAAATTTATTTTTAGAAATAAAATTAATAAATGTTTCTGCTTTAGAATATGCAGAATCTTTTAAAGAGAAAAGAAAATTACTCTTAGCATTCACTACGTAATATTTGCAAATACACATAATTAATATTATACTTTTAATCAAATTCATCTTTTTTATGAATATTTTCAAAACATAGAAAGGCACAGAGAATAGTTTAACAACTGCTCCATCATTAACCAGGATTGGCATGTTGTTGTATTTGCTTTTGGCTCAGTTCTTTTTCTGCCTCCCCAGAGTCACCCATCTTCTGAATTTGAACCATATTCTCCCCACTCATGTTTTTATACTATATATATCTGTGTGTTCATAAATAATAACGTCATACTGCTTTGCATGTTTTTAAATTATAAATATTTTCCTAAGTTCATCTTTCACAGCTTGCTTTTTTTACCCTTATATTCTTGAGATTTATATATGTTGATATTTATTTAAAATGCTGTATTTCTATACTGCAGTTTATTCTGCCATTGATGGCTAATTTAGTGTTTTTGTTTGGTTTTTTTGGCTATTAAATAAATGGTATCATGAACCTCCTTTTGGAGGCTCTCTTGAGGATATGATGTAGAGCATCTGGTTTGTAGGGTGTCTGTGTTCTTACCTTTATTGGATATTGCCAAATTGCTTCTAAAAATGTTCATACCATTGTCATCCCCCACCAGCAATATATAGGAGCTTTCATTTCTCTACTTTTTTTTTTCTTTTTTTTTTTTGAGGCAGAGTCTTGCTCTGTCACCCAGGCTGGAGTGCAGTAGTGGTGCAATCTCGGCTTATGGCAACCTCCGCCTCCTGGGTTCAAGCGATTCTCCTGCTTCAGCCTCCTGAGTAACTGGGACTACAGGCGCCCACTACCATGCCCAGCTAATTTTTGTATTTTTAGTAGAGACAGGGTTTCACCATATTGGCCAGGCTGGTCTTGAACTCCTGACCTCGTGATCCACCTGCCCTGGTCTCCCACCACACCCAGCCGGTTTTTTCTTTTTTAACTACAAAAGACATCCAACATTTCTCTACTTTCTTGCCAGTACTTGGTATTGTCAGATTTTTAATTTTATATCTTACATTTTTTATTTTTATATCATTAATGTTGTATTTTGAACCCTTTCCCTCATTCTTTAGGGTTCTTTGAAAATGATTGTCAATGGCTGTAGTTTATGAGTGTACTATACTCTAACACATATGGTGCTCTTGTCTATGTGGGTTTTCTCATTCTTTTGCTATTTTAATGTGGCTAATGAACATCTTAATACATAAATTCTTCTGATTATTTCTTTCTTTCTTTTTTTTTTTTTTTTTGAAACGGAGTCTCACTGTGTTGACCAAGCTCGAGTGCAGTGGTGTGATCTTGGCTCACTGTAGCCTCTGCCTCCCAGATTCAAGCAGTTCTTCCTGCCTCAGCCTCCTGAGTAGCTGGGATTACAGATGCCCACCACCATGCCTGGCTGGTTTTTGTATTTTTTAATAGAGATGGGGTTTCAACATGTTGGCCAGGCTGGTCTTGAATTCCTGACCTCAGGTCATCCGCCTGCCTCAGCCTCCCAAATTGTTGTGATTACCGGCGTGAGCCACTGCACCCGGCCTGAGTCTTTTTTCTTTTCTTTTTTTTTTTTTGTGGAGACAGAGTCTCTCTCTGTGGCCCGAGCTGGAGTGCGGTGGCTCAATCTCAGCTCACTGCAACTTCCGCCTCCTGGGTTCAAGCAATTCTCCTGCCTCAACCTCCCGAGTAGCTGGGACTACAGGCGCCCGCCACTAAGCCTGGGTAATTTATTTTTTTAATTTTTATTTTAGTAGTGACAGGGTTTGGCCATGTTGCCCAGGCTAGTCTTGAACTCCTGAGCTCAGGCAATCTGCCCGCCTCAGCCTCCCAAAGCACTAGGATTACAGGCATGAGACCACGCCTGGCCCTGGCCTGATTATTTCTTTAGGACAGATTGTCAGAGGTGAAATTTCTAGGACAAGGTTTATGAACATTTTAAGAATCTTGTTTCATATTTCCAGATTACTTTCTTTTTCTTCTTTTTTTTCATTTTTCTTTTTTTTTGTTTTTCGAGACAGGCTCTCACTCTGTTGCCCAGACTGGAGTGCAGTGGTGTAATCACGGCTCACCACAGCCTCAACTTCCTGGGCATAGGTGATCCTCCCACCTCAGCCTCCTGAGAAGCTGGGACTACAGGCACGTGCTACCACACCCGGCTAATATCTTATATTTTTTTTTTATAGAAAAAGATAAAACCATGTTGCCCATTCTGGTCTCAAACTCCTGGGTTCAAGTGATCCTCCCACCTTGGCCTCCTAAAGTGTTGGGATTATAGGCTTGAGCCACCGTGCCTGGCCTCCAGATTACTTTCTGGAAAGAGTGTACTAATTTCTACTCTCACCAAAACTTTGAGAGTACGTGTCTCTATATGTTTTCACTAGGATGAAAGGATTCAGGATTATTCTATGTTTTTTATCATAGAAGTTTAATAGGTAAAAATTCCATTGCTATATTTTTTGGAAGTAATGTCATGGTGACTATAAAATCCTCTCTTGATGCGACAGCTTGAGATAGAGCCACACTGGTAGTGCTTCTGATTTATTGTCTCTGTGTGTATGTGTCTATCTGTCTGTGTGTCTCTCTCTCTGTCTCTCTTGATTCTTGTGGCTATACTCTAATTTCCCTTTGACTAATTCTTCCTGTCCAGGAATGACACTGTGCGCTTTGCTTTGGATGTCCTGGCTATTCTTACTGTGGTGCCAAAAATCCAGCTCCAGTTGGCAGAATCAGTGGACGTGTTGGATGAGGCTGGATCTACAGTCTCTACTGTAGGTAGGTTGTACTTTGCCATTTTTGTTGTTTCTTGGTCTGGATTTGTTTTTTCTTTGCCACTCTGGTCTTGGTTACTTACCTGACCTAATTTTGGATTTTAGAACAGAAGTAGTAGAGGGGGGCTCCTTGTCTGTCCTTTATAAGGAGTACCATTCAGCAGATCAGGAACTAATTTAAAAAAAAAAACCAAAAAACAAAAATACAAATGTAGGACCAGATAGTTTGATGTAAGGGAGTCATGCTAGTAAACTCAGGTTTTCTGAGTGGTACTGGCATTTCTGCTATAATGGTATATTATAGCTTTCCTGAAAAGCTCACACTCTGAAGAGTCTTGCACTAAAAATAAAGTTCATGGGAAAAATGGGTTGAGGCAGATAGTAAAAAACTTAAGCATCACAGCTTTCCAGGAGTTAAAGGGAAAAAAAAACAACAAAGTAAGCAGTTTTGTAACCTGAGTCAGTAATTGGCAGGTAGCTCAAAATGGGTAGAAACCGTCATACATATATAAAAAAAGGAAAATATACTTTGATAATATACTTTATTAAGAGCAAGGCTGATCAGGGCACTGCTGGGGTGAGCATGGGAAGTCGTGTGATGGGACAAGATGCAGGATAGGACTAAGACACAGGCACTTGGTTTTTAATTTTCTTAAAATAGAGTGGAAAGGGTTCTGCTTCCACAGTAGCAGCCCAACCGAGGGCTTTCTCCGTTCCTAAGGTTTTAGTGTATTAAAATTAATAAACCAGAAAAGGTCGAGCACAGTGGCTCACACCTGTAATCCCAAAACTTTGGGAGGCCGAGGCGGGTGGATCACCTGAGGTCAGGAGTTCCAGACCAGACTGGCCAACATGGTGAAACCCCACCTCTACTAAAAATACAAAAATTAGCTGGGCGTGGTGACAGGCGCCTGTAATCCCAGCTCTTTGCAGGGATGAGGCAGGAGAATCACTTGAACTCGGGAGGCGGAGGTTGCAGTGAGCCAAGATCACGCCACTGCACTCCAGCTTGGGCGACAGAGCGAGACTCTGCCTCAAAAAAATAATAAAACCAGAAAAAATTGCACATGAACCTTGATTACTTTTCCATAATTATGACATGATTTCCCTATTTAATAACTGCATATGAGATACCATAAAAATACATTGTAGTAGAACTGTCTGCACTTTATACAAACCCTTGCAGTTTTTACAAAAGTAATATAGTTTTTTAAAGTAAAAGTGAGTAGAACACCAAATTTTGACTCTGGAACAACTATTGAAGTTGGCCATTAGTTTTATGGTGAATAATACATAATTTTTTTTCCCATTAGGTATCAGCATTATTTTGGGAGTGGCTGAGGGTGAGTTCTTCATCCATGATGCTGAAATTCAGAAGTCAGCACTTCAGATTATCATCAATTGTGTGTGTGGCCCAGATAACCGAATATCCAGTATTGGTAAATTTATCTCTGGTACTCCTCGGAGAAAGCTGCCTCAGAACCCTAAAAGCAGTGAGCACACCCTGGCCAAGATGTGGAATGTGGTTCAGTCCAACAACGGCATCAAGGTGCTCCTGTCCTTACTGTCCATTAAGATGCCCATCACAGATGCAGACCAAATCCGGGCCCTGGCCTGCAAAGCCCTAGTGGGCCTGTCTCGCAGTAGCACTGTCCGGCAGATCATCAGTAAACTGCCCCTTTTCAGCAGCTGCCAGATCCAGCAGCTGATGAAGGAGCCTGTGCTGCAGGACAAGCGCAGTGACCATGTCAAGTTCTGCAAGTATGCTGCTGAACTCATTGAACGGGTGTCAGGAAAACCACTTCTCATTGGCACTGATGTTTCCCTAGCACGACTGCAGAAAGCAGATGTTGTTGCCCAGTCAAGGATCTCCTTCCCTGAGAAAGAGCTGCTTTTGTTGATACGAAACCATCTTATTTCTAAAGGGCTTGGAGAAACAGCAACCGTGCTGACAAAAGAGGCTGACCTGCCCATGACTGCTGCCTCCCATTCTTCTGCCTTTACCCCAGTCACTGCTGCTGCTTCTCCTGTCTCTCTACCCCGAACCCCTCGTATCGCTAATGGCATTGCAACTCGTCTGGGCAGCCATGCTGCTGTGGGTGCCTCTGCGCCTTCTGCCCCTACTGCTCATCCTCAGCCACGGCCCCCCCAGGGTCCGCTAGCTCTGCCCGGCCCATCTTATGCAGGCAACTCCCCTTTGATTGGTAGAATCAGTTTTATCAGAGAGAGGCCATCACCCTGCAATGGCAGGAAAATCAGAGTGTTGCGGCAGAAGTCGGACCATGGTGCCTACAGCCAAAGCCCAGCCATAAAAAAACAGCTGGACAGACATCTTCCTTCCCCACCTACGCTGGACAGTATAATCACAGAGTATCTTAGAGAACAACATGCTCGCTGCAAGAATCCAGTTGCCACCTGCCCACCTTTCTCCCTCTTTACTCCTCACCAATGTCCTGAGCCAAAACAGAGGCGGCAAGCGCCAATAAACTTTACGTCAAGGCTAAACCGCAGGGCATCATTTCCAAAGTATGGAGGGGTGGATGGCGGATGCTTTGATAGGCACCTTATCTTTAGCAGGTAAGAAGAGGCCCCTTCTTACTCCCTGGGAATTGGAATGATTCTTTTATTTAAATCAAACTGGGCAGTATCAGCATAGTTGTCCTGAAATACCACTGATTGTTACTTTGTGTAATACTTGAACAATGTAATTGTACCACCTTTTGTCAACCATGGGTTCCTTGTGTGATTGTTGGCAGTATATTGATATAATCGTTTGTGTTCTCATCTCAACTAGTATGTTTTCTAGAACCCACACCCCCTCATTACTACTGTCCATAAGGAGGCTCCCAAACTTGTGCTGGTGCAAGTTGCTTCCTGTTCTGATTCTTGACAAATCTTACATAAAGGTTACGGGATCACAGGTTTTAAACATGGGAATTTTTTTTTTTTTTGGAGACGGAGTCTCTCTATCGCCCAGGCTGGAGTACAGTGGTGCTATCTTGGCTCACTGCAACCTCTGCCTCCTAGGTTCGAGTGATTCTCCTGCCTCAGCCTCCTGAGTAGCTGGGATTACAGGCAGGCACCACCATATCTAGCTAATTTTTGCATTTTTAGTAGAGATGGGGTTTTACCATGTTGGCCAGGCTGGTCTTGAATTCCTGACCTCAATTGATACCCCCCCTTCGGCCTCCCAAAGTGCTAGGATTATAGGCATGAGCCACTGTGTCTGGCCTAAACATGGGAATTTTTGTTATTTAAATTTGTAAGTGGAAATCTTTTTCTTATTTAAAATAAAAAGCACTGAAGGTCACTGTGATTTTGGAAGAAGCCATTTGAAACATTAATGTTCTGTGCTTTTTCTTCTATCCTAGCAGTTTGCTTTTTCTGAGTCCCTGCACATTCTTTGCCTGTGATTCTCTCTTTTTTTTGCTTAGATTCCGTCCTATTTCAGTGTTCCGGGAAGCCAATGAAGATGAGAGTGGCTTCACCTGCTGTGCATTCTCAGCACGGGAGCGGTTCCTGATGCTTGGCACCTGCACAGGGCAGCTGAAGCTCTATAATGTGTTTAGTGGACAGGAGGAGGCCAGCTATAACTGTCACAACTCAGCCATCACACATCTTGAACCTTCCAGGGTAAGGGTTCCTTCCTAGGATGCTCTCAGTCATTCTTCCAAGATGAATTGGTGAACTAGAGTAAAGGAGGCTTACCCTTTATTGAGCTCTCTCTTTTAAATGAGTCCTCAACTGGAAAGTCTAGTTGAGGTTAATTCATATTTCAGATGGAGACTGAGGAATATGGCAAAGTTAGTAGGAAGAAAGGAACCATCTTTGACATCTTCTCATTTTCCCCCCTCCCTTTTATCTATTCTATTTTTGTGGCTAGTTCAGTAGGATTTAATATTCTCTTAAGTTTGGTTATTTTATAGGACACTATAGGTGTATGTATTCAAATCCTAGTGGCTTCTGACCATTTCTTGGTTTCTGGGGATTATAAAATTGTCTCTTTAATTCAACAACATTTTTATGCAAATCTTTAAAAATGCTAATGGCAGGTAGTGACATCTGCATGTATGTAAATACGTGGTTACCCACCTTGCGCCTTTTTCTTTTAGGATGGGTCCTTGCTGCTGACATCTGCTACTTGGAGCCAGCCTTTGTCTGCACTTTGGGGAATGAAGTCAGTATTTGATATGAAGTATGTATCTGCTTTTGGAACCTAGTCTGTGCTTTATTTACCTAGTTTATACCCCCCTTCATTTGGTTCTTAGACTGGAAGCCTTTTGGGGAAAGAGGATGCTGTCGGTTATTGTTAACTTCTCTCTTCCTCATCTAAGACTCATGTTTAATAAGACTTTATCTTTCTTAATTCCTAGATACTTTTATGAGGTATATACATTCTCATTATGCAGCAGACCCCGACCCAGAATCTATGTATTTTCCCATGTTCACATAGGACATTGCAGTCTTTGCTGTGTCTCCTCTCCTCTCCTCTCCCCTCCCCTCCCCCCTCACCTCCCCTCCTTTTCTCTCTCCTCTCTTCTCCTCTCCTTTCCTTTCCTTTCCTTTTTTTTTTCTTTTTTTTATTTTTTGTGAGACAGAGTCTCGTTCTGTCGCCCAGGCTGGAGTGCAGTGGCGCGATCTCAGCCTACTGCAAGCTCCGCCTCCCGGGTTCACACCGTTCTCCTGCCTTAGCCTCCCGAGCAGCTGGGACTAGAGGCGCCCGCCACCACACCTGGCTAATATTTTATATTTTTAGTAGAGACAGCGTTTCACTGTGTTAGCCAGGATGGTGTTGATCTCCTGACCTTGTGATCCGCTGGCCTTGGCCTCCCAAAGTGCTGGGATTACAGGCCTGAGCCACCGCACCTGGCCTTTTCTTTTCTTTCCTTCTTTAGACGGGGTCTCATTCTGTCACTTAGGTTGGAGTGCGGTGGCACAAACATGACCTACTGCAACCTCCACCTCCCAGGCTCAAGTGATCCTCTCATCTCAGCCTGCTGAGTAGCTGGGACCACAGGCATATGCCACCACGCCTGGCTAATTTTTTGCATTTTTGATAGAGATAGGGTTTCGACATGTTGCCCAGGGTGGTCTCGAACTCCTGAGCTTAGACAATCCACCTGCCTCAGCCTCTCAAAGTGCTGGGATTGTAGGAGTGAGCTACCATGCCTGGCCCCTTTGCTGCGTGTTTCAAAGGCACATGTGCCCTGTTTGTCATTTCTCTAAGGAATTCCCATTCATTATTTTGTATCTGCTTGGTTAAGGTGATAGAAGGAATTTTCTTTGTAATCTAAGTGTATGATTGTTTCCTCTTTGGGAGTCCAGGATCTTTAGGTGAGTGTGATTGTGCAAGAGGCTGGGGGTCACCTGTGTTTCAGTTGGTTGCAGGAATATGTCCTGAAGATCTGTCACTTCAGTGCTCCTGTTGTTTGTCCATAGGCATTCCTTCACAGAAGATCACTATGTTGAGTTCAGTAAGCACTCCCAGGATCGGGTCATCGGCACAAAAGGAGACATTGCCCACGTAAGTACTTAAGAACCACTGTTTTCAAGCTGATCATACCCATTTGTTCATACTGAAATCTTCTTGATAGAATGTGAGGACCTAAGTCCTTTGGGCAACTAGAAATCAGTGATATTCCTTCTAGTTAGAATCTAAAAGTATGATAATATAGTTCTGAGCTGTATGGGAAAAATGTATAAGGGCTAAATGTGACATTGAGAAAGATGTCATTAGCACCACAGATATTTTTGAATTCTTAGTAAGTTTTAGATTAGAAATGAAACCCCTGCCTTTATGGACCCTCATTGGGGAGACAATAAAGAAGCAAATATACGGTAAATTTAGGTGGTAAGTGTTTCAGAGAAAATGAAAGCAGGGTAAGAGGTAGGAAATGCTTGGTGGTGGTGTGGGGGACTTCTCTTTTATCTAGGGTAGACAGCATCACTGATGGGGTAATGTTTAAGCAGAGCCTTGAAGGAAACGCGAGATTCAGGAAGATACCTGGAGGAACAGCGTAAGGCACAGGAAATGGCAAGGGAAAAGCCCTTGCTTGGGAGGTGGGAGGAGAGCTGAGGTCAGTGAGGGGCCTGTATCTGGTAGCATCTTGTAGGTGGTAGTTAGGGCCTTTAGCTTTTTTTTTGAGTGAGATGAAGACACTGGTGGGTGAGTAGAGGATACATGAGTGGATGTAAAGTTCCTGAAGTGTGACTCTGGTTTTTGTGAGAGAAGCAAGAGCAGCCTTCCAGGTCAGAGGGTGTTGTACCACCTGACACATGAGAGGAGCTGTGGGTTTGGGCCTGGGTAGGCATGGTAGAGGCTATGAGAAATGGAGGACCTTGGCCCTGGGATTTTGGACACATGAAATTTGAGATTCTCTTAGACATTCAAGTAGAGAATGGGGATTGAATACAAAAGTTGGGAGCTGGCCAGACTTAGTGGCTTCTGCCTGTAATCCCAGCACTTTGGGAGGCTGAGGTGGGAGGCCAGGAGTTCGAGACCAGCCTGGGCAACATAGAGAGACTCCCCCCATCTCTACAAAAAATAAACAAAATTGGCTGAGCTTGGTGGGCTTGGGACCTATAGTCCCAGCTACTCAGGAAGCTGAGACGGGAGGGTTGCTTGAGCCCATGAGTTGGAGGCTGCTGTGAGCTATGATTATGTCACTGTACTCCAGCCTGAGTAACCAAGTGAGACCCTGTCTCTGAAAATAAAAACAACAAAAAATTGGGAGTTCAAGAGAGAGGTGTGGGTTGGGAAATATAAATATGGGACTTGTCCACATATTGACAGTATTTATTTATTTATTTATTTTTGAGACAGGGTCTTGTTCTGTCACCCAGGCTGCAGTGCAGTGGCACGATCACAGCTCACCACAGCCTTGACTGCCTGGACTCAAGCAATCCTCTTACCTCAGCCTCCTGAGTAGCTGGGACTACAGGCGAGCACCATCACACCTGGCTAATTTTTTTGTATTTTTGTAGAGACGGCATTTCCCCAACGTTGCCCAGGCTGGTCTCGAACTCCTGGGCTCAAGTGATCCACTTTTCTTGGTGTCCCAAAATGTTGGCATTGCAGGCATGAGTCACTGTCCCCAGCTGATAGTATTTACAGCCATGAACTTATATGAGATCATCAAGGGGACTAGAGAAGAGTTGTGGGTATAGAACCCTGGCATGTGTTTAGGAGTTGCCAAATGAGGAACTTGGGAAGGAAATCAAATATAATGGCCAGTAAGGCAGAATGGAACCCCGAGAAAAAGAGGTGCCTGGCCGGGTGCGGTGGCTCACGCCTGTAATCCCAGCACTTTGGGAGGCAGTATTCTGTGGTAATCATTGATCCATGTGGAGAATTTGTGTGTTAATTTTAGAAACTGCTTTGCACATTTTCTCTTTAATTTGTCAGTGGATGGATTGGTCTGATTTTTCTCTTCCCATCCCTTCTTCTCTAAAGATTTATGATATTCAGACTGGCAACAAGCTGTTGACTCTGTTTAACCCAGATCTTGCCAACAACTACAAGAGGAACTGTGCCACCTTTAATCCTACAGATGATCTTGTCTTAAATGATGGCGTCCTCTGGGATGTCCGCTCTGCACAGGCCATCCACAAGTTTGACAAGTTCAATATGAACATCAGTGGTGTTTTCCATCCAAATGGACTGGAGGTGATCATTAATACTGAGATTGTATCCTTTATACTCATGTCTTACCTTCCATTTGTTGTCTGGTTTGTGGTGCAGAAATAATTTGTTCTATCTTTATACCAATACCTGGTTAAAGTGTCCACACTGGTAATAATATGGTGCCTGTCCTTTGGTTTGAAATGTTAGTGAAATCTCCAAAGCACTGTTGCCAATGTTAGTAATTACTGACAACTTTCACTAGCATGTTTTCTATGTATTTGGTAAGAGTGACCAGTTTCCTACCTCCCAGTTCTCCAAGAATTGAATTAGCTTTTATCTGTCTTCAGAAGGATTTTACTTTTGCTCTGTAAAAAATCAGTTGCCACATAAGAGGAAAATGAAGTACTACTGTTGGGAGGAAAAGAGCTCATAAAGCATTCCTGTATATGAGGATACCCTAGGATATTTTCAGAGACATCATTCAATAATATGCATTCTACATGTATTTGTTTTACCTTGATCTCATTGACTTTTAAAGTATCAATACCTGGCAGGAGGAAAAAAAGTGATATTTTAGAATTTCCTCCCATGAGATTAGATAAGTTTTGTGTAAAATAGTTTTCCTTGACCATTCCCCTCCTAGTGGGACCTTCGAACTTTTCATCTTTTGCATACTGTTCCCGCTCTGGATCAGTGTCGCGTGGTGTTCAATCACACGGGAACAGTGATGTATGGAGGTAATAAACCTTATCCTTCATTATTCTCTTTCCTTTTGCTCTACCCCTTCACTTAATTTGATACTTCTTTTTGGAACCATCTCTCACTTGTGAATTGGAAAGCATTTGAGAGTTGTAACATAAAAGATAAAAAATTGATAGTATGAATGGTGACAAAAGATATGAAAATAATGTTGGTTTAGGGTGAAAGGCAGCTTACTTTGAAGATAACAAGGAAATCTTGTATGGAAAGAAATTTCATGCAGTATTTTCCAGTGTATCATTATGAACTTAAGAGCTTTTGCATTTGTCCTCTTGTGTTGTTATAAGCCTTGTAAGTACAGTAACACTTCTTGGAGGTAGATGAGAGGCTGAGGATATTATTTGTCACAATAGGTGGGATATGCAAGGAAGATGCTCTGAGAGGAGCTAACTAGATGCAGAGTAGATTTCTGTACAAGGGAATTTGTATGTAAACCTATATGCAAGTAGATTGTTTTGATTGGCCATTAACATTTTCTGCACTTGTGAAGAGGGGATGTTTGTGATTCCTAATAGTGTTTCCTCCCCCACTCCCCCTCAAGCTATGTTGCAGGCAGATGATGAAGATGACTTAATGGAAGAGAGGATGAAAAGCCCCTTTGGGTCATCCTTCCGAACATTTAATGCAACTGACTACAAACCTATAGGTAAGCAGAAAGGGACAGACATTGAACATTTTGTCGTGTTTTGGTGTTCCTTATTTAAGATCCTTCATTTTCTGGAGGCCTGTAATTTTTTATTGAAAAACAGAGAAGTTATGGAAATACTTTTGAGCAATCATCCTGAATTCCTTTAGAGGAAAAGCAGGTTTTAGGGTCACAGCAATAGTCCAATCCCAATCTTCTCACATTCTATTTTCCAGCAACCATTGATGTGAAACGGAACATCTTTGACCTGTGTACAGACACCAAAGACTGCTATCTTGCTGTCATTGAGGTAAAGGGAGCTTGCAGAGGCCCTGCTCTTTTGTTCTGATGTTTAGGATAATTTTCAAGTTGTACTACAGACATTTTGTCTGATATAAGATGTAAAGTCAATACATTCCTGAAGGTAGATTATTGATAACCTATTCATTTGATGGGGCTTGGGAGATGTACAGTACAAAGAGAAATAGTAAGAAAATCCCAATATAAGACAGCTTAGAGGATCCTGTCTCCTTTTTTTCTGGACTCACACTGTCATCCCTTTCTCAGAGGAATCTGGATCTCTCACCAGAGCAAGACTGGTTTGTTCCAAGGGTGATGGTTCCTCACCAAGTCTTTTCATTCTGTTTTTCTTCCCCTTTATGTGTCCTAGGTATAACATTTTCATAGTCAGCTCAAGAATTTCGGGTATCAGAAGCTTTAATAATTACAGGGTCAAGGTCATGGGCACCAGTCAGGGCTGAGGCGTGGATGTGGACCTTCTGAAAAGTAACTGCTCCTTATGGACTGGATGTTCTATTTCAGAATCAAGGCAGCATGGATGCCCTGAACATGGACACAGTATGCAGGCTGTATGAAGTGGGCAGGCAGCGTCTGGCAGAGGATGAGGATGAAGAGGAGGACCAGGTCAGTGGTCTTTGAGATTTCTTTCTGCTGAACAGTGCTTAATAGAGGTTATGCTCTGCTTTTTGCTGTAGGAGGTTTTAAAGGTCTACTCAACCTTTGCTACCTGTTGCCACATTCATAAGGCTTGTCATGTACCCTTGATCACTGAAACTCAGAAGAAATTTTATTATAAGATTTTAACCAGTACCTGATGATCCCGTGAATTCCATTTGCAGAGCAATTTAAAGCTTAGCAATCTCTGCTTTTTTTTTTTTTTTTTTTTTTTTTTTAGAATGGAGTTTTGCTCTTGTCGCCGAGGCTGGAAATGTCATGATCTCGGCTCACTGCAGTCTCTGCCTCCTGGGTTCAAGTGATTCTCCTGCCTCAGCCTCCCAAGTAGCTGGGATTACAGGTGCCCACCACCACGCCTGGCTATTTTTTGTGTATTTTTAGTAGAGACGGGGTTTCACCGTGTTGGCCAGGCTGGTCTCGAACCTCCTGACCTCAGATGATCTGCCCACGTCGGCCTCTCAGAGTGCGTGGAGTATAAGCATGAGCCACCGCACTCATCCTGGCAATCTCTGATTTTCATTCAGAGATTTCTTTGTGCCCCGTTCTGGCTTCAGATAAGCATCTCCCAATGTCAATAAAAAACAGAACAATCACTTTGCTGAGATGGACTGTAGAAATGGCTTAACCTTTATAAAGTTCTGGTTTATATTTTCTCAGTTTTATGGCATAGTCTATTATTAGGGTAAGAGTTGAACTTATAGGTAAGATAAGATTTTGATACTTTTGAGAAATTAAACATATATAAAATGTGGGTAGATAGTATCATGTCCCTCAGTCTTTGCATTTTGCTTTCATAGGGAATTTTAATTTGTGGTTGTATTACGCTAGGTGCTTGCCTGTGTGGTGTGTCAGTATGGGTTCTGAAGAGTTTCTCAAACTTCTGAGTTTCAGCAGATTTTTTCCAGCCTACAGGGCTCACAGCACATTCTCTTTCCAAGAGTACATTCTCCAGGGCAGATTCTTTTGTCTAATTTTCTGAGAAATATTTATTGCTGAGTGAGTACTGTAAAGTTGAAAATGAATGACTAGGATTTGACTTTGCTCTTCAGATATTAAAGCAGCTAAAAATGTTTTCTTCCCCAGTTCTTGGGTTCATTTCTGTTTCCCCCTACTATCGTATTCTTTAGTCTTGGTGCTTTGTCTCTCTTTTTTTTTTTTTTTTTTCTGAGATGGAGTTCTGCTCTTGTCACCCAGGCTGGAGTGTAATGGCACGATCTCGGCTCACTGCAACCTCCACCTCTGGGGTTCAAGCAATTCTCCTGCCTCAGCCTCCTGAGTAGCTGGGATTACAGGCACATGTCACTATGCCCAGCTAATTTTTGTATTTTTTTTAGTAGAGATGGGGTTTCACAATGTTGGCCAGGCTGGTCTGGAACTCCTGACCTCAGGTGATCCACCCGCCTCAGCCTCCCAAAGTGCTGGGATTACAGGCATGAGCCACCACGCCCAGCCAGCTTTGTCTCCTCTTTAAGGGCACAGAGGTGCTCTGGATGAGAAGCAGTGGCATCACAGGACCGGGGAAAGTACACTTCCCTCAGTTTGCATTGCCACAGCTCTCTTGCCCTCATCCTTCCCTACTTTTTGATAAATCATGCTCAATGGTTAGGGCTAATGTAATAGCTTTCTCTTAGCGTCCTTTCAAAACAGCTTGTACTTACATTTAAAATAATTCTTTAAAAGCAAGAATTTTTGAAAATGGTAATATTTGAAAATGGTAATTTTGTAAGGATGTAAGTCTAATACTAGGGCAAAGGACCCATGTTTTTCTCTAATGGGACTTAGTACTGACTAAGCAAGAGTGTTTTGTTGAGATTTAGCTATGTGTTTTACTGTTGGCCATTACAGGATATGAGCATATCATTTGTTCTGTAAATCAAATCCTTTGAATACTGCATCACCTGTACATCAAAGATGACACAGTATACCTGGATCAGATACACCTGGGTAAAAAAGCTAGAACAGAGACTCAACCTAAAATCCCCTGTGTGTGCTCTCTTGGTCTTCACTGTTTTGACTGTCTAAGCATGCATTTTATTAGAGGCCCGAGATGATTCGTGATCTGCAGAAATGGGCTTCTGAGCAGAGTGAGGAGACTCTTGTGTGGTGGGCAGCTGGTGGCCATGGTGGGATCAGAGCAGAGCCTTCCTCAGGGCCTGGTAAAGGATAATTAGGCTGTAGAGTTTGAAACAACTTCACCAAATGCTGCCAAGGATCTGCTAGTGTAGAAAGGCTTTCCTTTACTGCTTTCCAGCTATATGGGCTCTATAGGGGCCTTGGTTTCATGGGTGAGAGGAGCCAGCAGTGTCTAAAGCTCATGTGAGTTATGAGATATGGGTAGAAGGGAGAGGTTTTCCAGTGGATACTTGAAATCTTTGATTTATTTGTGACATGGATTTTAGTGTTTTCTTGAGTGCTGTGCTGTTACAGCTTGTACATGTTTCTAGTCTTTCTGGGTAGCAGAGCTTGGTATTAGGTCCTCCAAATTTCATGTGGTTGCCTTGAGTGGGTTTCTTAATACTGCCTGTTCTTTTATTCTCACTTCAGTTTGCTACCTTAGACACCTCACTCCCTTAATGCCTACTTTTTCACATTAGCTATCATGAAACAAGATGTAGTTTATTCTTGAGTCCATACAGAGGGTGCAGTTGTCAGGCCATTTGCGCGTACATTACAATGGTATGGGTGGCTGTCGACTGCTTTGTCCTCCGTGGGTTTATTCATCACTACCAAGTATCAGTTCTGAATCAGGCTTCTTGGATGTTACATGTTGAAGCATAAATCTGAGGCCAAAACTGGATTGTTTGTCAACATCATTATCCCAGCCCTCCCATATCCGTGCATTTAATAAGGCAGTGGGCGGCAGTCTTCTCTGGGAACCATCACCTGGGTCCATGTGATGCCTGGTGTCTGTCTTTGAGGGGGAGGTCAACTCAGAGGAAAGTTGAGATTGCCCTAGACACCTTGGGAGTTGGAAGGCTATTCTCTGGGTTCGCCTTATTCTTGCAGACATGGAGTGGTGAGAGGCAAAGGCACTGGAGGTTGGTGGCTGGCTGTGGAAGCGAGAGGCCACCATAAGGGAATAATTTAAGAGTTATACTCCTCTTATCCCACTCTCTCCAGGAAGGCTTGGGTCAGGGAAAAGACTGACTAATTCTTCTTCTTTTGTCCTGCTTAACTTCTGAGAAGTTAAGGGAGAAAGAGATTAGGAAGGGCATATGGTAGTGGTCAGGACTTTTGACTTGGATGCAGGAAGGAAAGCAAGAGGCTGCCTCAGCGTGACAGCCAAGAGTGAGAGGGGCAGGGTCAAGAGGGCTCTAAGGAGTGGCTCTGGAGCCCAGCCTGTAGAAGAGCCGGAAAGCTTTCTAGCTCAGAGAAGACTAGGTGGCAGGGTAGGTGTGCAACATGGCTAAGTTATTACTGTGGCTTCCAGATTTCTTAGGATCTAGGCATGTTTCACTCCATACTGATATTACAGCTTTTATTGATCATCTGGTGCATTTCATGTTTGAAGGACCTCTGTTAGAGAACTGCTTATCCCCTCAAGCCCTTGGCATTTTGATTTTTGATTTAGAGATGTTTGATTTAGAGATACGGGATAATACCGTATCTATTTGAGTAGGTCTCTTTTGTAACCTTAATTCTGTTGATCCATGCTCCTTCTAGAATCTTGTGGTGGAGTTTGGCTGTTTTTACTATCTCCATCAGATTTCTGCCTACTGCCTCTCATGCACAGTGTGCCAGCTTGAATTTTTTTTAAACTCACTTTCCTTTGTAGGAAAACCAGTCTCTAGTTTTACTTTGCTTTGTACGCTTCACCTGATTTTAAAACTAGAGACTTTTCATTTTCCTATGAATCATTTGCTATTCAAAGTTTTGTCCTAGTCTAGATATCTGTTCTCAGGTCTTCTCAGATGTTCCAGATATGACTTATGTGGCTCAGGGATACAGGCACCTGTGACCAACACCTTTGAATTTGCCTTTTCATTATAGCAAAATAAATTCAGAAGCCTGAATGGTCAGCCGTCATCTAATAAAATGGTCCAGCATAAAGAGCTTTATCGAGATATAATTGACATGCCATAAAATATTTGTCCTTTGTCCTTATGCTTAAATAAGCTTGGAGATTAAGAGGAAAGGATGAAAGGTACAGCTAGCTGTATCTAGATGAATGAAAACCTAAACAATGTATTGGACACCCATAAATATTTGGTTCCTGAGGCTGCTAGTCTGCCTGCCTTCAGGCATTTGATGAAAGCAGAGATAAGCTAGTCACCTATCACAGCTCATTATTATCCATTAGAAGTTTGGTATCTGGTTGTTTTTTTTTTTTTTTTTTTTTTTTTGAGATGGAGTCTCGCCCTGTCACCCAGGCTGGAGCGCAGTGTTGCGATCTTGGCTCACTGCAACCTCCACCTCCCAGGTTCAGGCAAATCTGCCTCAGCCTCCCTGAGTAGCTGGGATTGTAGGCGCCTGCCACCACAACCGGCCAATTCTGTATTTTTAGTAGAGATGGGGTTTCACCATGTTAGCCAGGCTGATCTCGAACTCCTGACCTCAGGTGATCCGCCCACCTCGGCCTCCCAAAGTGCTGGGATTATAGGCATGAGCCACCGCGCCCAACCTGGTGCCTGTGTTTTTAGAAATCAGTTCATTCATCTTTGATTTGACTTTTAGAAAAGTTACAAAACCCAAGATAAGTAATTGATCATTGCTCCTAGATTTTGACAAGCCAATACATTTTAGCTAATTATACTTAACCTTAAATTTATAATAAAAAACTCAACAAAGGAATAATGCTCTCTGTTTTCCACTCCATTTTGGAGTCTGGGACACACTGTGTGCTGTGCTTCCTGTGTGTTCTCCACTGCCTAGAAGCGGATGTTAAGAGTCTTTACTGATTACACACACCTGGTCAGAGCTGAATGTGTTGATTCCTGAAAGGCCTCATTTTCTTAAAGAATTGAAATGTAACTTGAGTTAGATTCTGCCATTGAGGAAAGAAAAACAAACATTTATGACCCTAAAGTGAACCTATAGCCTTTAAGGACAGAAAAAGTATTTTTTAAAAAGTAGGCATTTATACATTTAGCAAAATATGACATGTTACATAAAGGTCAGGATCAGATTTGAATGACGGTTTTGTTGTTGTTTTTTTTTTTTTTTTTTTTTGAGATGGAGTCTCACTCTGTCTCGCCCAGGCTTCCGCCTCCTAGGTTCAAGCAATTCTTCTGTCTCAGCCTCCCAAGTAGCTGGGACTAAAGGCATGTGCCACCACACCCGACTAATTTTGTATTTTAGTAGAGACGAGGTTTCACCCTGTTGCCCAGGCTGGTCTCGAACTCCTGACCTCAGGTGATCCACCCGCCTTGGCCTCCCAAAGTGCTGGGATTACAGGTGTGAGCCACTGCGCCCAGCCAAAGTGTAGGTAAAAGGCATCTGAAGCCTATGTAGATGGAGAGCTTATTAGGTTTGGGAGAACTGAACCTCTTGGCATAGAAAGTGAGAAGCCAGTGTGAAGGTGGTGGTGAGGTGGGGATGAGAAAAGTGTCTGTGGTAACAGGGTCTCAGGGTTGGTTGAGATCCAGAGCAGGAGTGGGTAGCATGCTTCCTCCTCAGACCAGGGCTGAAGCCAGGTTTAGATGTAGAGGGGACCAGAGAGCAGCGGAGGGAGCTTATGCCAGTTGACCTATTTTCTGTAAAGGAAAGGGGTGAGTTGTTTATCTGCAGGGTTTGGGGGCTTTGGGTAACCATGAAATTGATGTAGGTGGAATTAAGGAGAGAAGAGTTTTAGAATTCTTTCTGTAGAGAAATTTATTAGTACCTTAATTTAAAATGGCCTGGCCCTGAATTCCTCTAAGCCCTAAAAGAAGTCTTAGAGAATTAAAAAAAAAAACAATATCCCTGGATCCAAAACATTTTCTAAATGTTGTCAGAGTTGAGTCAGGATTCTAGAAAAATTTGGTTTTTTTTTTTTTTTTTTTTTTTGAGACAGAGTCTTGCTCTGTTGTCCAGGTTGGAGTGCAGTGGCGCGATCTCGGCTCACTGCAAGCTCCGCCTCCTGGGTTCATGCCATTCTCCTGCCTCAGCCTCCAGAGTAGCTGGGACTACAGGTGCCCATCACCACACCCAGCAAATTTTTTGTATTTTTAATAGAGACGGGGTTTCACTGTGTTAGCCGGGATGGTCTTGATCTCCTTACCTCGTGATCTGCCCGCCTCAGCCTCCCAAAGTGTTGGGATTACAGGTGTGAGCCACCACGCCCGGCCTGTTTTTGTTTTTGTTTTTGTTTTCAAAGAAATGGGATCTCACTCTGTTGCCCAGGCTGGAGTGCAGTGGCACAATCGTAGTTCAATGTAGCCTTGAATTCCTGGGTTCAAGTGATCCTCCTGCCTCAGCTTCCTGAGTAGCTGGGACTACAGGTGTGTGCCGTTGTGCCCAGCTAAGCTTTGCTTTTTCATTAAATAATTATTTTTAGTTTTTACTTTTTGGACCACTCATTATTGGAAGCTTTATTCTTTAGATCTGAAGGAGAGGGGTTCATGCCACCAGTTACTTGACCAGCAGAGAATGCACCTAAAATTGCTTCCTAGAATCTCTTTTGGGTTCTGCCACAGCATTTTGGATGAGTCTTGTGAGCCTCTGCTTCATGATCCCAGTTTCAGATTTAAAATTTGGAAAGTGAGTTTATGGCTATGTCCATGTGTGACAAAATGCATGGTGAGAAATCAGCATTGGGCATTAAATACAAAGTAGAGACGACAAAGTGAGGTGCTCAACTTGAGATTCAGGTAGATCTCTTTCCTACTAATTTCCCCTCCTCTCTCTCATGGTCACATATGTGTTTGTGGCCTTCTGGGATGAATATATATACATCTGTTTCTTCTGCTATAAAATTAAGTAAAATTTGGGTTTGTCTGCTGCTGGAAGAGTTTGGAATGGTATCTAGTTCAAAGCTTAGACCCTGCTTGAAAATATTCCAGGATTGCTCTTGATATGGAAGCTTTTTGTTCAGTTCTTCTAGATCAGCTAAGCCTCAATGTTCTTCAAAATGAAAGAGAATTGTCTTCATGAATTTTCTGGCTAGCCCATGCCTATTTGAGCAGTTTAACCTTTCATGTACACACTCAACCGTGGACCTTTAGTTGTGCTATCTTAAATTTTAAATATAAGTGTTCTGTCCACGAAGCCTTAAGACACAGGGCCCTGGGTACTTTCTTCCTTACTTATTTTTAACTGTGGCACTTTGTTAGTGGATTAGCTAATTTTGGTCAAGTCTATGAAAATACGCCTGGAAAAAGAGGCAAAAGTTGTAATCTGGTAAGCACTTGGATGATATCCCCTGAATTTTGACCCCGCTCTCCTTTCCCAGTTATTTGTATGAGCTTATGTGCTTGTAGGGGCTGAGAGCCTGTCTGTGTTTCAGTTTATCATTGTTGACTCCAGACACTCATAGTTCCTTTGAGGCGGGTGAATGCTTAGTAGTTATTTATCCACTCACCTCTGGAGGGGATGTGTGGCCAAGGCTTTGGAATAGTCTCAGGCCTTCTATGTGTGTGTGTGTTGGCACATACACAAATGCTCCCACCGAATCTGGTACAGACCATACACGCACTTGCACAAGTATTAGGAGTACTAGGTATTTAAAAGGGGCTCAGTTTTTCCAACATAACTGGCAGAAATTTTGAAGAGTCTAAATTACTGAATTACACAGTTTATCAAAAAGTCACTAATGGTGGTTCCAAAATTACCAGAAGTCCACAAAGCGGAGCTACCCTGCTGAATGATCCTAGCTTATGTTACACACTGGTTTCTAGTGGCTGGGTAAGCACAAAATGCTTGTTTTTTAAGTGCTTGGCAGGCAATAACACCTTCAAAATGAAAAAAGATGTAACCACTGAGTATAAGTTTTAAAATAATAAGAACAAAAAAAATTTTTTTGTGCTTACGTTGGGCTTATTCCATCTTGAATTTCATTAGGTTGATGTATTAAATGAATTTTACATTTTATTATTGTAACAATTAGAATCCTTTGCTATTGGCAAGGCTGACAGTTGATGTTTGAGCAGAAAGATAAGTGTCTTGAGTGGCAGCTACGTTTACTTGGAAATGCCTCTTATCCCTGTCAAAGCAAAGAGGTATCTTTGTGTCCTCTCCCTTTTGAAGGGAAACAGTTGGGATTCTAATGCAAACCTGAAATCTGTGGCAGATGCCAGAATGTACCATTTACAAAGCCCAGAGTCCCTAGAACAAAGTATTTCATTGATGTTCTGGTAATTTTCTTGCCTTTGCAAGTTCTTGTAAGAATGGAAAGAAAGATAGTTTCTCCAGCATACTTTTTTTTCTTTTTGGCTTATGACAGGAAATATGGGTTTCTGTTAGTGTTCTATATTTTAAGTCTTTTGTTGCAATGTTGTTCTGATCAAATGTTTGTGATAGCATAGTTAGGAGCTTATCCACATTCTTGGTTAGAAGATCAAGGGCAAGAGCTTGAAGGGCTGAGGAGATAATGAGCAGTTGTGTTCTTCCATTTTGTTAAAGCATTGCATTTTAGATTCCAGGTAAAAGGATTTTTTCTAGTGTCTCAGCTGATTTCACTTGCTTTGGTTGATGCAGGTGAGAAAGAAGAGTCCCCTTGGGCTCCTAGAATATTGAAGGCAGAGACTTCTGTGAAGCGAGTTGTCTGTTTCCTTGCATAAGGGCTATGTGACCATTAATCCTTGTCTGAGGGGTGCTTTGACCGTCTTGAGGGACATGTGTGCCTATCTCAGCCATCACTGACAAGTCTGGCTGGCTCATGAAGTCTGTGCTCGTCTAGATCACTACTACCCTCTACTGACAGTTTCCTACCCTGTCTCTTTGGTCGACCCGCCATGTGGCCCCCATGGGTCAGGCCTCTGTGTTTGTACTAATGAACATTACGCTTTCTTACCAGGAAGAGGAAGAACAGGAGGAAGAAGATGATGATGAAGATGATGATGACACCGATGATTTAGATGAGCTTGACACTGACCAGTTGCTGGAGGCGGAGTTGGAGGAGGACGACAATAATGAGAACGCAGGGGAAGATGGGGACAATGACTTCTCTCCCTCTGATGAGGAGCTAGCAAACCTTCTAGAGGAGGGAGAGGACGGGGAGGATGAAGACTCTGATGCAGATGAGGAGGTGGAACTGATCCTGGGGGACAGTAAGTATAGGGCAGAGTTCAGGCTGAGCCTTGGCACCCAGGGCAAGATCCCTTCTTTTGTGCCCATACAACTTAGAGGGCAAGCCATACCACGGTTCTGTGCCCCATAATTTGATTCACTACTCTGGTCTCTTGAGGCAAAGCACCTTTGCATCTCTGCCCTCCTCTCCTGTCAGACTGTGGAACCCAACCAAATGGCTGTCATTTCTTATCTTTCAAGTAGAGATTGGCAGACTTTTTCTGTAAGATCAGACAGTAAATATTTTATGCAGCCGGGCACGGTGGCTCACGCCTGTAATCCCAGCACTTTGGAGGCTGAGGCGGGTGGATCACCTGAGGTCAGGAGTTCGAGACCAGCCTGGGCAACATGATGAAATCCTGTCTCTACTAAAAATACAAAATTAGCTGGGCGTGGTGGCACATGCCTATAATCCCAGCTACTTGGGAGGCTGAGGCAGGAGAATCGCTTGAACCTGGGAGGCGGAGGTTGCAGTGAGCCGAGATCGTGCCACTGCACTCCAGGCTGGGATAATAGAGTGAGACTCCATCTCAAAAAAAAAAAAAAAAAAAAAAAAATGCTTTGTAGGGTATATGGCCTTTGTTGCAGCTCTTCAACTCTGCTGTTGTAGTGAGAAAGCAGTCATAGACAATCCGTAAATGAATGATTGTGGCTGTGTTCTAATAAAACTTTGTTTTGCAAAAATAGGTGGTGGGCTTGTAGTTTGTCAACTCCTGCTTCAGAGGATTAGCCTTAGAATGAAAGGCCAAAGTGTAGCTCTCCGCCGAGAGGCATGGCTAGAATCAGTCAGAAGCAGCCCCTCATGGGGTGCTGTTCTTTTTGGGGTGAATTATAAAGAAATGCAGGCCCTCTTGTGGAGGAGCCCTTTCCTGTCTCCCTTTGGCTAATCCCTCCTAACAGCCAAGGGGAAAATATTTTCCCTTTGGCTTCTGGTTTATTCACTTCCTTTTATTTACCTTTTTTTCTTAATCCAAATTTTGAGGAACAAACTCCAGTTCTTCTAGTTATTTCCCATTAGGTTTCTGAAGTCAAGTTGTCCCCTGACTATGGTAATGAATCCTGCAGAAATCAGCAAATAGTTCAAAGAGGCTGTTAGCTCTGCAGCTGTACATGAATCTTCTTACCAAGGCTGTATTTTGAGGAAGCTTGAGGGTGGGAGGGTAGGGGAGTGTCTTCTATATGTTCATCTGCTGTTCATCAACTTCTGTTTTTTCATACTTGGAGGCTGAGGTGATTCAGTGGAGTAGGCCGAAGCCTGGTCAGACAAAGTTTTAATGAACGTTTTTGTCACGTGTGAATAGTGAGACATGGGAAACAAGTTATACCTCCTTTCAATTACAAGTAGTTAGCAGGGCAGGTTCGCAGGGTCAGCAAACAGCAGGCCAGCTGATGGTGGTGCTCCCAAAATAAGAGAGCATCACTTTAATTTTTCCATTCTTAATTTGAATATAAAGCCACTCAGTTTGTATTTGGCCTGTACAATTACTGCCTCTTTTAGCTGTTGAGGAAATTCCTTCTTTCAAGCCAAAGGTAATCTGGAAAACTTTAACTCTATCAGTTGTGAGAATGTTGTTACTTTATGAGAATATTTACGATGTGAAAATAATGGATCACAACTTGAGGACGTCTCAGAGTGGACTTCAGAATTGAGGTGGAGATGCAGAGGTGGCATCTGGAGCACACTCCATGGCTCTTTCTGTGTTTCATAGAAGAGCCAGCTGCTGTCAGCAAGGAGAGCATTCTTAGCACCCATGGTTTTGCCTAACACTAATCCTTTAGAGCAGTAGCTCTGAACCTTACTGGGCTTATGAAGAGCCCTTTTAGGATAGGGTGAAAGCCATAGAAACTATAGAAAACCACACCCATGCGCCCCCACGTACCTTTACGTAGGCCCTGGAGTCTGCAGGGACTCCCTGATTGCAGATGCAGAGCCCTGGCCCTAGGAAGAGAAACAGCTTGATTCTGAGATCTTTTTTTTTTTTTTTTTTTTTTGAGATGGAGTCTCACTCTGTTGCCCAGGCTGGAGTGCAGTGGCGCAGTCTTGGCTCACTGCAAGCTCCGCCTCCCGGGTTCATGCCATTCTCTTGCCTCAGCCTCCTGAGTAGCTGGGACTACAGGCGCCCGCCACCACCCCCAGCTAATTTTTTGTATTTTTAGTAGAGACAGGGTTTCACCGTGTTAGCCAGGATGGTCTTGATCTCCTGACGTCGTGATCCGCCTGCTTTGGCCTCCCAAAGTGCTGGGATACAGGCATCAGCCACTGCACCCGGCCTGATTCTGAGATCTTTATGTGTCTCTGCTTGTCAGCCCTGCCTCCAGAACCTGTATGTTGTAGAGCGATAGGTTAAACACTACAGGGATTAATTATACCTAGATTGTCTGCCTTAGCGACCTTTCAGAATGGGAGGTCCTAACCAGGGTTTGGGATTGGGTCACTTCAACACTTGGAGAATGGGGAAAGGATAAGGAAGGTGGGGAAAGGATAAGGAAGGTAGAGAAAGGCGTCCTATGGTCTGACCACCAGAGGGGAGTTGGTGCCCAAGCCCTGGAGGTTTTCTCTCAGACCTTGAGCCTGACAGTTACTTGCTTAAAGAAGATTGTGCTGTGACCTCGTTAAGCTGCATTTACAGTTCTTAGATGTGCTACAGCGTGGTTAAGATTCTTAGTTCTTAAGAGCTGCATAGCTGCTGGGCAGAAGGGTCTCAGGCCGGTGGGTCTGGCATTGTTGGCTTGTGGAGAGCATGAGTCCTGGGGGATGCTGTGGATGCTGCCGCAGGGACCAGGCAAGTTTGTGGTATGGGGTGGGGACACAGTGCTGGACTTGGCTCTGGGGAGGAGGCCCCACACCCTCCTGTGACACTTCCTCCTGGAGCTCTTACAGCAGAGGAGCTGAGGCTTGCTTTGTTCAGCTGTGTTAGATAATAGTTCTTTGCCATCTCCATCTTGTTTTCCTACTCTTCACCAATACATCACCAATACAGTCAGGCCACTCTTGTGCCCACTTAGACCCAGGAACACTGGTTTTGTCAGCCATTTCTTTTGCTTACTTCCAGACTTTTTTGTATCATTGCCATGCTTTTCTTGGTTTTCCTTTGTCCACTTCAGTTTTCCTCCTAAAGGAAGTTGTGTTTGGGGATAATGAATGAAGGAAGGTTTGGGAACATGATTGCTCTCTGTTTGTCCAAGAGTTGATTCTCTTAGGCACTGGAAAAAGGCTGATGAGGGATTCTTTGCATCTAGTGGCTGCCCCTTACCACATGGGGCATTTGCAGGGCTCCAGCTCAGGGTTTGTCTGTTTTACGGGCTCAGGGTTTGTCTGTTTTATGGGGGACCTAGGTAAAATGGTTTCATAGCCTCCTGAGCTACGAGTAATCAAATTGGGCACTGAGAACTTTCCTTTTCTTTGACTCAGCGAATATTAGAGTCCCTACAAGCTAGGTACCCTGTTTCTTTCTGATTTTGATCAGCCAGACATGGTGTATCTACCTCATCTTGAGGGTCCTTTTTGCTACCACTTAAGTTTCACCCCTTAACAGATCCTTCCAGAAGTGTTAATGTGTCCGTGTGCTGCCAGAGAAGGCAGATTGTCAAGCAGAGAGGGTCCTCATCAGAGACAGTGCTGTCTTCCAGGGCGTCACACTGCTCCCGCTGGCCTCCTGCCTCTGGATGGGTAGCTACTTCTCTTGTATTGCTGCAAATTGGCCTGCACCTTTTTGGGAATATAATTTGCAGACTATATTCTGAAATTACAGAGGCATGAATCTAGGGTGACTATCTCTGCCTTGGTGGTCGGTCTTCTGAGGATTGAAGGGAGTGACTAAGGTGTTTCAGAAAAGATACATCTCTCACTTTTGCCTGGTCTTAGCCTGCCTTTCTAGTGGTCTCTTGGGGTCAGGCAGGCCTGTGCGTATCCTTGAAGGACAGCAGAGGCCAAGGGCCATGGAGGCTTACTCACTGCTCCCGTCAGCTCTGCCCCTTTGCAGCCATTTAAAGTGGCATGGGGGGAAGCTTCAGATGGCACTCGCTTGATCCCTTCAGCGCCTCCCAGGCAGGAAGCAGGGGAACTGTGTCCAGGCCCTTAGGAGAGCAAAAGGTCTCCGGGAGAATACAACTGCCAAGCAACAGGAGTATTCTCCAGAGCCAGCTCCAAGGAGTTAATTGATGTGTTTTCTTCTTTCTGGAAACTGGTAGTTAACCTTGCTCGGGCATGAATGTATGTGAGTGCAGGTGCTTCTGTAGGAAAGCTTCCTATAAGCCTAGTGTGTAATCTTGTCTCTCCCTTTTCTTCCCTTTCAGCTGACAGCTCTGACAACTCTGATTTGGAAGATGACATCATCTTATCTCTGAATGAGTGAGGAGCCATCACTGCTTGGAAGAGATTCTTGGCAGGCGAGAAACTGAGTCAAATGAATTCAGAACATATTCCCTTCTCTTTCTCCCAGGGCTGTCTGTCTTTTAAGGAGCTGCATGCCCTGCATTCAGAAGATTATGGCTTAGAGAGCCTCATTGGCACCCGAGGGTCCTTCCAGAATCAATAACCACCACAAAAATGACAACAGGGACTAGGCCCTACTCTGCACCCCCCACATCCACCCCCCACCATTTCCTAGGATGGACATATCTTTCAAGGGGAAAAAAAAACCATGTCTCTGGGGTATTTCACAATATATTTTCTTTGTATAGTGTTCTTTACTTAAAGAACAAGAAATAGTTTTTTATAAAACTTTAAAAAGGAAAAAAAAACAGGCATTTATAACTGAGGGTATGAACTTATATCCACCAGGTCTCTTGTCCCTGCACTTCATTTTCTTTGGAAGAAAATGATGTCTAAAGAACAATATAGAGGCATTTTTACATACGTATTTAAATGAAAAGGAAAATCGTGGTTTCTTAAATTGATAAGGATTAAGAATATTTTATTATAAATATAATATATGATTTTTTAACCTGTTTTGTTGCCTCATATGCTGTCAGGTTAATTTGTTTTCCTTCGTGCCAGAGGTGGGGAGGAAGGCACTCTGTCTGCTGGGTAAATGCCTAAATTCACTCACCTTCATGGTTTGGGGGCAGCATGGTCATTGTGGATATTGGTTTTGTGGAGTTGAGGGAACTTAGGATATAAGTTCACTCCCTCTATTTTTCTTTGTGATTCAGTTTTTCAAAAATCTTTTTTTCTTCCCTTTCTCCCCATTGTGGAAATTACAAATCAAAGGCCTTTTTCTTTAATGTAAAGTGTATTTATTTAAAAAAAATACAAAATAAACTACAAGTCTGTCTTTGTTTATGGCCTTTCCCTATTTTCTTTTACCGAAGTGGGGTGTGTCCCTTTTTTGCAGCTCTAGCCAGGCCATAGAGAAGACACCTTCCAGGAGAGGCAAGGAGAGCATGTTCTGCCCACATAGAGCACTCCAGGGAGGAAAGTAGCTTATACTCACAGTGTCTGCCCCTGCCGTGTAGCTCTCTCATGGGGAGGGCCTGTTTTTGTAAGGGTAATGTGGAGAGAGAGGTCAGGGCTTTGTTCCCTGTGGACGCAGCTCTCTGTTGTCATGTTCTGGATCCAGCAGGCTGCTCCCAAGTACAGATTTGGTAGAACTGGAAAGGGAGGTATTCTGGGAAGTTTTGGAGGATGGAGTTGGCAAAGCTAAGGAGTGAAAGCATTTCGGCCGTCTCTGTAGCTGGGGCAGCGGCCACTAATGTTTTCTGAAAGGGATTGTGACAGTGGACTTGAGCATCCTGGCAGGTTAGGGGTAGTGGAGCTTGTCTGCGTTTGTAGAAAGATACTTCAGAGGCCCCTAAAATTGGCCTATGGTTAAACTGTGTAACCACCAGGCAAGGTACCAGGGATTTCCACCTTTTCACTCACCCGCCCCACCCTGTTTTCCTTCCCACAATAAATAGAAGACCATAGTCTCTTTCTTCCTTTGATTTTGCCCAAATAACAGCTGCTCAGTTTGTTACATAGGTATTATCCAGCTAAAGTGACTTCTCTCCCTTAACAGAGAGAAGAGGGGACAAATTTGGTTGTGAAGTAAACAAGAAACACAAGACGGCTAAAACTCTCCAGGGGCAGGTAAAGCCCTGCTGGGCTCAGAAGCACTATAGAATTTGCTGTACACACTGAAGTGGGTCTGTGTCACACAGGTATTTCTTGGTCCTCTGGAGAGCAGAGGACTCACTCAGCTCTTTGCTTCATGCCTCGCTTTAATGGTAGTAAACACTTAACCAGTGGAATAGTCTGACTGCTGGTACTGATGGCATCAGAAGAAAACAGGTTAACAATCAAGTAGTGAAAGCACTATATTCTAGTCATTAACTCAACGGAGCCAGTCTCAACTCTGCTGGGAGCACCCACAGGTCTCTGTGGGGGAGACAGGGACTATAACAGGGAGGCAGAATTCAGGTTGGCTTGACAACACACCTTAGGAACATGTGCTAAGGGGCTAAGGAGGCATCAGCTGTCTTCCTTATTCTACCAGGGCTGAAAATCGGAGTCACTTAGGAGGCAGCATGAGAACAGTGGCACACCACCAGTGAGGCACATGTTGCCTTTTTGTCTTTAAGCAACACCTTAGACAGGGCCTGAACCCTGGGTGGGGGCACTGGATGCCTGAAGTAAGTAAGTTTTCTCAGTGGGGCAGTCTCATAAAATCACCAGGACATTGACCACCTGACCTCCCCTAACTAGTGCTGGCCAAGGCCTGAGAGTTCACAGAACCTGCTAGGTCTTAAGAGCCAAAGGAAGGAAGTGGTTGAGGGCCAGGAAAGAGAAGGAATGTCATGCCAGGGTGTTACTCCTCACCAAAACTTGGCAGTTCTTTTTGGGGCCATGGGACACCTTTCTCTGAAGAGGGGTTGGATAAGGCAAAGGTTGAAGTGTCTTCTCTAGGCACGTTTTCTAGCATGTTTCCTTTTACTTGGTTCTGTCTCACAAAGCTGGGAGGTAGATGATTCTTCCGGGTCCTGAGCACCTGCTTCATGAAGGAAGATAGGTAGCCCAGAGAAGAAGTTTTGGACTTAACAACATACCAAGGCAGCTCTGGCCTGTGACTCAGGCGTTTGTTGGAGAGCTGCAGGAAAACCACTGCAGTGTGCCTGCAACAGGACAAGACCCACTCCTGTTTCTGGCGGTACCAGCTACCCTGGAATGGTGGCGTGTCCTGCTGTACCCAACTGACTTGCTTAGGTACCTGGCAGCTGTGACCACAGCTCAAGTAAAAAAACAAAAACAGGCAAATAAATAAACATGCTTAACATGTCTTTGTGTTGCTGTTTTGTTATGAACGTGCTTGCTCTCTTGCGAGGCACCTGTCCATTCCACATCACCGAGGGGTCTACGAGAGCACTGCCAAGTGTTCCTGTGGACCAGCATGACCTCTCCACAGCCTGCAGTGAGCCCCAGCCTCTAATCTCAGGTGTCACTCATGCTACCTTATCCTAGCTCCGGTAAGGGAGCAGACCTGGAGAGAGGATGCCACGGCCAGCAGAACCTGGAGTTCCTGGTTATCATCTAGGGGCTCATTCGCTTACCAGAGCTTCTGTTCTCCTCAGCCCTGACAGTGTTCCCTGTTTGAACATCCAAGGTACCAGACACGCTGAAGAATGGCATTTGGGGTGTTCCATGGTGACAAAACTGTGTGCTCTGGTTTTCCTCCCTGGCCCACACTGTCCGCAGTACCTTCCTTACTTACTTGAGACAGGGAAGAAGACGGAATCTCACCCTTCTTCCCAGCTAGAGGGTACCTCCGCATCCCTTTCCTCCCCAACTGGCTTGAGTGGCTTCAAGCTCTAGCACTGCCTAACAAACAAACAAACACCTCAGTGACTTGTGATTTCCCCCCAGAAAAATATCTATTAATTATTTCCCAATGGTCTCCACCTCGGCATCAGGGCACAAGGTGTAGGCACATGCTCTGATCTTGCACCTAGGAAACCGTCATTATCAAGGGCATCCCCTAGTCCACTGTGCTCCCCGGTAAGTACTTCAGTCTAGAGGTTCAGTATCCCCCCACAAATCTCTAGGTATGACTGGACACGGGCCTGCTCTATTACCCATCACCCCTGAACGACCAGAGAAAGCCAAAAATCACAAACAACTAGGCAAAGTTCATGAGTAAATCCAAGGAAGGCTGCCTCCAACCCTCCATTCCAGTATTTGGACTCCCGGGCCCCTGGGAACCTGAGGCAACTCTGTCTCCCAACACTGGCTATCCCTGGGCTGAGTGAGGCTAGAAAGTAGGCCGAACCAGGAGCCTGGACAGATCAGGGGCCCCGAGACCCCCTGGCATCAACAGTGCACAGCTTCTCCTTGTACAAGACTACACAGCTGCTGAAGGCTACCTGCTGCCAAACATGCTGAGTGGGCACTCTGTCCCAAACAAACAGCCACAGCTCAAACTGATGATGATGGACACACACACGGTTTAAGGCAGAAAAAACCATCAGTAGCTGCTGACCACAGGCCTTGCGCTCACCCCATCCCTTCCTTTGCATGGGCTCTACTCAGGCTTGTGTGGCAGCGTCCACAGCCCAAACTGAAGCTTGCCTGCTGTCAGCCAAGATAAAAATGAGTGTAAGTAGAGTCCAGACTGAGCCTGAAGAATTGAGAGGCCGAGAGTGACCCATGCAGCAGTGGTGCTGGAAGGATGACGTAGGGCATTCGTGTACATGCACTAGGGATGTCTTCGATTCTTTTAGCTTGATTGATTAAACCAGGACTCTGAACAGGTTTAAAAATCCATCCTCTGTCAAAGGTTTTACTGACAACTTTCCATACAGTTGGTCAAAAAATAAAAAAATACAGAACCACAGCAGACAGTATCTTGTACACTAGAAATCAACATAACCGGATTCCCTTCTCATCGTTTAAAAAAAAAAATCCCCCAAAATCTAAGAACTTAGTTTTGGTGGTGGACAGGACTTTGATCCCCACCCAAATGAACCAAAATAACCCAGGAGATAATTCAAACCAAAGTGGTAGGGTAGAGAGGGGATCAGATTTTAAAATAACTGCTTTTGTGACACAAACATGACGCTGGGAAAGACAGGCTTGGGCTAGGCAGTGTCTCTGACGATGACTATCACCATGTGTTCTTCTTCTAGCTTGCCCAATGTCCTTAGTGCTGACTGGAGGTACTGCTGGGAAAAGTCGCAGGGTGGGAAGGCGTAGAGCATGCCTGTGCCGTCTCTGCCCTTGGACCCCCCCACTGGCAAGCTGATCACCCCTGCGGCCTGCTTCTGTTTCAAGTAGGAGACCAGGTTCCTGAGAAGCCGCCTCTGCAGACCGGGCTCTACTGTGGGCATCCCCTCAGTGCCAAGCCCACTGGGGGTTGCCTGGGTGGCTAAGAGGACCGCATAGCCGTTGGGGCTCCCCTGCTTGATGCGTCGTGTGACCTCGTCAAGCTTGGGCTGGTCCAGTCGAAGGCGCTGGGCGATCTTCAGCTGGGTCAGCTTGCTCCCAGAAGTGTGGTCTTTGAGGAGACTGCTGATCACCCCCTGGTCCCCCTCTAGGATATGCATAGACGTGGGGAAGCAGCTGTTTTTCAACACCAGAAGCCCATTCCAACCCAGCTGTAGTGTCTGAGCGTACTCTGAAAGATTCTTCAGCTTTTTGGTCTCGTGTTTTGGCTCTTCCAGAGGCTTGGGCTCGGCCTCTGTGGTCCGGTGATTGCGCTCGCTGTCTCTTGCCTTCTTCCCGTGGGAAGAGTCTGCAGCCTCGTGGTGGTGGTGGTGGTGGCCCCGTTCCTCAGCCCCATGTCTGCTGTTGCTGAGGGAGTTGCTGCTGGACTCCTTGGTCCCTTCACTGGAGTGGTTCTCCTTGCGGCTGCGCTCAGGGGTGCGGTCGGAGCCCCGCTCTGACTGCTGCCCACTGCCCTTGGTCCTACTCCGTTCCTCATATGGTGAATGGGTTGTCCTCCCACGGTCACTGGAAAGGCTTCTCCGTTTCCGCCTCTCTTCCCAGGGCTTGGGCAAACCACGGTCTCCATCTGCCCCCCAACGCTCACCACTCCGGCTGCGCACTGAGCGACTGTAGCCCTCAAGGCTGTTTCGGCGGTCAGAGCTTTTACTGGGGCTGGTCCAGTCCCCTTCCAAAAAAGTCCGGTCTCGGTCTGAGTACAGAAGGTGTGGGGGCGTCCTGTCCCGCACCAGGTCGGCGTCCAGGTTGCGGTGCCGGGTGTATCCATCTGTGAGCAGCTCATAATGCACAGGGAGTGGCGAGGGCTGGTACTGCTGGGGGTACCGAGTCTCCTCTGCTTTGGCAAAATCCACGCGGAGCCTGCGGTCTGGTCCACCCAAGGGAAAACCCCTCATTTTAGCACAGGCGGCCTGGGCTGCGTCCAAGCTCTCGTACTGAATATAGGCAAAGCTATCTCCTTTGACGTGATCAATGGTCCGAATGCTCCCAAAGCGGTCAAACTCTCGGGCCAGAGCCGCCAGTGACGTGTTAGGTCCCAGGCCACCCACCCAGAGACGAGTGGTGGGGTTGGCCTTGCCATAGCCTATCTTAATGGGGTTGCGACCAATCACTCGGCCCGACATGGCCACCTTAGCCCTATGGGCCATGTCCAGGTTCTGGAACTTGAGGAAGGCATAGGCACCGCCCTGGCCACGGGCAGGCCTCTTGATGACCACCTCCTCGATGATGCCATATTTCTCGAAGGCCCTTCGCAGCTCCACCTCAGATACGCTGTGGTCCAGGTTACCAATGAAGAGGTTGCGCGTGGCCCGCTGGTCATCCTCGGGCATCAGGTCCTCCTCACACACAGCTGGGTAGCCATAGGGGCGCCCACGGTCGTCGTACAGCCCGTAGTAGTCCAGGGCCCGCTCCCGGGACAGTCCCACGGCGGCGGCAGCAGCGGCATCCAGGGCGAAGGCTGCGGCGGCGTGACGGGCACGGGGCTCCCGCAGGGGCGGGGCAGCGACGGGGGACAGCGAGCGCTGCTTGTACTGGTAGCCTCCGTGTAGCGGGAGGTAGCCGAGCGGGTCGGCGGGCGCGGGCGGCCCTGGGGGAGGCGTGGAAGCGGCGGCGCTGCTGCTGCTACTTCGCCGACTGCTCCCGCCGCCGCCACGCAGGTACACGGGCTCTACCTTGAGCGGGCGGTCGTAGAGCAGCAGCTGCCGGGCCAGGGCGTGCTGGCGGGCCTCGCGTGCGTCCTGTGGGTGCCGGAAATTCACGTAGGCCACACGGCCCAGCTCAGGCGTGTGCGACAGGCGGAGGCTGATCTCGCCGAAGCGCTTGAACTGGTGGAAGAGCCGGTCCTCGAGGTGCTCGGCGGGCAGCGCGGGGCTCAAGCTGCTGATGAGCAACGTCTTGTACTCAGGCGCGGCCGCGGATGAGCCGGGACACGCGGGCTCGGCCCCAGGCGGTGGCGGAGGCGGCGGCAGAGGAGACGCGCGGGGCGACATGCCGGAGGCGCCCGGGTCCCCCGAGGCCTTGCCGCCGCGTCCCCCGCCGCCAGCGCCGGAGCCCGAGGAGCGCCCGCTACTCGCGCGGTGATTCGCGTCCCCGGTGCCGCGGCCGTCGCGATGCCCGCCCCCGCCGCTTCCGCTGCCGCGGGGTTTGTCGCGGGCCCGCGCTGGAACCGGGTGCTTGGCGCCGCCAGAGGCCTTGTGCGCCGCCCGCCGCCCGCCCGCCTCCGCCTCCCGTTCGCGCTCCCGCGGACGCTTGGCGGACGATGACGAGCCGCGCCCGCTCGGGCTAGAGTCTCGCTCGCTCTGCCGCTTCATGGCGCTGGCGCGGCGGGCGGGCGGCCCGTAGGTTTCTCACAGCGGCGGCGGCGGAGGCGGCGGCCGAGGAGGCAGCGCCCCCGGCGCCGCCATCTTGGACAAAAGGACTCGGCGCGGCGGTGGCGGCGGGGCGGGGCGGGAGCGGCGCCGAGGGGCCGGGCATTGCGTTATCAAGGTGCGCCGTCCTGCCACGTGACTCTGCGGCGGGCGGAGCAAGACCCGCGCCGGGCCTGCCTCATCGCGCTGCGTCGCCCAGTGCCAGGTGACCCTGTGAGTGCTGGGTGAGTGGGACCGGCCGCGCGCTCTGGCGCCACCGCGCGGCCCGCATGGCCGATGCTTGAGGCTACGCGGAGTGTAGTGAACCCTGAGAGGCCGGCGAGACGACCTAACGCTTTGTGCTCCCAGCCGTGCTTTGCCGCTCTGGGTCCAGCTATCTCCTCTTGCAGGCACTGGAGCCCGCGCTGATTGGAGCAGGAGTGGCAGCTTCCATGGCCGTTGGGATCTGGGGCATTGACCCAGTCAGTGGTCTCTTTATGTAGTATCCCCTCAGTCCTAGGACTAGGCTTGAGCAAACCCCACATCACCCTCGTTGGCATCTCCTGCCTGGGATCCGGCGTTGACGGCGCCAAGGACTAATGCATGCCTATCCTTAGACCCTGCCCAGGACCCAAGGCCCACATTCTGCGCATTCTCCACGTGCAGGTTCACCTGCAGCAGTCCCCGAAAAGGCCGTGAGGACAATTGCTGTCACGCAGGTAATAACCGAAAGCAGAGACAAGCCTGCAGTTGCAGTTGATGGAGTTGGAATAGACTCTTTAACGCCACTCTTGGGTCCCACCCTCTTCTGTGGGCAGATAGCAGGCTGGAAAGGTAGGGCCGTAAGAGCCAAGGATGAAGAGGCCATATGCACAGATAGTGCCAGCAGTTATCACACCTTGCCACGCTGACCCCTCGCTGGCCAGTACCCTCCTGTTCATCACCTTCAGGACGACCTCTTCTCCCCAGGTGAGGTGAGGGAAAGGGTGCCCAGGTGCTCAAGCCCATTGAGGAAGCTTTCATTCTCCAAGGACAGTTGCTGGAGCCATGGTAGAACCTGACCCAATTTCTGGCACAGAATCCTTGCGATGGGGAAGAGCAGACCAAGTCATGCCCTCTTCGCACAAAGAGAAAGCAGCTCCTGGAGTAGCTCAGGCAGGTGCAGGGGGAAAGGTCTTGGAAGAAAGCAATGGGTTCCACAGCAGCAAGGCCTCCTACAGGCAAACTGAGCTTAGGAGACACAAGTGAAGTGATCTGAGGCAAGACCAATTACTTGGAAAGCACTGGTTCTTAGTCCGTCCTTTCAGGTGGTTTCTACAGGTGTCTTCATTGAGCCACAGCTCACACTAACAACTGGGTTTCCTAAGCACCAGTGCCACAGAGAGTGGCTTAAGAAGCAGACTCCAGCAAAACCCTGGACCTCAACTGTTAGACTAATCTAGGGTAAACAAAGGCAAAAGGCAGCTTCCCACTCCCTCTTTGTATAAGCTGACTCCTGCCAGACTTGCAAAAACTGGAACAGACATCAGAGGCTTGGAATGGACAAAAGAGCAAGTAGGTGGCCAGGCCAACAGCATCTTTATAGAGATGTCAGTGCTGACGTGCACTGATTGAAGATATCCTTGTGGAAAAACCACACTCCAGACACCCTGTCTTGCTTGTACTGAGCCACAATATAAGGCCCTCCAATGTATCCCAGACTCACTCCTCCTAGAGCTGTGGCCTCCAGCTCTCTTGGGCGGGTAAGACAGATACTGTATCAAGGGGCAGGGTATCAAGCGCAGCACCCCCCGCCCCCGCCACCTCCTTTCTGCTGAGTGCCTGCTGCCCTCTAGTGGTACACACCCACACACATCAGCTGGCCCCAGCCCCTATGTCCTGCTCTGGTATTTTCAGCACTGGTGGGTTGAGAGATAAATGGGAATGAATAACCCCCCAAACTCTGCAACTGGAAAGCAGAAACTGGTAGGAGCCTCCTGGGGCAAAACCCCATTTTGGTATTCACTATAATTCTGCAAGGACAGCTAGAAATTTTTTTTCTTTAATAAAAAAATCCCAGACACACTTTGAAGTCCTAGAGTACACCAGCAACAGAAGGAAGGGAATCCCCTCATGGGGGTACTGTAGGGCCAGCATCATCAGGAAAGCTCCAGGCTTCACATCTGATACAGTATTGTCAGGAGCCCACTTAAAAAATAAATTACAAAAAGGCTGTTTTGGGAGTAAGCAGTTGAACTGTTTTTTCCCCCTCAGGTGCAACAGAGATTGAGCAGACTACAAATCGGTCCGTGCACTGGCTGCCTTGGGGGCATATTTAGGCATCAGTTCATTTATCTTCCGGATGTAGTCAGACTTTTCTGCACAGCCTTTGCATGTCTCCCCCCAGTCATCCAGAATCTTCTTCAGCTCTTTAACTCGGAGCTTCTTCAGGTCCACTGTGCTCAGGTCGATCTGCTTGTCTGGAGGAGAGAGCAGGGAGAGTCACTGACTGGGTGGAGCACCTGCAGTCCCCCAGTAGTCCCAGAGTATGTCACTCCCTGAACGGCCAAACCAGCCCTACTGGTTTCAGAGGAAGAGACATTTCCAGACACATTTACAGGCATGTCAGTGCCTACTGCCCCCACAAGAGGGAACTAGCCTCTTCACCAGGAAGGCTGGCTACATATTATGTCTACTACAGATATGCAGCGTGAACAAGGATAGGGACAGAGGCCACACTGTCCTTATAGGAGAAACATGGTTCCCATCTTCCAAGTGCCTCTGACATAGTCACCACATACTAACAACTCCAGGCTGGTGCCAAAGAGCAGCCCTGCTCAGGCCTTTGAGTTAGGAACTTACTCTCCATGACCACAGTGACCTGGAGCCAACTGGACCTGTACCAGGAAGACGCAAGTAGGTGAACACAGGTCCTTGGCCATTCAAGTTTTTCAGAAGAGGCCCTGACTGTTTCTGAAGACTGGGACTATGTACACCAGAGACCCAGTCAGCAAGAGAGATGCTGTAGTTCCTAACTCTTGGGCTTGCATGCTTGGACATAGTGTTTCTTTTCAGAATAGTAAAAATCACTGGGGCTTCAGAGCTTGCAGCCAGAACCAGCCTGTTAAACCCAAGTCGTACTATGTCCCTTCTCTGCTGAAAAACTCCTAATGCTCCTAACTTCACGCAGATTAAAAGCCCTCACCAGCCTGCAATGCTCTCTGACTTGCCATGCCACTGGACACCTTTATCCTGCCTGTATCCTCTTCCATTAGCTGGCCTCTTGGCTAATCCTCACCTCCTTCAAAGTTTGCTGAAATATCACTTCTTCAATAAGGCCTATTCTGACCTCCACCCACTTCCATGCCAGAGCCCTCCAGCATTTAGCACCATCTGTCATACAATACAACCCACTCATGACTCTAGCTCATCATTTTCCTCTCCCAGATGGGAAACAAACCCAGAAGGTGCACAGCATTCATTAAGAAAGGACTAGGCATACTCACCATACTTAAGCTCACATATCTGGCTGTCCTTCTTCTTAAGCTTCTCACAGATCTTCTCCACAGGGATGTGGTGGGCCAGAGGCTTTGATACCTCATTGATGATTTTGGTGGCTGCATCATCTGTGGCCCCGATATAGTAGCACTGGAGCAATAAAGGACAATGGCCTTCAGGAGGTGCTTGAGAGCCATCTCCTCCAAACATACTGACACCTTGAAACATCATCTCTCTGTAGGGCCTTACTTGTGTTTTGAGATAGGGCTCCCTGTCACCCAGGCTGGAATGCAGTGGCATGATCACGGCTCCCTGCAGCTTCAATCTGTTGGGTGGTGATCCTCCCCTCTCAGCCACCCTAGTAGCTGGGTCTACCGGTGTGGGCCACCACACCCAGCTAACTAAAACAATTTTTTTTTTTTTTTGAGATAAAGTTTTGCTCTGTCACCCAGGCTGGAGTGCAGTGGCGCAATCTTGGCTCGGCTCACTGCAACCTCCGCCTCCCAGGTTCAAGCAATTCTCCCTGCCTCAGCCTCCTGAGCAGCTGGGATTACAGGCGCCTGTCACCATGCCTGGCTAATTTTTGTATTTTTTAGTAGAGATAGAGTTTTGCCATGTTGGCCAGGCTGGTCTTGAACTCCTGACCTCAGGTGATCCACCCACCTCGGTCTCCCAAAGTGCTGAGATTACAGGTGTGAGCCACCACGCCTAGCCTAAAAATTTTTTTGTGCAGACAGGATTTCACCACTTTGCCCAGGCTGATCTCAAACTCCTAAGTTCAAGCAATCCTCCCACCTTGGCCTCCCAAAGTGCTAGGAAGACAGGCATGAGCCACCGCACCTGGCCCACAGCGGCATTTTTCGGTGCCCTGCCTGTACTGGTAGTCAGATTCAGCCAGTGTAAACCCTGGACTCTTAACACATGCTCAGTCCAAGCTGACAGCCACCAAATGAATTTAAGTGTCACCAGGGTTCAAACCTTTAACAGAGAGAAAAGCCAGAGACTGTCAGAGAAATTCAAGTTAGAAAACCCATTGCTTCACTAGGGCTTTTGTCTTGGATTCGGCCCTTGCCTATCCTGTAGGCACCCTGTCACCTTCTCCTGTCCACATACATGCCACACTCTTTCAGGCCTCTGGGCACTCACACTGCTGTTCCCTGTATGGGATGGTCTTACCCCACTTCAATGATAACCCTTCCTCAGAGACTTCTTGGCCACTCTAAATCAGCACCTGCTGGTCCATTTTCTTCATGACACCCAGACATTGCATTATTTGTGTGTCCGACTGTCACTTCTTTCCCCTGATATTCCCAGTGCCTAGCACATAGTAGGTGCTTAATAAAGACTAACAGGATAAAAAAAAATCACAGTTGCAGAACACATGCTGCTTTGGGAAGGACATAGAAGCACTTCAGTCTTCTCACATTAGTTTATGGAGAGAGTAGCTGGCTTCCTGAACAGAGAGGTGGGCAAGGCCTTTTATCAAACGGCTGGTGAAGCCGAGGGTTAACATGAGCCAGGGCCAGTTGGGGAGGATCACCAGCTACTTACCAACCGATTCTCTTTGCCTCTTGCTTCCCGGCAGAACTTTATAAGTTCGTTTTCAATAGTGGCTGGTGAGAATGTGACATCTCTGTCTTTGAGGTCCTGGTAAAATCTTCCCAGATAAGAAATACAAACTGGAAAAGAGAGGGACGGGAGATGCTCAGCAATCACCAAGCTGTTCCAATCCACCAGAAAAGAACTCCGCCAGCAATTTTAATAGGAGACACGGAGATGAATCATTAGAGGTGAGCTTTTCCATCACCGATTTTTCTCAGGTGTCTACAGGTAGACAGAACCCGGTTCCAAGTGGCGGGGGTCCCCTGGTACACCCAGGGCATCAAAGGACCAAGCATCACCCAATGACCTATAAACGACTTCTCCCTGCTCCTTTCATCAAGTTTAAGCCCATGGTGAACACGTGTCCTTGAGACGGGACTCACTGTGACCTCATAAATGGAGAGACTGGAAGGTGAAGAGAAAAATGATCAAAATGCTGCTGCTAATTTCCAAATACAACAGCGGACCCAGAGGTGCAGCTTCGTGATCCCAACAGACAGGGCGCAGCACCCACGGCCAGCCCTGGAGCTCCCGACGCCGAACGGGGAGCGGTAACCTCTAGATGGTGGTGGGGACAATAACTCAGGAGTGATGGAGATTTCAGGACAAGTTTTCAACGGGATCTAGTCTCAACTTTTCTTCGTCGGACCAATGTTTTCTAGGCCCAAGAAAGATTTACTAGGGCGGGCGCCGGAGCCTCCTCATGCAGGCCCCGCGGGGACCTGCTGTCGCCCCCGCCCCCGCCCCCGCCCTCGCCCTCTTGGCCCCGGCCGTCTGGTGATGTTGTGGGGTTCAGCGCCGCCGCCAGAACGGTCACGGAGCGCGGCCCCCGGCCCCCTATCCCGCACCTTCGCAGTCGCCCGGCCGCAGCGCCCGGCTGCCCGGCAGCACGCTCAGAGCCAGCGCCACCGCCAGCCCCTGCGTGGCCCACATCCTCCTCATCCTCCTCATCCTCCTCCTCCTCCTCCTCCTCCGCTGCCGCCGCCGACCGACTGAACCGCACCCGCCGCGCCGCACCGCCTCCAAGTCCCGGCCGCGCGCCGTAGCTCCCCATTGGCGGGGGGCCCCCCGGCGCCCTCCCACATGCCACTTCCCCATTGGTCCAGGAGCCGCGAGCCCAGACGGGCGGCTCCACGCTGCCCTCCCTCATTGGCTGGTGGTGTCTGAGCCCTAGACAGTTGTCGGCCGCTGATTGAACCCGGGCTGGCCGCAGGAAGCGACTACAGCAGCGACGGAAGCGGTGTGGGCCGCCATCTTGGGTAAGGGCAGCGACTGTGGCTGAGGCTGGGTACTGCTAGCTGAATGGGGTTCGGCCACGCCTTACATCTGTTGAGTTGACCCGCGTACCCCTGCCCTGGGCCCCAGGCTCCCTCGAAAACCCCTGCTGATCTCCTCGCCCGGACTCCGACTCGTGGTGCAGGAGTTCTGGGGTCAGCCAAGACAACAGGTTAGGCAGGAAGGGCGGGCGGCCGCAGGCAAGGCTCAAAGAGGTTTCTTTTTTCTTCTTTCATTCGCGTGGGCAACGGATCCAACCTTTGAAAGCCCACCTGCTGATCCTCCACCTGACCGGAGCCCGCCGTGCATAGGCTGATAGGAGACGTGCGGGGTGGACGGACTGCGGGACATCTGAAGGAAGGGCTCAAGGCGCGCCAAGCTCAAAGCTGGGCCGCCACTCTAGACCGTGGAGGGAAGCGCCCGGGCCAGATCATCGGTCGAGGACATGGGGTCGCCTCAGAGTGGGAAGGTGAGGGGCTCGGGAGGTGCCCTTACAAGCTCTGAATCGTGGCTTGGTGGCTGGCCAGCCTCCTCCTGCCTCCCCGGCTAGGCCCTCGGGGTCCCCCGCTGCCGTGGGACCTCCTGAGTGGGGTCCCGGGAATCACCAGAGAAGCACTGGAGGATGTTTCCTTTTCGACTGCCCTCCTTTCAAGTGCCCTCCTGGCTGCCTGCCTTCAAGGCAGGATGCGGGAACCGTTGGCTCTACTCAGTGCAAAAAGGACATGTCTATAGGGCTAAAAAGGGCTTGGAGCCCGGCGACAAGGGTTGGAGAGGGGCACATCCTCTGCTCCCATTCAGTGAATTCAGTGGATCAGTATCACGTATTTATCTTTAATTCACATCACAGCAGTCAAGGAAGTGGGGAAAGGGGGAAAAAAAATCAAGTGGCAGATATTTACATCTAAAATTCACATTACTTGTTGGATTTTGAACATGCTACCACAATATATACAGTAAAATACCTCTTGGGACAATGGTACAAATTTTGTTTCCTTTAACTTTGCTTTTCTGGTACAGGTAAGATCATTTTTAAATCACTTTTTTTCTTTAAACATGAATACACAAAAGAAATGGTTAGAAGTTTCCTTGTTTTAAATAAGCACAGAATGCGGGAGGTTAAAAACACATTTATAGTGCTGAATACCAATTGGACATCACACTCTATACATTTTTTGCTCAAATTCCTGTACAAATACACAGCATTCAAATAGGTATTTACAAATAAGCTTGAAAGAATGAAAATCAGTATTTTACAATCTTTTCAAAGGGTTCTCATCTCTGGCCTCCCATTTCCCCTCAGACTGACTTATTCTCCAACAAAAGGGATTTCAGAATGTGTCCTTTTCATTTAGTTAGGGAAAATGGAGAGGGAAAACAAACGGTTTCACCTTGCATAATGCGAAGCCAAATGAACCCATACTCCCCTCCCTACCTCTTGTGCCACCAAGTGGAGAAGGTAGCTGTTCTTATGTGATGACTGCCTTGTCCAGGGATTGACTTTCAGAAGTGCCTTAAAATCTAAGCCCTCCTACCTATGAATCAAATCCAAAACTAGCCCCTAACCCCTAACCCTCTAACACCTGTGAACACCAGATGGTCCAGAGATTGAAGCTTGCAAATGAATGTAGGCTGAGAAGCAGGCCAGCCCTTTGAGGTGAGGGCTGCTGTAACTGACCCATATCCTCAGCAGCCTTCCGCCCCACTCTGCCTGGAGTGAACCTGGTGGTATCAGAAGGGACCCACACTGGTGATAAACCCCCAGAAAAACCCTGGAGGTAATTTAGACCTCCATCTTTCCCAGTAGGTTATTAGCATTTCTGTTAAACAAGCTGGGGTTTGTTTACAAGAGAAAAACACACTGACCATGGCCTTTACTGTCTGGAAAGAGGGGCAGTGGAGAAGGGACAAGGGGCTTGGGCCCAGGGCCTGGCTGTGGAGGTCATACAGGCCAGCAGAAGAGGAACTGGGGGCAATACGCCTGCCCAACAAGGCAGCCTTGTGACCATCATTAATGTGAACTCGAGCAAATAAAAGAAAAAAAATATTTTGTAGGCTTTTTTTAAAGTAACTTAAAAGCACCCTGGTAAAGTACTACTATACCCACCTGACCCTATCCCCCCAAATAATAAACTGAGAGGAAAATCAGTGCCCTGACTTGAATGAGTTTCCTCTAAAGACACCACTGCTCTGCTTTATAGTTTCCTATAAAGACACCAACAGACTGGGGAGACTGGAGAAACTACCCTCCTGCCAGCCCCGAACCCTGAGTGGTGGTCCCCATGGCCTGGAGTGGGTTGCTGTATGTGGCCACTTGGGAGATGACAATTCTACCTGCATGGCTATCTGCTTCCAAAAGGAGAAGCCCCCTCCCACCCTCTTTACCCAGGAGCCTGCTGAACCTGACCACATGTCCTCAGGGCCTGGAAGCCTGGCTGGGCAGCCAACCCCATGGCTCAGAGGTAGTGCTGAAAATCCCTGATTCAGGAGCTGATGGTAGGCATTCTGGATGCTTCTGAAAGCTTTGAGGATTTCCGGCGCCTGCCACACCCCACACTCTTACACCAGTCTCTCTACCACATAGGAAGGGGACCAGCTCCCCCTAGGAGGAAGGTAGCTAGGATAGCCTCTCTGGCTCCATACCTCCACTCAAACCCCAGAGGGCGGGAGATAACCCTTGCAGATCCAGTCACCACTGGGGCTCCTGTGGGGCATGAGGTGTTTCAAGAATGGAAGGGAGCAAATGGTCAGAAATGATGTGATGGAGAGAAAAATCCAAGGTGGAGTAGGAGACGGCTGGCCCATTGAACCCTGGCAGTGCCCTGGGCATGCAGTTAGGCCAGTCACATGCCTGAGCCAGCAGGTTGGTCCAGCCAGCCCCTCAGTAGCACACTCCTGGATGGAAGAGGGGCAGGTGGGCAGGCATTTGTGCAAAACGGCTTGTGGCCCTTTTTCCACCTGTGACATGTCTATATGGTCCTTGCAATCCCTGAATGCAACCATGAACTCTTCTGTCCATACAGCAAAGGAAGAGGTCCTTAGTGCAATTTCCATTCGGTGCATCTCTACCCTGGAGGGAGGGCCTGGGCTCCCACTCCTGGGCCCTGCAGTGTGGCAAAGTGATTCTGTCTGTGCAATTTCTCCATGTAGCTCCACATGGTCCAGAACTGCAGGAGGAAGAAAGCATCTACTGCATAAAGGAAAGAAAGGAAAACCCATAGAAATGGAAATGTAAAAAAATAAAAAGGGAAGCCACAACCCTTCATGCTGCTGTGGCCTCTGTACATGGCAACACATGAGTTCACGGCAGTAGAACGGAGACTTGGGGGTGGTTCTCTCCTGAGTGCAAGCCTCTCTGGCTCCCTGGGGTGGGGCTGGGGGACTTGCTTTTCAGACCTGGAGTGATTGGCAAGCTGCTTACTGAGGGCGGCATCCCAGCCGCCTCGTTGCCCCTCACTGCTCCCCTCGGCCGTGCTCCCAGGCCATGCGGGCCTGCTCCTCCTTAGCGCTCCCAGGAGGCAATGGAGCCTTGCGGTGCAGGCCTCGAGGCCTCTCAGTCTCTTCACGCAGCAGCACCCCCTCATCGTGCTCCAGGGCCGGCAGGCGGGGGTGGTAGGGCTTGGGCGGCAGCGCAGGCGGGTCCATGGGGTCCTGAGGGATGACGCACCCTGGGGCTGAGTGGCTTCGGCATGGCTGGGCCTTGATGGAGTCCAGGACGGCAGACTCAGAGAGGCTGTAGTGGACAGGGAGGTAGGGTGGCTCAAGATCTTCGTCAGCATTCCAGGCCTGACTTGGCATGGAGTCCATGGTGTCAGTGCGAGGTGGGGCCTCCGAGGAGTGCCCAAAGTTACTCTCACTCAAGGAGGACACGCCGCTGCTGGCACTGCCGGACAGCGTAGAGTTGCTGCCGTCCAGACCTGACTGGGGGCTTGTGGGGGAGGCTGGGATAGGGTGGAGAGGAGACTGCGAAGGAAAGGGTGGGCATGTTAGAATCCCTCTCTCCAGACAGGCTGACTTGCCCGCCATAGGAAGACCAAGAGCCTGCTTATGAATGAACTTTAACCCTCATCAACAGCATGTTTCTTGTTTCTTCAGCAGCAAGCTCCCAGCTCCTCCCACCACCCCTAAGCCAGTGGAACTCCAGAATCATCTGCATTTCTGTGGCCAAAAAATTGCCCTGCCCTGGCTGCTGGGCATTGGTGCCCCCTGGTCCCAGGTCCCAGGCTGCCGTCGGTGGCTCTGGGATACTGACATAAAGGCTGGGTCATCAGGCCTGTTGAGGAGGGGCAGAAAGAACCCTGGTGGGCCGTGGACCAGAGGAATGTATTCTGCTGCTAAAATCTGTGATAGACTCAGTCTTTTCCAATTTGCAGACAAGCTAACAGGTAGGAAATTTTACTCTCCTGAGTTTTTCATAAAGTTCTTGCTTTTACTGAATTCTAGTTTGAAATGCTCTCTGATCCACCACAGGAACATTTGTTTAGCTAGCGAACTACAGTGTGTTGATACCTTGGTGCTGGCTGAGAGCCCCCAGGTTTCCCAGTGCTCACTGCCCACACACTCTTGGTACTGTGTGTTGTTGTCTCCAGGACCCTCTGATCTCCCTGCCCCCATCACATTTGCTGCAGGACACAAATGTGCACCTGCAGCTCAAGTGTGGCTCTGGCCACCCCCAGCTTCTGCCAGGCTGGGGAGAGAGGTGAAGGGGAGGGCTCCAGTTCCTCCTGTAGACCCCAAGGGTGGTTCTAGAGCAGACGAGATGACTCATCTCACAGCCTGGTGGGGCTGCCGCTTCAGTACATTACCTTGCGCAGGGTCCGGGCAGGGAGGGCTGGGGGGGTATCACCCAGAGGGTGGTGGAAGGCGTCAAAGTGTAGGGAGTAATGACCTGCAAAGGGAACAGAACCAGAGCCTCAGCTGGGGGCCCTGCACAGACTTCATGCCAGCACCATCTTGCTGGGCCAACTGGGCAGGCATGAGAAGAGTCCCCTGGGGACCCCTCAGCATTGAGGGCTATGGATAAACCTCTCTTTACACTGGCCTTCTCCAAAACACAGGCTGCTGGGGTAAAAGAAACTCACTCCACACAGGAAGTCAGAGAAGTTGAGTGCTTCAGAGTCTGTGGAACAGGCCTCAGGCAGCGGCAGCTCTAGCCCACTGCTAGGCGATGAGACAGTCTGGTGAGAAGTGTGCCTGGCACAGTCAATTCCATTGTCTTCAGCCTTCTGGTTGGGATGGCCTTCCTGAGCTAACCTGCTGTACTCGGAAACCTCACTGACCCCAAAGCCCAGCAGGATCCTTCCTGTGGTGGGGGTGTTTTGGCTTTGGCTGAGTCGGCCCAGAGAATGGCCCATCTTCTCAGCTTAGATGGCTGTTGCTGTGGCCCTTGAGCAGAGTCTGAGACCAGGGACTATCGGGGGACCCGCTGGAGGTCTTCTTACCATGCAGCAGGCTTCGGGGAGGCACTGGGGGGGCCAGGATGCGCCCCATATGGGCAGACAGGAAGGGCTGGGCCTCTTGGGCTCCGCTATCCAGACTCCAGCTGCTGGGGGCTGCTGGCACAGCTGAAGGGTGGAAACAGATGGCATGAAGGGAGGTTACTTCTTGAGCCACCCTCTGGGAGAAGTACAGCTTGTGGCTTCTCCAGTGTGCACCACGTATCCAGCACACATGTGGGGCATGCCAGCACCTGGAACTAAAAACGCTGGCCAAGCAAGGCACTGTGGTCCACAGGGGAGAGTGGCCAGGGATTGAAGCTGCTTAAGAGGAGGGCAACAGAGTGAGTTTATGTCTAAAGAGTATTCAGGATGAGATAGCTGAATGTGCAGCAAGGAGTGAACGCCTGCAGCCTCTGGGATCTGCCAGGAGGAGAAGAGAAAACAGGACAGAAGAGTAGAGATGAGAATGAGAGAATATAGAGAGAGCACAGGACATAGAGCTCCTTGCCAAAGTCTAGAGTCAGCTCTCCTACTGCCCAGGCTCAGTGGGAAAAGCAGGGAGCAAGGACAGGTACCTGTTGGAAGAAACTGCAGCCCAGATCCAGCTGGACCCACTGCTTCCTAACAGGAGGAGGGAGGGCTGTGGAGCCGATGAGTACCCTTTGGCGTCTACAGAACCCCAGTTCCTAGCACCCACATGCCATGGATGCAGGGGTGCAGTGGGCCCAGGAAAAAGGGAAGCACAGAGTGCCCTTCTGTGTTAAAGAAGGAGTCCACTGCCAGAATACTGTCCCCTCAGCCACAGTTGGGATGACAGACTTTTCAGGAGGAGAGAGGAATGATGGCTGGACCTTGGGGTCTGAGGGTGCCACTCTGCAGAAGCAGCAGTGGACATGTGAATTCTTTTGGCCAGCTCCTCCTAGAGAACAAATACCAGCAAAAAGAAATATGTCCTTTCTCTGTTGGAGCCAGGCAACTCTCCCCTTTGGGCTATTAGCAGCAGAGAAGCGGCTCACAATCCAGGTGCTGTCACTGGATTTGTTCTAAGGCCGTGGTAGCTACATTGAGCCTGAGGTGGCTGAGGTTTGGTTTCTTCCTGGCCTAGACACAGAGATGGGAATTTCAGGGCCTAATGGGAGCTGACAGGCTTTGGAAGGGAAGGAGCTAGAGTCTGTCCTTTGAAAAGGATGTGGCCAGAGGGGCTGGGCCCCCTCAGCTGTCCAGGGATAAGACTGTGACATCCATCATCCTCTTCTTCCTCATTGCGCAGGAACTGGCGTGAGCTTGCAGCAGAACGCAGGGTAAAACTCCACTGTCTAAACAGCCTCAGTTCTGAGAATTGCCCCGTCTCCTGGTATGGTTGATAGCTGGCGGCAGGAAGGAGGGGTGTGCCAGTGATTGAGTTGCAGGCAAGACACTTAGCTGTTGCCTGAAAGGAGGAAAGAATTCTGCATCTGATGAGCATCAGGTGGATTTCACCAAATAGCCTCCTTAGAGAGCCTGAGCCATCCCAAGAACAGGCCCACTCACCCATGCTCCCTACAAGATGCAGCATGAGCTTCTTGGTGTTGAGGCTCCCTGTACCTTCCCCTCTCTGCCAAAAAAATCACCTTCTCCATAAAAAGCCACCAAAGAAATATCAGGGAATAGGAAGCTTAGAAATGGGTCTGGGCGGCTTCCCTAAAGGGGTTCTGACAGCCCAGGATCTCAGATGCACACCTAGCCCTGGAAGAATTATGGGGTGCAGATGTTCACCCACAAGGGCTCAAAGGAGCTCTAGGGCAGGAAGGCTATGGGAGAAGAAGGCTTACAGGGCTTTAATGGTTTACAAAAGGGTGCCTGCCTGAGTGACTCCATATAAACCAGAAGCCATCAAGTTTGCCCTGCAGCCTGATGTCTGTGAGCAGTGGGGCCAGTAGACCTTTGCCATGTAGCATAAATGCACTGGGGCTAGAGGGAAGGCTAATACAGAATGACTTATCCTAGGAAAAGAAGGGTGATCCCAACTGTATCCTGTCGCCTCCCTCCCTCACCATTAACAACTGTCCAGCACTGGCCTGAGGCCGCCAGTGCATAGCCCATGGTCCTGAAGGCAGGCTCACCTGATCTGGGAGTCACTGCACGGCAAAAAGAGATACCTGTAAGTGAGAGATGTAGTCCTCATGGGACTCAGAACCCTGACAGACAAGAGAATGATGACAAGTATGTATAGTTCCTGCCCTGGAGGATCCAGGTAGAGACTTAGGGAGCTACGCTCTGGCCTGTGTGTTGCCACTGGGCAAATGTCTGATTAGCTGCCTTCTAAATGCTGGCCTTGTGGTACGGATATGCTTGCTCTGGGCTCAGCCTCTGTTCTGAGACAACCCTCCTTTCCTTCCACACCTAGGGGTGGGCATGTCCAGCTCCTTGATGTAGTCGTAGTCTGGCCTTGGCCTGAGGCCTGAAGCGCTAATGTGTCTGGTTGGGGTAGGGTCCTGGTCTGGCCACCAGCACCTGTTTGAGCTCTAAGCCTGTCTAGACTCTTGGCTACTTCTGACGTTGCTCTGCATCTCAGCTGAAGAAATGCCACTGTGGATTCTGGCCCTCCAGGCGAAAAGGGCACTCTGTTTTGGGTCACAGGTGCAGAAGTCCAAGAAGCTGCATGTTTTCGGGATATACGACCTTGAAGCTATGAAGGCATCTTCAGCCAGTCTCCAGGCCCTTTGTGGTGGGGCACCCAGCTTCAGTGCCCATCAGTGTTTTGTCTCTTTAAAGAGGACACAGAGGTATGTCCTCCATGATGAGCAAAGGCGGAGCATAACAGTGGGGACAGCACATAGCACTCGATGAACAGATACGATGATAACGTGATGATGACAGCTTTGGAGGGACATGTTCTGATGGAATAGGGGATGACAGGTTGTATTGGTGGGAACTGAGTGTGCCCTAAACTCCAATAGATGGAGCAGCTAGGCAGAGAACCTGTGAGGAGAGGGGCGGATATGAGGCCAGGTTCTGGGTGGCAGGAAGGCTCAGCACTTAGTATTACTCTCTGTTAAAATTAACTCAGATCTCCGTGTCTGAGGTCTGAGTCTGCTTCTTCCATCGGCTTGCAGAAGCAGAACACAGGGTAAAATGCCCACTCTCTAAACAGCCACAGGTCTAAGGAGGATTGCTCAGTCTCACAGTATGGTTGGTGGCCTTGCAATAAAAGATGGATTCACAGCAGCTGCTGGCCAGAGTGGCTACAGAAGGACCGGACTCCTTTGGGGCACCCTGGGCTTCACTTGGAGAAGCCTGTCTTTGGGAAATAGCATGTCTTTCCCCTTCCTCTTGGGGCTTGTTTGGCCACGGCCTGTTCTGAGCTCCAAGGAAAGATCCCTGAGGGCCCAAGCTGAGAGGGACCAAAGGGGCCACAAGGCCTGCTGAATTCTGGGGGTGGCTGGGAGGAGTCTAGGGAAGTAGTTTTCTACAGTTTGCACACAGAAGCCCAAGTTTCCATAAAGGTGGGCTCAGGGCAGGAGGCAGTTGGGACCTCTGAGGGTAGGCCCTGAGGAAGGAGGGATACAGGATATAAACCTTAGCATCAAGTCAGACATGGGTTAAATAGTGAGCACAAGAACTGGTCAGAATTCTGGACAGACGGACAGACCTGAGTGTTGAAGTATGGCTTAGCCCTGGCCAGCTGGTACTCAGGGACAAGAGTCAGACACTCAGGATGGGGACAGACATGGGGGGAAGGCCACCTGGGCAACAATACCTTTTTCAGCCACAGACAGATTGGGATCACTGCAGGGTTTGCAGGCTCCGACCACTTGCTGGAACAGGGCTCGCTGGAAATTCGGCGGCTGAAGGAAGGAGATAAACATTACAGAGAGTGAAAACAACCAATTATATCTTGGGAGGCAGTGTTGTGGGCGACGAGAGACAGGACACTACAAGATCAGACGGGGAAAACAAAGCAGTGGCACAGCTCACACTTGAGATATACTGAGACCCCCAGGCCAGCCCTAGGAAAGACTGTCCAGGGTGTCTGGTTCTCAGTGCTTCTATACACAATATTTGCAATACCATCCTCCAGTATCTGGCTAGGACCCAGCTGTCTTATGTAGGGCCCAAGAAACAGAACATAGCTACCTGGGAGCATCTGTTTGCATCCTTTTGTCTGGCTAGAGAGATCCCCACTTCCCCATGAGCACTGACAGGTTTAGCCTCCTGGAGAGGCCCTGCACAGGCCCATGCTAGCACTGAAGGCAGAGGAAAGGACAGTATCAAGCCTAGAGTCACAGACAGGACTTGCTGTTTTAATGGGCAGCTGCCAAGCAGATCTCATCCCTCTACCTGGCAGAGCCAATCAGGCACAGGGAGGTACCACTAAGAAACTCCTGGCATTCTGAGGCTAGGTAATGGTCACTGAGAGGTGACTTTTATGGACCCTGATAGAAGGGCAGGGACAGACTGCCCAAGGGAGGGAGTTAATCCCTACAGCTTCTTGTTCAAGGTCCCCAGGCAGAGCATTTGGAGAGCTGTGCAAATGGCATGTAGAACAGCCCCAGCAGGTAGTGAGGGACTTCAGTTGGATGGATGAATAAAAGAGGCAGAGTTTGTTCCAGTGAGGATGCCCCACAAATAGGGAGGAAGAACATCTTCCAGACCAATGTGTCCACCACTGCCTTCTCAGAACAGGCTGCAAAGAACCAATTACCTTTGCTAGACTGTTTAGGGATGACGAGTCCAGGATCTGGCGGGAAGGACAGATAGCTACATGAGCAATGCTGGTTCCAATGGTGGTTCCTGCCACCATTCTACTCACGCCTACACTCTGTCTGGATTGCTGGTCCTCAGGTTCACTGCACTCCACATCCAGAAGCCCAGCGGCCTTTTGCGGGATCTTACAGCGGAATGAGAGAGCCATGTAGGACAATGCAGAAGGCCCCGCAAATGCAAGGAGGGAAGCACAGGCTAACACACTTGCAGCAGAGGACAGTCAGTGTGGTGGGTCTATTACCTGTCCGTTCTCCAGGATGGCTGCTGGATACATGGCACTGCTTGGGCGGTCCCGGTATGTGGGCAGCAACAACATCATTTCACGGGCATGGCGGTACTTATCTGGCAGAGAGGGAGAGCCTGTAACCAAGTGAGAACAATCAAGCACAGATGACAAGCCACAGATGGAGGGTCCAGCAGTCAAGCATCCTCAGGACTAGGGAACCAGGGTAGGTGTCCCTTACAGTTAGGGTGAGGATGAACTCAGCAAGCACAGGAGGAATGAAGCAGAGTCTGGTTGTTAGATGGTGGCAGTGGCTGCACCTCATGTCCCAGCCAAGGCTGACATACAGCAGGCTGGTGAGATGCAGATCCGCTGACAGAGTCCCCACCATGCTCAGAAGCAGAGGGTGAGGAGAGTTAAGAACTGGAGCAGGGTGGCTAGGGGCTCCCTGCATCAAGCACTATCAGGAAATGGGTGTGGCCTGTATGCTGGGCTCTCCTGGGGTCCAGGCATGGGAACAGGCCAGCTTGCAATGGAGACACTCACACAGAGACAGAGACACTCAGATAACATAGCCACACTGTTATTACTTGACATACTGTGTCTTTACGCACTTACCTTCTCCTGACACCACTGGCCCTGTTCTCACCTGGCTCCCTACCGACTTTTCTCAGAGGCTTCTCCCTTCCAGATTCTAGGTCCCAGCACCTGGCCTCTGCCTTCCTGCCAGTCCTACTGCAGCCCTAGAGCCAGGCTGGCTGGGGGCCAGGGCTCTGCACACAGGTTGCTCTCCGGGGTTTTGCTCTGTGACACTTGCCCTTCCGTGAACTCAGGGTTCATGGAACTAATGTGGAAATTATGGGGCTTTAACTCAGGCTCTTTAGTTGACTTGATTCATGTTCTACTCCTGTGAGGCCTCTGCAGTGATTTCCCCTAGTCTGAGGGACTGTTATGGAGGCCACACCATGCCACATGTGGTGTGACTCTGTCCCCATGGATTCAGACCATAGCCGTAGGTCCAGGAACTTGTCAACCCATGGTCCTTAAGAAGATCTTCCACAGAAGCAATAAGAGTAACTTGCTGGCTTTCCTGGGGGAATGGGTAATTTGGAAGGCCCTCCAAATGTGCTCATTGTACCAGATACCAGCATATCCATGAGAAACCACTGGGGGAATCGGAGCCCTCACAGGAGGATCACCTGGATCTCAAGCCTCTGCCTGGCTCTATTGGTTGAAACCCCTCTCTGGGGTGTCCTCTGAGTGAAGTTGGGTAGTTTAGACCAACCCATGGGCTCCAGCTGAATCTGCAGCTGGGGTCAATCTGCAGCTCCTAGAGGCTCTGTGTCTCTGGAACTCAGGGTCTCTGGGGCTTTCCTTTGAGTGTGCAGTGCCAGCACTGTCAGGACACAGCTAAAAATACGTCTTCTTCAGCCAGCTTGCCAAAGGAGTCCTTGAGAAATTCCTCTTGTATTCATTTCAGTCCAAGAAGATGAGGCTAAAATACTTTGAAGAAGTCAGCGTAATAAATACCAGTAATGTAACTTTTTCCACAGTTGGTCTGAGTGATCCTGTTTGTAGAACCTCAGGGCTGGCTTTAAGACCCAGTCATTAAAAAATGTCCTTTCACTTGTAAGAGAATGACTAAAATATGATTTTTAAAACTCGACCTGAATTGCTATTTTGTGATTTTACTGGTTTCTATGTTCTCTTTTAGAACCTGTACTCTTAGGCAACCTCAAGAAGATGGCTATGTAAAGAGAAATGAAAAAAGCACCTATTCTCACTGACCAATATAGTGCTTTCCCAGCAAGAAACTCTCAGAATGCTTCCTGAGCATTGCAGCCCACAGCTCTAGACAGGACTACTCTCTGTTCAGTATGCACCGGAAAACACACAGCACCTTTAGACCAACTCAGTAACATCAAACCCATATCTAATGCCCATTCCACACCAAGCATGTGATTGGAACCTGGTATACTGTCTTGCTCAGGTTGTCCGTGGTCTCTCACCTCGTGGAGCTCACAGCCTGGCTCATAAAGAAAACCCCACATCTGCATACTCAATATCCTGATCCGTGTGAGGGGGTTAGGATGGAGATATAGCAGCCTGAAGGCTGTAGCCAGGGCTCAGGGGCTCTGCTGAAGATTCAGACTCATGTTATGGTGGTCTCTCTGGGCTATGGTGGCCACAAAGGGGTGCTCTGTGCCACCACTAAAATTTTTAACTCTACCACTTCACTTCCCTCCCCCTGCCCTCTGCCCTGGGCAGCCAATCCCATGGTAGGAGAAGGTGATGGTTACTTTTCATGAAAACATTTGAACAACACAAGGGTTTCTGTGTTCATGGGACTTCTGAATTATGTGAGTTGTAGTCTAGTAAACCCCAGTGTCAACGAATTACTTAAGGATTATTCAAAATCCCTGTTTCCTAGCTCCAATCAGCCTTTTGATCAGCAGGGGGAGCTGTCAACTCACAAGAGTTTAGGTGAAAAAAGCACCTATTCTCATTGACCGATACAGTGCTTTCCCAGCAAGAAACTCTCAGAATGCTTCCTGAGCATTGCAGCCCACAGCTCTAGACAGGACTACTCTCTGTTCAGTATGCACCGAAAAACACACAGCACCTTTAGACCAACTCAGTAACATCAAACCCATATCTAATGCCCATTCCACACCAAGCATGTGATTGGAACCTTGTATACTGTCTTGCTCAGGTTGTCCGTGGTCTCTCACCTCATGGAGCTCACAGCCTGGCTCATAAAGAAAACCCCACATCTGCATACTCAATATCCTGATCCGTGTGAGGGGCCTTGCAGGCCATTCCTCTCAGACATTTCCAAAGCAACAGGAATCACAGCAGTGTCCATGGGTATGGCAAGGAAGACCACTGGTCTCATGACCACTCTTGGGAGTGGGGGAAGTAACCCCAATGCAAAGGCTTCCCTCAAGATCACCTTTACGAAAGCTTTCCCCTCCCTGGTAATACCAAACACAAACTTCAAACAGAGTGGACTGTTTCCTCCCTTCTTTGCCCAGAGTGTATCTACTACAACATCTATTACATACATTTGAAAGTATCAGTCTTTCTCTATGATGCCATGTCACACAGACCCTTCTATTTTGTCTCCCAGGGCCTAACACTGTGCTTGATAGATGTAGGACCTGCACCTTTCTCCAGATGAGCCTGCACATGGATGGTATGGAAGTTGTGGTCTAGAAGGGACTTGCTTTCTTTCTTACTGCCTCTGATCTTGTCACTGTTCTCTTTGGGCCCAGTTCTGTTTAACCATTTTGTTTATTTTTGCACTTAATGTTTACCCCCAAAAGGGAAGGGGCTTCTCTCAGCCTTCCTCTGTGTGATATTCTGGAGTTTGGCCATTGTGACAGCTCATCTCCAAAAATGGTGACCATCAACACCTTCTGTCCCAAAACACACACACCATTCCTTACAACATGAGGTGTAATCTCATTCCTCTTTCTGGTATCTGGGTTGACATTAGTGACTTGAGGAGACTAGAAACGTGGGGACTTCCTGGGACATCCAAGGCTGGGTAAAAACGAGCCTTGAGGCTTCTTCCTGGGTCTCTTGGAATGCTTTCTCTGGGGAAAATCAGCTGCCATGCTGTGAGAAGCCTAAGTCACATGGAAAGGTCATATGTAGGAGCTCAAGTTGACAGCCCCAGTCGCACCCCAAGCTGACCACCAGCATCAATTGCCAGCCATGTATGTGAGCCATCTCGAATATCTAGCCCACCTGAGCTTTTAGATGATTCCAGCCAGTGACATCTGACACCAAGTGAGAATTGCTCAGTGAGCCCTGTAAACCCACAGAATAAGAGATGATAATAGATTGTTTTAAGAAGTTTTGGGGGTGGCTTATTATGCAGCAACAGATAACCAAGCCATTTGAAGTAAAAATGAGTTATTTCCAGACAAGAAGATAATTTCTCTCTATTCAGCACTGACATAGTGCACCACCTGCCCCCGTGGCAAGAGCCATGCAGGTTCCTCACTGAGCATTCAGTAAAAGCTTGATAAGTGAATAAATCAGTCAACGGCTGGAAGGAAAAGGTGGTAACCGCCAGCCTGTGAGGTCCCCAAGAGCAGGGCCTGCTTATTCCTCCTCTTTCTTCTTTTCAGGACACTAAGTATCTGGAACAGCCTAGAGGAAGTGTCTGACCAATGTCAGAGTGCATTTGAGTTCAAATGTCCATCCTTGGTTGCCTTCTGTGTTTATCAATCATCATGATTCAGAGATCTGTCCTCAGCAAGAATACCAGATAAAGTCTTAGATATGTCAGAACATATCTTAGAGACGCTTTAGGTTAGGGAAAAAAACAAAACCAGAAGGGATTACAGAAACTGTTTCTGCAGCTCTATTCAGGACTATTTACCTGAAGACACTATAAATGCCAACCTTGACTGTGGCACTCATGGCTCAGGGTTTCTTTTCTTTTTATTCCCAAGGCCGTCTTTCAGTGTGCCTTCTTGATAACACATATCACTGCTCCTTCTCTATGTCTGCAGCTTTCACATACTGACAAATCTTCAGCATGCACCGATCTTTTGGTTCATTTGTCCTATTTAGTACTAGAAATGTCTGCTTTCAAATGCTGGCTCCCCTTTTCTGACCTCAGAGTCCATGCTAGGGAGGCAATATGGGCAGTGGAATGGGCATGAGAGTGAGGGCTGGTGAGTGTAAAGATCTGTGCCCCAAACTTAGCTTGGCTGTGAACTGGCTAGGTGGCCTTAATTCCCTTGCCCTGGAAATGAGGGCTTGGTCTGAATACTTCAGGTGAAGTCTGACTGTGCCTGCTGCAACCTTACTCCACTTCCCTCTACAATCTGCCAAGGCTTTTCCCAGGTGGTCACTGCATCTTTTCACTGTGCCATACAGCAGTCACTCCTACTGTGGGCTTCTCTCCATCACTCCTACTGTGGGCTTCTCTCCATCACTCCTACTGTGGGCTTCATGGGTTTGTGTGCTTTAGAGAGCTTCTTTTCTTAATGACTTCCCAAGTCATACATTTGTGCTATTACACCAATCAGACGTAGATTTTCACATAGTCCCATATTTCTTGGGGGCTTTGTTCATTTCTTTTTACTCTTTTTTCTCTAAACTTCTCTTTTCGCTTCATTTTCATTCATTTGATCTTCAATCACTGATACCCTTTCTTCCAGTTGATCGAATCGGCTACTGAAGCTTGTGCATGCATCACGTCACTCTCATGCCATGGTTTTCAGCTCCATCAGGTCATTTAAGGACTTCTCTACACTGTTTATTCTAGTTAGCCATTCATCTACTCTTTTTTCAAGGTTTTTAGCTTCTTTGCAATGGGTTCAAACATCCTCCTTTAGCTCGGATAAGTTTGTCATTACCGATCATCTGAAGCCTTCTTCTCTCAACTTGTCAAAGTCATTCTCCATCCAGCTTTGTTCCATTGCTGGCGAGGAGCTGCGTTCCTTTGGAGGAGAAGTGCTCTGATTTTTAGAATTTTCAGCTTTTCTGCTTTGGTTTCTCCCCATCTTTGTGGTTTTATCTACCTTTGGTCTTTGATAATGGTGACGTACAGATGGGGTTTTTGTGTGCATGTCCTTTCTGTTTGTTAGTTTTCCTTCTAACAGTCAGGACCCTCAGCTGCAGGTCTGTTGGAGTTTGATGGAGGTCCACTCCAGACCCTGTTTGCCTGGGTATCAACAGTGGACGCTGCAGAACAGCAAATGTTGCTTTCTGATCCTTCACTCTGGAAGCTTTGTCTCAGAGGGGCACCCTGCCATATGAGGTGTCAGTCGCCCCCTACTGGGAGGTGCCTCCCAGTTAGGCTCCTGAGGGTTCAGGGACCCACTTGAGGAGGCAGTCTGTCCGTTCTCAGATCTTAAACTCCATGCTGGGAGAACCACTACTCTCTTCAAAGCTGTCAGACAGGGACGTTTAAGTCTGCAGAAGTTTCTGCTGCCTTTTGTTCAGCTATGCCCTGCCCCCAGAGGTGGAGGCTACAGAGGCAGGCAGCCCTCCTTGAGCTGCAGTGGGCTCCACCCAGTTCGAGCTTCCCAGCCGCTTTGTTTACCTACTCAAGCCTCAGCAATGGCGGATGCCCCTCCCACAGCCTCACTGCCTCCTTGCAGTTCAATCTCAGACTGCTGTGCTAGCAGTGAGAGAGGCTCCATGGGTGTGGGATCCCCTGAGTCAGGCGCAGGATATAATCTCCTGGTGAGCCCTTTGCTAAGGCCACTGGAAAAGCGCAGTATTAGGGTGGGAGTGTCCCGATTTTCCAGGTACCATCTGTCACGGCTTCCCTTTGCTAGGAAAGGTAACTCCCCGACCCCTTGCATTTCCTGGGTGAGGCAATGCCCCGCCCTGCTCCGTGGGCTGCACCCAGTGTCTGACAAGCCCCTGTGAAATGAACCCAGTACCTCAGTTGGAAATGCAGAAATCACCTGTCTTCTGTGTCAGTCACACTGGGAGCTGCAGACTCGTTGTGTTCCTATTCATGATGGGGAGAATGGAACCAAATTGGAAAACACTCTTCAGGATATTATCCAGGAGAACTTCCCCAACCTACCGAGGCAGGCCAACATTCAAATTCAGGAAATACAGAGAACACCACAAAGATATTCCTCAAGAAGAGCAACTCCAAGACACATAATTGTCAGATTCACCAAAGTTGAAACGAAGGAAAAAATGTTGAGGGCCACCAGAGAGAAAGGTCAGGTTACCCACAAAGGGAAGCCCATCAGACTAACAGCAGATCTCTCAGCAGAAACTCTACAAGCCAGAAGAGAGTGGGGGCCAATATTCAACATTCTTAAAGAAAAGAATTTTTAACCCAGAATTTCATATCCAGCCAAACTAAGCTTCATAAGTGAAGGAGAAATAAAATCCTTTACAGACAAACAAATGCTGAGAGATTTTGTCACCACCAGGCCTACCTTACAAGAGCTCCTGAAGGAAGCACTAAACATGGAAAGGAACAACCGGTACCAGCCACTGCAAAAACATGCCAAATTGTAAACACCATCAACGCTACAAAGAAACTGCATCAACTAACGAGCAAAATAACCAGCTAACATCATAATGACAGGATCAAATTCACACATAACAATATTAACCTTAAATGTAAATGGGCTAACTGCTCCAGTTAAAAGACACAGACTGGCAAATTGGATAAAGAGTCAAGACCCATCAGTGTGCTGTATTCAGGAGACCCATCTCAAATGCAGAAACACACATAGGCTCAAAAGAAAGGGATGGAGGAAGATCTACCAAGCAAATGGAAAACAAAAAAAAAGCAGGGATTGCAATCCTCGTCTCTGATAAAACAGACTTTAAACCAACAAAGATCAAAAGAGATAAAGAAGGCCATTACATAACGGTAAAGGGATCAATTCAACAAGAAGAGCTAACTATCCTAAATATATATGCATCCAATACAGGAGCACCCAGATTCATAAAGCAAGTCCTTAGAGACCTACAAATAGACTTAGACCCCCACACAATAACAATGGGAGACTTTAACAGCCCACTGTTAATACTAGACAGATCAATGAGACAGAAAGTTAACAAGAATATCCAGGAATTGAACTCAGCTCTGCACCAAACGGACCTAATAGACATCTACAGAACTCTCCACCCCAAATCAACAGAATATACATTCTTCTCAGCACTACACCACACCTATTCCAAAATTGACCACATAATTGGAAGTAAAGCACTCCTCAGGAAATGTAAAAGAAAAGAAATTATAACAAACGGTGCCTCAGACCACAGTGCAATCAAACTAGAACTCAGGATTAAGAAACTCACTCAAAACCACTCAACTACATGGAAACTGAACAACCTGCTCCTGAATGACTACTGGGTACATAACGAAATGAAGGCAGAAATAAAGATATTCTTTGAAACCAATGAGAACAAAGACACAACATACCAGAATCTCTGGGACACATTTAAAGCAGTGTGTAGAAGGAAATTTATAGCACTAAATACCCACAAGAGAAAGCAGGAAAGATCTAAAATTGACACCCTAACATCACAATTAAAAGAACTAGAGAAGCAAGAGCAAACACATTCAAAAGCTAGCAGAAGGCAAGAAATAACTAAGATCAGAGCAGAACTGAAGGAGATAGAGATACAAAAAACCCTTCAAAAATAAATGAATCCAGGAGCTGGTTTTTTTTGAAAAGATAAACAAAATTGATAGACCACTAGCAAGACTAATAAAGAAGAAAAGAGAGAAGAATCAAATAGATGCAATAAAAAATGATAAAGGGGATATCACCACCGATCCCACAGAAATACAAACTACCATCAGAGAATACTATAAACACCTCTATGCAAACAAACTAGAAAATCTAGAAGAAATGGATAAATTCCTGGACACATACACCCTCCCAAGACTAAACCAGGAAGAAGTTGAATCCCTCAATAGACCAATAACTGGTTCTGAAATTGAGGCAATAATTAATAGCCTCCCAACCAAAAAAAGTCCAAGACCAGATGGATTCACAGCCGAATTCGACCAGAGGTACAAAGAGGAGCTGGTACCATTCCTTCTGAAACAATTCCAATCAAAAGAAAAAGAGGGAATCCTCCCTAATTCATTTTATGAGGCCAACATCATCCTGATAACAAAGGCTGGCAGAGACACAACAAAAAAAGAGAATTTTAGACCAATATCCCTGATGAACATCAATGCAAAAATCCTCAATAAAATACTGGCAAACTGAATCCAGCAGCACATCAAAAAGCTTATCCACCACAATCAAGGGAGCTTCATCCCTGGGATGCAAGGCTGGTTCAACATATGCAGATCAATAAACGTAATCCATCATATAAACAGAACCAAAGACAAAAACCACATGACTATCTCAATAGATGCAGAAAAGGCCTTTGACAAAATTCAACAGCCCTTCATGCTAAAAACTCTCAATAAACTAGGTATTGATGGGACATATCTCAAAATAATAAGAGCTACTTATGACAAACCCACAGCCAATATCATACTGAATGGACAAAAACTGGAAGCATTCCCTTTGAACACTGGCACAGGACAGGGATGCCCTCTCTCACCACTCCTATTCAACATAGTGTTGGAAGTTCTGGCCAGGGCAATCAGGCAGGAGAAAGAAATAAAGGGTATTCAATTAGGAAAAGAGGAAGTCAAATTGTCCCTGTTTGCAGATGACATGATTGTATATTTAGAAAACCCCACTGTCTCAGCCCAAAAGCTCCTTAAGCTAATAAGCAACTTCAGCAAAGTCTCAGGATACAAAATCAATGTGCAAAAATCACAAGCATTCCTATACACCAATAACAGACAAACATAGAGCCAAATCAGGAGTGAACTCCCATTCACGATTGCTTCAAAGAGAATAAAATACCTAGGAATCCAACTAATAAGGGATGTGAAGGACCTCTTCAAGAAGAACCACAAACCACTGCTCAACAAAATAAAAGAGGACACAAACAAATGGAAGTTCCAACATTCCATGCTCATGGATAGGAAGAATCAGTATCGTGAAAATGGCCATACTGCCAAGGTAATTTATAGATTCAATGCCATCCCCATCAAGCTACCAATAACTTTCTTCACAGAATTGGAAAAAACTACTTTAAAGTTCATATGGAACCAAAAAAGAGCCTGCATTGCCAAGACAATCCTAAGCAAAAAGAACAAAGCTGGAGGCATCATACTATCTGGCTTCAAACTATACTACAAGGCTACAGTAACCAAAACAGCATGGTACTGGTACCAAAACAGATATATAGACCAATGGAACAGAATAGAACCCTCAAAAATAATACCACACATCTACAACCATCTGATCTTTGACAAACCTGACAAAAACAAGCAATGGGGAAAGATTCTCTATTTAATAAATGGTGCTGGGAAAACTGGCTAGCCATATGTAGAAAGCTGAAACTGGATCCCTTCCTTACACCTCATACAAAAATTAATTTAAGATGGATTAAAGACTTAAATGTTAGCCTAAAACCATAAAAACCCCAGAAGAAAACCTAGGCAATACCATTCAGGACATAGGCATGGGCAAGGACTTCATGACTAAAACACCAAAAGCAATGGCAACAAAAGCCAAAATTGACAAATGGGATCTAAACTAAAGAGCTTCTGCACAGCAAAAGAAACTACCATGAGAGTGAAAAGGCAACCTACAGAATGGGAGAATATTTTTACAATCTACCCATCTGACAAAAGGCTAGTATCCAGAATCTACAAAGAACTTAAACAAATTTACAATAAAAAAATCAAACAACCCCATCAAAAAGTGGGCAAAGGATATGAACAGACACTTCTCAAAAGAAGACATTTATGCAGCCAACAGACACATGAAAAAATGCTCATCATCACTGGCCATCAGAGAAATGCAAATCAAAACCACAATGAGATACCATTTCACACCAGTTAGAATGGCAATCATTAAAAAGTCAGGAAACAACAGGTGCTGGAGAGGATGTAGAGAAATAGGAACACTTTTACACTGTTGGTGGGACTGTAAACTAGTTCAACCATTGTGGAAGACAGTGTGGAGATTCCTCAAGGATCTAGAACTAGAAATACCATTTGACCCAGCCATCCCATTACTGGACATATACCCAAAGGATTATAAATCATGCTACTATAAAGACACATGCACATGTATGTTTACTGCGGCACTATTCACAATAGCAAAGACTTGGAACCAACCCAAGTGTCCATCAATGACAGACTGGATTAAGAAAATGTGGCACATATACACCATGGAATACTATGCTGCCATAAAAAAGGATGAGTTCATGTCCTTTGTAGGGATATGGATGAAGCTGGAATCCATCATTCTGAGCAAACTATTGCAAGGACAGAAAACCAAACACTGCATGTTCTCACTCATAGGTGAGAACTGAACAATGAGAACACTTGGACACAGGGTGGGGAACATCACACACTGGGGCCTGTTGTCAGGTGGGGGAAGTGGGGAGGGATAGCATTAGGAGATATACCTAATGTAAATGACGAGTTAACGGGTGCAGCACACCAACATGGCACATGTATACATAGTAACAAACCTGCACGTTGTGCACATGTACCATAGAACTTAAAGTATAATAAAATAAATAAATAAATTTGTGATATTTTTCTTTGGTTTCATAATAATGAGAAGAACAAAGAGACTCCCTCCTTCTGAAGCCTGGAAGCAAGAGCAAGTGACTGGCTGGCAAGCTCAGACCACTGTCACTACCCTGCAAAGCCAACCCTGGGAAGCACTAGATCCTATGTACCACAGCTAATTTCCATTCCACTGCAAATGTTTCTGTCTACAAGGACAGAATCAACTTTCACTTGGGAACTAGGATTAGAACGTGAAAAAGATGCGAAGATGCTGCCTCTCAAAGAACAATATTCATTCAACTGAACAAGAAATCAACTAATAATTGGCAAAGTAAATAGGTTTTTACAGAGCCATCTCTCCTGAGAAAGCCTTTCCCAACTGAAGAAAAATTTTTTGGTTGCTGTTATTGTTTTAGAATAACATTTTCCAGGGTTAATTTTAGTCTCCCGATTTACTTTTCATACTTTGTCATCATGCCTGATTCCTCAAGACAAAAGACTCACTTTTGCCTAGACTTTGATCTTTGTTCTAGCAAAACTTTCAATGGGAAAGAAGTGAGCTTTCTTCTAAGCTGTGTGTCCTGTGACTGAGGTAGAAATGCAATGGCGGCACAGCGGCAGCCACTGCTCAGAGCGGAGTCTGAAGCCAGCCAGGGAAGAGGCCTGGAGGCAGGAACTCTCGAGTCCTTAGTGGTAAAAGCACAAATGAGTATTCTCTAAGTCACAGGGCTGCTCAAAGACACAGCCACAGATGAGAGGAAGCCGAGTGGCGTTGATGAAGACCTCTCTTCTCCATTCTGCAAGTAGCACCCTGCCATCCTTACCTCGGGCACTGGAAGGGGCAGAGGTAATCATCTGGGATGGTGCTGAGTGAGTGGAACTCAGGCTGGAGGAAGAAGGGCTTGCCTGGGACGAGGACAGAACAGAGACGTTGGTGACTGAGCCTTGGTACCTGGGGTTGGGATACGCGAGCTGCAAAGGGAGAAAAATCAGCAGGATAGAGGTCTGAATGGCCAGGACTTTAGGGCTGGCACAGAGTTTGCTTTTTCATGCCCTGAGGTGTTCTGCCCCAGTGCCTTATGCTATCCCCTGAGCCCTGATGGAGGCCAGGCTAATGGCTGGGCAACTAGGGGCCACCCACACCACCCATATGGAGCGAAGTTGTTGGGCTGGCCATACTACGGTGACCATGGAGGAAGCAGGGCTAAGCCAACAGGAATGCCAGGCAAGGGGGCAATCTGGCAGAGGATCTTTCCCGTGGGATCTCCTAAAGCAACCAGGACTGAAGCTGGATTTTCTTCTTGGGAAATAAGGCCTGGGAACCGAGACTTAGGATGGTGTGTGGAGGAACGGCAGCTTTCTAGCTCTGGTGAGGGGTGTTCTGAATTCAGGAGCTAGAGAATTAGGCAGGGTTGCCAAGCCCTCAGACTAGACATTGCAACAGCAAGGTGAGTTCTGTAGGCATGGTGCCCTGGCCCACTCTCCGTGGACAGCTCTGTACCTGCATGTGGTGGTACAGGTCCTCAGGAGCATCACCCATGGAGCCGTCACCCAGCATCACCATGTTTCCTGCTTCACTAGACGCATGTGAGGAGAGAGAGGATGATGAATGGCGGCCTGTGCCCATCAAGTTCATGGGGCTGTGAGCAAGAGTGGGAAATAGGGAGGAGTCAGGCCCATGGCAGGTGGCAGGGGGACAGTAGAGCGGAATGTGTGGAATAGTCATCCCTGGTTTCAGCTACCACCGGTTTGGAGGGTTCCATAGTCAATGCTCATACCCATCTGAGGCCTGGAGCAGTCCTGAGCTGTACCCTGCTACTCAGGAGCCCTTGGTCTGGGAGAGACAATGGTGTGGTACACTGGACAAGCCTCTACCTACAGCTACATGGCTTATGGCCACTCAGTTGCATGACATTAGCAGTTTCTCAGGAGGAATAAGAGATATGCCAAATCAGGTCAAAGACCTCAGGTTCCCCTTTCTATGGGGTATTAGTCTGGGTCAGTGCCCACCCCCCAACCCCCCCACACCATGATGGGATCTGCTTCTTGGTCAGAGGCTTCTTCCTAGTGTGGGAAGCTACCAAAATAGCCGGCTGTGAACTATCTGCAGGCCTCCTTCCACATCTGTGGCCAAAAGGCTTGTCAATAGCTCTCCTCTAGCAATACCAGGAAAGCTTCTCATTCATTTGTCCCTTATTTACTAAGTGCCCACTCTGTGCTGAGCTGCTGCTCACACTGGAAAACAAGCCTAAGTGAGGGGCTCCTCTCACTAGTCTCCTCCTCCAACTTGGCCTTCCTGGCCTAGAGGCTTTCAGTATTCTCAGTTGAGCCCAGGCAAACCAGTCTTTGATGTTCACATCACTATGCTGTTTCTTCCTTAAAACTGACTTGGTGATCCTCATTCTCCTTGGGATCAAGTCCAAAGGCCTGCATGAACAAGGCCCACTCAGAGCTGATCCTATCCCCTTTCCGTGCCCTGGAATCCGGCACTCCAGCCACTTGGCTCTACTCAGAGTGCTGACCAGGCTGGCTTGTTCATATCTTGAGGCTTCTGCATGTGTCAGTCGATTTTCCTAGATCTTGCCCTATCACCCTCCTAACCCCTAGCAAACATCTACTTATCCTTCAAGACTTACCCCAAATGCCCCCTCCTCCATGTTCCCACAGTATCATGTATACACTTCTCTTACCCAGGATAGTGACTGACTGAATGCAGGGTGTGGGTCCTATGGCAGGAGCCACATAAGTGTTTGCTGTGTGCATGGGTAAGAGGGAATATGAGTATACATGAGGACTCTTTCCTCTGACCCTTGACAATTTAGACTCACCTCTCCAGAGGGAACCCTCCCCAGCCCTAAGGCCATACCTGTGCCGGTGGGTCATCTTGATGCTCTCCGGACTCATGGGGCTATGGGATGCCAGAACATTTCCCCGTGGGGTGCTGGTGCCTGAACATGCAGGACTTAGCTTATCCAAACCTGGAAACTCCTGTTGAGAAATGAATGCCCCTTCATAGAGAGTAAAGAATAAATAAGTAACTAAGGGATGTGAGGGAATAACTGACTGGTGATCAAAAATGTAAAAGAAACAAAAAAGAATCATATGGTTGGCTGAACCTGAACTGCTGACTTCCTTTGGGCAATGCCCTCTTCACGACTAAAACACCCTCCTAACTGCACTGGAACCTAGACCAAAGGCCGTGTGCGAGGCCCCAGGTTGACTCCACATTAAGAGAAGCACATCTGGAATAAACTGAAGCTGGTCTGAGCTCATAGGAGTGTGTTAACAGGTTTTCTCGCTACGGAATAAGTAGAACAAGATCTGGGAAGAAGGAGAGGAAGAGCTTATTATTAGTTGTCAATAGGTGGGCACCAATTACATAAGGATTGGTGTTGGGTTTTATTAGACTGCTAAATGGCCCAGCTCTTAGTGACCTGGGTTGTCTGTGACACAGTCTACGGGGAGACAGAACATAAAATCCTGATGTATGTAACTGAAAAATAGCACAGCTCTATTTTAGCTTAATTAATTCATATTAAGTATGTAGATTTCTGGGCAGACACTTCTGATCTCAAACCCTACTGGGTGACAGCATGTTTGTTTGTGTCCCTGTGTACAACTCAGAGGAAACAACTGTTAAGGTTTCCTCACGTCCTTCAAAAGCTGTAGTGAACAGGGGCCCTAAGTCCACTGGGGATATTTCTGAGCTTGGTGTGAAGAAGCACCGGGTTTTCCACCTGCTTCTTCCAAAGCATACAGAGGGCTAAAATGTATTTCTGTAGCTGGAGAAAGGCTATGTGTGCACACGGAAGAACGTGATGTATATAGGAAAGTGTTTTGTGCTTTTTGCTGCAACCCACATGGCAGAGAACCTCCTCACTGGCCAGGCTCCAGCCTGCTTGGGTCACCTGCTGTGATGGGGAAGTTTGCACACAGCAGAGACCAGTCAAACAGGCAGGAGACCCTGGAATGAGAGGTAGTGGAATGAATACCCACCAGACTCAGCGATACTGCCCAAGTTCTTAACTAAATGGACACTCCAATTTTAAGGCGGAGATGTAAAAGAGCTTCTCTGCATATTTCACCTTGAAATACCATGGGAGAATCCTAACAGAGGGAGAAATTTCAGGATCTCCAGGCTTTCCTCTGGAAAATGTGCCCCTACCTCTCAAACTACAACAAGCTTCTTTTTCTCTTTTCATGCTGTCCACACTTGTCCACACAGGCTGAGACCTGCACTGGGAGCCTGGAGGGACGGAGATGACCAGAACCTGCAGCATCCAAGAACACAGCAGGTCCGCCCCAAATGGGTCAGGCCCACTGAGTTTAAGTAGTGCAACCTCCCTCAGGGCTCCTGTGGCCATGGTTATCCCTAGAGGGGGAATTTTTTGCTCATGACAACCTCGTGCAGCATTGAACAGCTCTACTTCTTGTCTCCCTGCCACTTCTGTCCAGTGGTCCTGGGTGATGAGAAGAGAACTTGGCTTGGGTGCCAGGTAGCAGCAGGTAATTGGGCTCATATCCCTTAAGATCTGGGAGCCAGCCTGTTTAGCAGGAAGGGATCTTTAGAAAACATTTGGAGTCAGCCCCACAGTTGAAAATGAGGTTTGGATATGTGAATAGGGGGCTCTATCCTCAGCCAGTCAGCATTTCCTCTAAGACCCTGCCAAGGAATACTGGTCCTGGAATATAAGTCCTGTTTGTGTGTTTAAGTCCTTGGGCCAAACCCTACTGTGGAGGCTGAAGAGCTGGGCCAGAGTTAGGGAGACTTTCAGGAGCCTGGTCCAGCCCCAGGACCTGCTTGACTCCTTTAAGGACTGCTAGCATGAAAGTACTGCTCATCCTAGGCTATCTCAGATGTGAGCTTGGATCACGAGACATGATAGAGGAAGCTGGGAATAAGAGGGAGGGAGAGACAGAGGGAGAAAAGGGAGTTGGGAGGAAGAGTAAAAAGAGGGAAAAGAGAACGATTAGAGGGAGGAGAAAGAATGAAGAAGGACAGGGAGAGAGGAGGAGGAGGGAGATGGGGAGAGAAGGCTGGCTCAGGCCATGCCTATCTCTTTAGGTTCTTGGGATGAAAAACATCTCCAAAAAGATCCCTACATGTGGGCCATATATGTTAGCTCTCTTCCTTCACATATGAAAACCTGTCTACTAGCACAGTGCCCTGAAAAACGTTCCCTGCCCTTGAATCTGGCTCCTCCTTTGGGAGTGAGTGAGTGGGAGGATCCTCAGCATCCTTCCCCTGGATATAGCATCCATCCTTGCCCCCTGTCCCTCTGTAGGGAGGACAGCCTCTCTCCCCAACCCCGGCCCCTGCCCAGGCTCCCTCTCTCCTATTTTCCTTTGGTTTGTGGCGTAGGTCTGGAGGAAGTGACACCTGGTTCTACTGCAGCAGGGGCAGGACAGGGATCAACTTACATGGTAGAGACTGGCCCGCATCATCTGGAACTGATCAATTAGCTTCTTATGCAGAGGCCGCATTTCTGGGTGCACAAACTTCTCATGAACTGCTAGCCCAACTCCAAGGACATGAACCTATCAGAGTCACAAACAAGGCCACTCTGTGAACCATGAGTAGCCCCTGAGAACTGCTCATCTTGTAGTGCATGGCTTTTCTCACCTGGCTGCTGGTTCCCAAGCCCTCCAAGACATACCTGCTCCTGCATAAGCTCCTTGAGCTGGGTGATCTTCTCAGCATCTCCTGGGTGCTTGTTGATGTAATCTTTATCAAAGAAGGCCTGTGAAAGGAAAGGCCAAGTCAGGAAGACTCTTCCCAGGACTACTACTTAAGTGGGGCCCAGGAGACTTGAGTCCACTAATGCCACCTAAAAAGCAGCCAGGCTGTCTCCTCATAGGTACATACACCAGTCTGGCCTGTTTGAACTTCTGGCAATTAGAGGTGTGTTTTTTTGTCTGAGAAGGACTGAACGTGGCCAAGCCATCTAAGTCTGGATGCTGACCCCAGTCCCTCATGGAGCCTGGATGGCCTAGGTAGGGCAGGCAGGACTGGTGGACTGGGAGTAGGGGCTAGCCTCTTATCCAGCCTACAACTCACTTCTCCTGACGGGCTGGGCTCCAAGGCTCCTCTTGGAGGGCACTTAACATCCTCCCATAATCAGGATTACAGATTACCCATCTTAGAGTTCAGAGAATAAAAATGAAGAAAAGGCCCTACCAAACTGTGCCAAAGAAATAGGGAGTGATAGGGAGCTTAGGGCCTCATTCCAGGACCATGTCAAGAGAGGGCATGTAGGGAAGGCTACCTAAGGAGACTATAATCTTGAAAAGAGAAGCCTGTGAGCCGCCTTCCTGGCCAGGCTGGCTGCATGGGTTTGGCCTGTGGCCACAGCTTACCTCCTGATAGCGTGCAATGCCTCCATTGACAGCTGCATCAATGACACCATTCAGGCACATGCTTAGCAGGTTAATGTTGCCATGCACCTGCTTGTGTTGATACTGGCTGATCAGGGAGCGTAGCTCCTGGTTCTTATTCTCAACCACTTGGATGGCATTCTCCAGAGGGCTCACCTCCACCTAGGGGCACACAGCACACAGAGTCATCCCAGAAATGATGATAACCCCTCATCATCTTCCTGAGAGCTGGGGTCTAAGATCTGTGGTATTGATTCCCCTTCCTTGTTCCTGTGAACTTGAGACTCCCTGGACCCTTTCCACTTCTGTTGTCTGATTTATAGGCACTTGGAAGTACAGCAAATAGTGAAGAACACTAGTTCTGAAATCAGAGCACTCTGGTTTCTTGAATCTCAGAGAATAGTTTTCTCATATGTAAAGTAGGAGGTTGAAAATACCTGCTGCTCAGGGGTGTTGTATGGATTAGATAAGAGAAGGTACACAAAGATCCTAGCACAGGGTTGACCTGTGGGAGCCTTGGCCAGGCAGGTGGCCGACGCTCTCTTTTTCTTTAGTCCTTAGAGAAGGGCCCCCAGAGCTGGGGCTGATGGAGCAGTTGTGAAGCTCAGCTTCATCTGAGACATGTCTCACCAGTTCCCTCCTCTCCACTTCAAACCACCGAGAGATGCCAGGCAAGCTGTGGGTCAGGGTCAGTGTGGTACGTTCAATCCACAGGCTCTGTAGGGAGGGAACAGGCAGGTATGGGCAGTTAGGCAAGTTTTGCCACACCCTGCCTACCTGAGGGATAAAACAGTGGTGAGTTCCCAAGGAAGTTGAGCTTGCCCCTGGACTTGCTGTGTGTACTGCCCGTTTTCCTAGATTTGTTCACCTTGAATTCATTCTCCTTGTCCTTGGGGCCTTTGTGAAAAGGCCTGTCATACCGGAACTTCCTCACATTGTTGACGCGATAGAAGCTCTTGACTCGATCTGGTACCCTATCCATCTGCAGAACATCCACATAATCTGGAATGGGCGTCACTGCATAGATCTGCAAGTCTGGGCAGGAAGTGAAGGAGAAACACAGACTTGCCAGAGCTGGGCCTGAGAGGCTGACCCCTGTCATCTCCTCAAAGGGGAGAAGTGCACCATAGTCCCTGCTCCTTACTGACAGCCCAGTAGGGGAGGCAGTGGCATCTCTAGGGGCAGATCAGACCCAAGCTCAGTTAGGTAAATCTCTATCTGCTCTCTCCCTCTCCCTGCTCTAGTAGTTGAGTTTCATGAGCACTCAGCCAAGGTGAGATGTCAACAGCCAAGTGTTCTCTGGTGCCCCTTTAAGAAACAAAGGGAAAGAGGGGAATGCAGGCATCCACCCCATGGGAGTGAAAGAAGGCTGCAAGGGTCTGGGCTTCCCCTCTATAGGTAAAGCATATTTACTGAAGAACAACTTTTAAATAAAATACTGTTTGAAATTTTTGTGGAAAAAAAGCAGATAAGAGTCCACTTGCCCTCCCTTCTCTGAAACAAGCTTGCCATAGTCATGGCAACTGTCATGTGGTCCCCAAGGAAGCTGTGTGTGAAAGGTGAGGGGAAGGGCAGTGTTTCCATTCAGACTTCCAAGTGCCACCAAACCAAAGGAACTCCTCATCTTCTCCTGCTCCACACATCCTTGGGCCCTGCCCCAGTCCGCCTGATGAAGAGAAGGGACAACAATAGTACACATGGGAGTGGAGCAGGGCACAGCACAGGTGGTATCCCTGTGACAAGAGCCCTGATAGGACCCCAAGTCACCCTGTACAGTGATTGCTCCTGGCTGCCTGGGCAGACTCCTCATAGGGCAGGGTGAGGATTAAGCTGTTGGAAGCAGCCAGCCTGAGGGATAAAGGCCTTCCTGAAGCCCCACTGATAACTAGACCACCCACTGCTAAGGGCGTGCCACTGCTTCCTCTTTGAGGTATTAGTGCCTTGCTAAGTGTGTGCTAAGCAATGAGGACACACTCAGGTTTAGGACTATGGGATATCTAAACCTGTATGGTTGGCAATGTGGTAAAGGGGCAGCTGACTGGGTGGATCTCACCTCCCAGGGCCCCTGCCCTCCTCCTCCCACCCAGTATCAAAGGATACACTGGGCATCGCACTGTAGGATGGCGTCATCAGGATGGTTGGGGTGCTGCATGGCGACAGCCTGCGGAAACTCACTGAGCATCCTCTGCTGGAAGGCCTCCAGCCTCTCGTAGTCATGGCCACGGCACACGTATTCTTTGTTCTGCCACAAACAGAAGAGCACACTCTATGTATGCTTTGCTTGTAGCCCCCCACCTCCACCCTGGAGTCAGTAGCTACATATAGCACAAACATATCTTAGGAGCCTTCTCTGTATCAGGCCCTGGGACAGGCACAGGGCATTGCACTCAAGGAGGCAGAAGAAAAACAAAGCGAGAATTACACTGTGGTGTGGCAGCCCCAAGGGAAGGGTACAGGCTGCAAGAAGCTTGGAAGAAGAAGAAAAACCTTACGCAGGAAAGAGAGCAAGGTGGGAGATGGGATTTTAGAAAAAGCTATGTTAAAAAAACGTCCTGAAAGGTCCACCTAGGTCAGGCTGGTATGGTATGGTGTGAGTGGAGAAGGGCAATCTATGTGGGTACCGTGACAACCAGGGCAACAACAATCAAGACAGGAAAAGGTGGAGCTGGAAAGAAGGTGTCTGTGTAGAGAACTGGTAGAAGCAGTTGGGCAGAGGGGGCACTGCCAGCCCCTCTTGACATGTCTTCAAAGGAAGAAAGAGAGAGGCATCACAGGGCCAGCCATATGCTTCCCGGGACAGGGTTAATCACTGGGCAGGCCTTGGAATACCCTGACCCTGACTCCAATGTTACCAAGGAGTGATTGCTATGGGTGCCACCAAATAATTTTAAATGGGGGGGGGGTGGTGATCAAGTGTGTGATTCTGAAGGATCACTTTTATTAGTTGGGAGAAACAGTCTAATGTTGCCCAGTGCCCAGTAGGTATTCAGTAACTGTTTATTGCATTAGTAACCCTTTGGCAGCAAATTTCTTTGCAAACATGTCAGCAGAACAAATAAACATCATGCTAAGTACAGACTTCTTAAAACTTTATGTTATGTCACATTTACTTTTGGTTATGTCTCAGTTTTTCTCTTTGTGGACAAGGCACCCCCAACTCTGCTTGCTCTGCCTATGTCATAGCTGGTCATGAGTGGGTGGCTGGAGGAAGTTCCCCTGAAACCCACTGGTGATGCAGTCTGCCCATCCAACTGCCTAGCCAGACCCATTTCAACAAAATGGTATCAGGCACTGCCAGCCCCTCTTGGCATGTCTTCAAAGGAAGAAAGAGAGAGAGAGGCGTCACAGGGCCAGCCATATGCTTCCTGGGACAGGGTTAATCACAGGGCAGGCCTTGTAAGACCCTGATCTTCTTGAAATAGGATTTCTGTCTCATTTTTACTTCCTCTCTCACTATGGGAGAACTTGGCTAAGGCTGGGCCATGTGTCTGTATTGTTTTTTTGTTTTTTTGAGATAAGAGTCTCACTCTCTTGCCCAGGCTGGAGTGCAGTGGTGCAATCTGGGCTCACTGCAATCTATGCCTCCCGGGTTCAAGTGATTCTCCCACTTCAGCCTCTCAAGTAACTGGGATTACAGGTATCTGGCACCATGCCTGGCTAATTTTTGTATTTTTAGCAAAGATGGGGTTTCACCATGTTGGCCAGGCTGGTCTCGAGCTCCTGACCTCAGGTGATCCACCCGCCTCAGCCTTCCCAAGTGCTCGGATTACAGGCATGAGCCACTGCACCCAGACTGGGCCATGTGTCTGGATGAATCAGAATGGAAGGGATTCTGATTCTGATTAACGCTAGGAAGAAAGTTAAGGTCAGGAGGAGCAGGCTGGCCTCTCCAGTGGAACAGACCAGTAGTCAAAGGACAGAGATATTTCTACATCTTTTGCTTGATAAATAAAACTGACAAAGAAAGTACTTGTGAAGAACTAGCCTTTTCATATCATTCATATGTACAACCCTCATCAACGTCTGTTCATGGGTCAAATGAGAAATATAAATTCCCTCAAGAAGGGAGGGTTGGATGTTTTCCTGACTCTTTGCAGATTAATAGATAATCACATTTGTGAGGCGAGGCAGGCAGATGGCCCAGAGAAACCAAGCTGATAGAGCTAAAGTAATAGATGGCCTGTGCATTCAGGGATGGTAGGAGAGTAGCCTAGCCTTCTGGGGAAGGCCCAGCAGGAAGAACGCACACAGTGTTGACCTTGAGGCTGACTGTTGGTTTCATATTCACTTGGGCAAGAGCTCCAGCATCCCCACAAAAGACAGATCTGGCCCCCACTGCTTTGTACCTGATTCCCACCATGGGCAAGGCAAAGAGCTACCTCCACTGGGACTTATTATTCTGCCACAGATGAACTGAGCAGCTGAAATAAGGGAAGGTAGCATGTGGGTTGGCTGAGGAAATTTGTATGCATGAATTATACATGCATTATGCCTCTCGTTGAGATTGCATCTTGTGTGGAGATGGGAATCGATTGATGGGTGATATTTCCTAACACCTCTTGTTATTTTTCCTCCATTCCCAGGGTCTTTGAAACCACATTTGAACATTTGGACTGTTACTTGTGAGCATGATGTGGATGGCTTAGATGCAGGTTTTATGCCAGGTCCTACCTGTCAGAAAGCTCCAACAACCCTGAGACACTAATGTGTCCTGTGACATGAGCATGAAAGGGTGGGAAACAGGTTGGACTACGATGGAGCATTCCTGCTTGGCAGAACAGAAACAGGGGATACCAGGGCCTGATTCTGTAATATCCAAAATAATGATGTTTTATAGTGAAATTTCATTTTTGATGTACAAATTGTGGATCTATACAGGAAGAAGAAAATGACAAGAAAGCATAATTTGAAAAGATAAAATGAGAAAAAGGCAAGTTACAAGACCAGAATCATTAGTTTGTCAAAGGACTTTCTGGAAATGCTTTTGGTTTCTAGTTCTTGTACAATTGCTTCTACTTCTTTTGCTGACTTCCACCACTTCCATTATTCTTATATGATCTATGCTGATGGGGCTAGCAAATATGCCACTTCTAAAATGCCTGGGCTGGATGGTCACTAGAGATGAAGGAGGCCCAGTCCTCTTAAGAAAGTCTCTCCACTCATTCCTGGCTGGGCGCATTGGCTCACGCCTGTAATCCCAGCACTTTGGGAGGCCGAGGCGGGCGGATCACATAAGGTCAGGAGTTCGAGACCAGCCTGACCAACATGGAGAAACCTCGTCTCAACTAAAAAATACAAAATTAGCCAGGCATGGTGGCGCATGCCTGTAATCCCAGCCACTCGGGAGGCTGAGGTAGAAGAATCGCTTGAACCTGGGAGGTGGAGGTTGCGGTGAGCCAAGATCGTGCCATTGTACTCCAGCCTGGGCAACAAGAGTGAAACTCTGTCTCAAAAAAAAAAAAAAAAAAAAAAGTCTCTCTACTCATTCCCATTCTGCTACTAGAAACACTCCTGTGGAATAGAGTTAGAGCCTTCCTGGGGATCACAATTAGGCAGTGAGCTTGCTGTCCCTGTCATATTGCCAGTGCTCACACAGATCGTTTTTCCTTCTAGCCTAGAATGATTACTGCCCAAGAAAAGTGCAAGTTGACCTGCCTTACTTCTGCAATGTGGTTAGCCTGGACTCTGCCGCTAGCAGACTAGCTTTTTTTAAAGGAGCTATTAAGCCCGGTTGACCTTTGATGTGATAACAAGCTTGTTATTGCTCATTGGCTAACCCAATTTCTCCAAGAAGACAGGATCCCAAACATATCAAAGGGAATTTTCCCAGCTACTTGCTGAGGCTTGTGGACAGTGAACTTTAGTTAAAGATATTGGAACTGGGGGTGATCAGCGATTAGCAATTAGGTCTCAACTGCTCCAGGGCCCACACATCAGGGCAGCTTCATTTAGATCATCTGAGAACACATCTCTATGGGATTCAGCCTATAGTGTATGTTGACTACTCCTAGAGCCTCTGAGTTGTGCTGAATAAATAAGAAAATCACAACTGGTGTCAGTAGATCTATGCTCAGTCATCCTTTCCACTCTTTTTATATTCCAGTTCAGCCTGCCAGGGAACGGTAGGGAGAAAAGGCTGTTGTCATCCTGGGTCAGAGAACTGGCTGCCTAGAAGAGGCTTTCTACAGCCAAACCCAGTGCTTGGCAGCTCCCTCAGGATCCTAGGAGCCACATGCTGTGTTCTTCAGGTTCTCTCATACCAACAGTTCTCCATCCTGGCTGCACAGGCTACAGTGCAGCCAGGAGGAAAAACCATCATCTTAGATGACAAACCCTAAGAGGCCAGTCTACTGTTAAAGTCAGTGCTTTACTGGTGCCCTATATGGCTGAGAAGAGTCACAATGGAGGTTCCAGGCACTGGAGGCAGAAGTTGGAAGGCACCTATGGCACACTCTTAGACCCTGGTCACTTCCTGAAGAAACTCCATTGATTTAGTAAGAAAGCCACCCTCACACATTCCTGGTAGCTACAGAATAACAGAGCAGACTAAAACAGAGTCTGAAGTTGGCAGCCAGTCCAGTCAAATAAAACCAAATGCCTGTTGTTAACTGGTTTATCCTCTGTAAAGAAGTATTCAGTAGAAAAGGCAAAAAGGGGAAGAAAAGAATATCGGTTTTAAGTGAATTATGCGTAAAATATATAAGTTCTTGTGACCATCTGAATGGACTCACCCGAAGAAAGAAAGGAAACTTCCTGCCATAGAAGCCGACCCGAAAGAACTCAGGCTCCAGGCGTTGCTGCTCCATAATGTTGTCATAGTAGCTGGCCTCCATTTTCTGTGAATGAGAAAGGTCTTCAGGTTGGCTTGACTGCTGTTGGTATCCAAAGGAAGTTCTCCCAGGCCCAACTGGACACTGTCTTCTGGAAAGGGATCATGGCAACTCAATCTAGATAAGAAGTAAGTGAGCCTCTAGACATGACCAGCCTCTCTCCAGGGAGTTTCATCATGGAAGAGAAAGCCCTCCATCACCACTGTCTGATGGTGGGATGGGGACAGGCCTGCCCACTGCAGCCACGTGCAGCTGCTGTGAATGTCCTTCCTAGGGAATGGACTCAGCCCTATAGAGATCTGGGCTTACTGTACTTGGGAGGCACACTTTTAACACGGACATTTTCTGCCTGGGGATTTCTGGTTTTGACCAATACTCACTATACCAGTTGACCTCTGACTAGGTTGCTTGTAGCTGGCTACCATCAATTCTCACCACCATTTTGCATCAGTCCAACTCTTGTTCATCTATCATCTGACTAAAGATGCTAACAACTGTAGTGAGGAAGGCTCAGATGACAACAGCACTGGTACTCACTCCAAGTTAAGATATTTTAAACTTGAAAAGCTAACTAATATCCATGATGTCTAGCATTCCAAGGTCTGTAACTTTTTTACTTGTGGCTGACCTGGCTTCACATTCAGAAAAAAACTCACTGCAACTTTGATTGGGAAGATAGCTATAATGCATTCAATCAAGCCAGCCTGCCAGAACTGGTTAAGAAGCCACTGCTAGAGGAACATGCCCAAACACCAATCTGGATCATAGAACAGGAGAGTTAGCCACAAAGATGAGGGTGCAGAAAGGGTGAGTTGAGACTGCTAGCCTCTTTTTTGCTGATGAAATCAGCAGCCATTATGATTCAGAACCGAGCACCAGCAACCAGGAAAAATTTGGCGCAGACCTTCAAAGCCATCGAGCATTTGATTTAATTTTTTAATATTCTGCATCAAAGAAGGCAGCAAGTACAACATGCTTAAAAGTGACCATAAGCAAAGTGGGGAAAGCTCTTAAAAAGATTTTGGATGAAGCATCCATAAACAAAACCATTCCAGGAAAAGCTTCTCTGTGAAGTTGAGCTGCCACCTCCTTCTTGAAACCACCATCCTATCCTGCCTATGCCACTTCTCCCTTCTCTGAGCACCAGTGGCTCTTGGGGTCTAGATCATACAATTATTTGTCAGGTGTTATTTTTGGTTTCCTAGTCAGACTGCAAGTGTCCTGAGGGCAGGAGTCTTGGCTTTTGTTTCTCTTGTATTGTCCACAGCACTAAACTAAGGGCTGGGCCCATAGAGAACGCTCATTTAGAAACTGATGCCAGTCAGGGCTGGGGTGGGGGGAGGGGCACAGCTCACCCGAATCCAGCTGAGGCTCTGGTAATCATAGAGGCTCTCGTACTGACACGCCAGCTCCCTGCACAGTGGGATCCCAAACTCCCAGCTCTGTGTCAGAAACAGAAACAGGGCTTCAGCATCTCATCTTCAGAATAGCCTAAGCCCACATTAAACACATCAGAAGACACACAACAAAAGGTCTCCCGCCAGCTCCAACTCATGTGTCACAAAGAACATATACCTCAAGACCAATTTGGGGGGCATGACACAGCCGTGTGGCTTTCTAGCTCAAGCATAGTTTTTAGGTCTCTGCTCAAATGTCTCCACCTCCAAGAGGCCTTCCCTGACTGCTTTGTCAAGAACAGGCACTTCCTTGTCCATTTCTGTTCTGTTACTATGAAGTTATCTTAATTTAAAAAAATTACTTACTTTTCTTGTTGTATTAGTCTCAATCAGATGAGAAACAGAATGAGGGCAGGGACCCTGTTTATTTTGTTCTCAGAGACTAGAACAATGCCAGGGATGTATCAGGTACTCAATAAAGATTTATTTGATGAGATAATGAAACACTAATTTTTAGATTAAGATAGTTTAAGCTCAGAAACAAGTATGGAAACCAAGAAGAAAATGCCTACTCAAGGACTTGGCAGTAGGTCTGACAATTTCCTTTATGGAACTATTTGACCTTAAATTAGGCTTCAGATGATCCTTGCCTAGTTAGATTCCAGGCTTTCTGTGGTATGGCTCTTGTTACAGCAACATGCCCATGCAACAGCCTGAGAGAAGGCTGCAGTGGCCTTCATTAAGAGGCGATATTATCCATTTCCTCCTTTAAAAAAAATATATACCTCTTTTGGAAGTCAAATTGTCCCTGTTTGCAGATGACATGATTGTATACTTAGAAAACCCCATTGTCTCAGCCCAAAATCTCCTTAAGCTGATAAGCAACTTCAGCAAAGTCTCAGGATACAAAATCAATGTGCAAAAATCACAAGCATTCCTATACACCAATAACAGACAAACAGAGAGCCAAATTGTGAGTGAACTCCCATTCACAATTGCTTCAAAGAGAATAAAATACCTAGGAATCCAGCTTACAAGGGATGTGAAGGACCTCTTCAAGAAGAACTACAAACCACTGCTCAACAAAATAAAAGAGGACACAAACAAATGGAAGAACATTCCATGCTCATGGATAGGAAAAATCAATACTGTGAAAATGGCCATACTGCCCAAGGTAATTTATAGATTCAATGCCATCCCCATCAAGCTACCAATAACTTTCTTCACAGAATTGGAAAAAACTACTTTAAAGTTCATATGGAACTGAAAAAGAGCCTGCATTGCCAAGACAATCCTAAGCAAAAAGAACAAAGCTGGAGGCATCACGCTACCTGACTTCAAACTATACTACAAGGCTACAGTGACCAAAACAGCATGGTACCGGTACCAAAACAGAGATATGGACCAACGGAACAGAACAGAGTCCTCAGAAATAATACCACACATCTACAACCATCTGATCTTTGACAAACCTGACAAAAACAAGCAATGGGGAAAGGATTCCCTATTTAATAAATGGTGCTGGGAAAACTGGCTAGCCATATGTAGAAAGCTGAAACTGGATCCCTTCCTTACACCTCGTACAAAAATTAATTTAAGATGGATTAAAGACTTAAATGTTAGCCTAAAACCATAAAAACCCTAGAAGAAAACCTAGGCAATACCATTCAGGACATAGGCATGGGCAAGGACTTCATGACTAAAACACCAAAAGCAATGGCAACAAAAGCCAAAGTTGACAGATGGGATCTAATTAAATTAAGGAGCTTCTGCACAGCAAAAGAAACTACCATCAGAGTGAACAGGCAACCTACAGAATGGGAGAATATTTTTACAATCTACCCATCTGACAAAGGGCTAATATCCAGAATCTACAAAGAAGTTAAACAAATTTACAAGAAAAAATCAAACAACCCCATCAAAAAGTGGGCAAAGGATATGAACAGACACTTCTCAAAAGAAGACATTTATGTAGCCAACAGACACATGAAAAAATGCTCATCATCACTGGCCATCAGAGAAATGCAAATCAAAACCACAGTGAGATACCATCTCACACCAGTTAGAATGGTGATCATTAAAAAGTCAGGAAACAACAGGTGCTGGAGAGGATGGGGAGAAGTAGGAACACTTTTACACTGTTGGTGGGACTGTAAACTAGTTCAATGATTGTGGAAGACAGTGTGGAGATTCCTCAAGGATCTAGAACTAGAAATACCATTTGACCCAGCGATCTCATTACTGGGTATATACCCAAAGGATTATAAATCATGCTGCTCTAAACACACATGCACACGTATGTTTATTGCAGCACATTCACAATAGCAAAGACTTGGAACCAACCCAGATGTCCATCAATGATAGACTGGATTAAGAAAATGTGGCACATATACACCATGGAATACTATGCTGCCATAAAAAAGGATGAGTCCATGTCCTTTGTAGGGACATGGATGAAGCTGGAATCCATCACTCTGAGCAAACTATTGCAAGGACAGAAAACCAAACACCGCATGTTCTCACTCATAGGTGGGAACTGAACAATGAGAACACTTGGACACAGGGTGGGGAACATCACACACCAGGGCCTGTCGTGGGGTGGTGGGAGGGGGGAGGGATAGCATTAGGAGATATACCTAATGTAAATGACAAGTTAACAGGTGCAGCACACCAACATGGCACAGTATACATATGTAACAAACCTGCACATTGTGCACATGTACCCTAGAACTTAAAGTATAATTAAAAATATATATACCTCTTTTGGTTAGATTGAGGGTCATTAGTTTACTTGATATTTTACCCAGGCTCCCCAACTTCTCAATACTAATAAAAATGTTTTATTATAGGAAATTTAAGCATATAGAAAAGTAGAGAGACTAGAAGAATAAACCCTTATCCATCATCCAGCTTCAACAATGACCAACTCACAGCCAATCTTGTATTATTCATACCCTATTCACTTATTCCTCCCCATAGTATTTGAAACAAATCTCAGATATAATTTCACCGGTAAATATTTCAGCATAAATCATTAAACATAAGGACTATATTTGTAAGAATACTCTTTGAAATAGCATCAAGGAGAAGGAAAACACTGTTTCATTTGGGGTTGTGTTTCTCAAAAGAGTACATTTTTCTATCCTTCAAAGAAATTAACACCATATGGATTGAAACTGCAGGACCAATTAAAAAGACTAAAACAAACCAAAGAGGTTTTTGTTGTTGTTGTGTGTGTGCATGTGTGTTTTGTTGTTGTTTGTTTGTTTTTTTTGGAAACAAGGTCTTGCTCTGTCACCCAGGCTAGAATGCACTGGCATGATCACAGTTCACTGCAACCTTGAATGCTTGGGCTCAAGAGATTCTCTTGCCTCAACCTCCCGAGTAGCTAGGACTACAGGTGGGGCTAGGTGTGTGCCACCATGCCTGGCTAGTTTTTAAAATATTTTATAGAGATGGGGTCTCGCTATGTTACCTCGGCTGGTCTCAAACTCGTAGTCTCAAGCCATCCTACCACCTTGGCCTCTCAAAAGTGTTGACATTACAGGCATGAGCCACGATGCCCAGCCAAACAGAATTTCAAATAGACCCTGACTCCTTGCTTTAATATAATGCCTGTGCCTCAGTGAGCTAGAAAGCCTCTTGTACCCCCATTATCACAGCTTTCAAGGGGGCGTATATCAGTCCTCTCCAAGTGCCGCTTGGGCAGGTTTCAGCAATGGACCCACAACAGGGTCTACCTGGCTGGCAGCTTCATGGGGGCTAGCTAAGTTTACAGCTGAGTTGTATACAGACTTCTGGCCAGCCTGCCAAGAGCCAATCCATGGGAGACTGCTCATTTAGATGACAATGGCTGTATGTGTGGCTAAAGATGCCCTGTCTGCTAACAGTAGCTTTCAGTAAAAAACAGGTCTTCTCCTCCATTGGGATCAATGCTCATCTATCTTGCCGGCATCTCTGCCCTAGCTTGTAACCCTGATGCTCCAAGGCACCCCTCTCCACCACAATTATCTTTAGAATGAGCCAGGACCAAAAATTTTAAGACACTCTGCAAACCTTGAGGGGTATGCTGGAACACTGGTGGGCTTGGGGGCTTTGAGAGCTGCCTCTGCACAGAGTTAGTAAATATACTACAGGCGCAATGCATCCCCATCCACATCTTTTGCCTTGGTTTCCCTCCTTCAGGCAGGAGGCAAAGCTAACTCTAAAACTCCCTACCAGTGTCTGAAATCCAGTCACTTCTACCAGCTCCTGCAGATTTGTGCTTTTGTTTTGTTTTGAGACAGAATTGCTCTGTCACTCAGGCTGGAGTCCAGTGGTGCAATCTCAGCTCACTGCAACCTCCGCCTCCCATGTTCAAGTGATTCTCATGACTCAGCCACCCAAATAGCTGAGACTACAGGCATGCGCCACCACACCCAGCTAATGTTTGTATTTTCAGTAGAGACGAGGTTTCACCATGTTGGCCAGCTGGTCTTGAACTCCTGACCTCAAGTGATCCGCCCACCTTGGCCTCCCGAAGTGTTGGGATTGCAGGCGTGAGCCACCTTGCCTGGCCTAATATGTGCTTTTATATATCCTTGTTGCTCCCTCGCAGGGACAGCACAAAAAGTTGTACTGACTTAGGGGTCATTCTAATCAAATGGCAAAGGAAGGGAAAAGCATGGGCCACCTGTCTGGCAGTCTGTTTGCACATTACATATTAGAAGTAACAGTCATTCCTTCAAATGAGTGTGGACCATGGTAAACCCTCAAGCAGGAGAGCCCAAGCCCTCTCCCACATAAGTGGCTGGTCTAGCCCTGATGGTTTGCTAGCCTCTGTCCAGCTTCTCCTCCTGCCTGCTTCCTCCACCTAGAGATGCAGGACCAGCTCTGATCTTCACATCACCCCTTCCTTCTCTAAACTCTCACCCTGCCATATCCTGTCTCTTTGGAGTTTCCCTCTCTCCTTGTCTGGCCTGGGAGAGCTGACTGTCTGTGGACCAGAGCCCAGTCCAACTTGTAGCAGGTTTGTAAGTGAACCACCTCACTACAGGAGAGAATGGCCCAGGACTAGGCTATGGCCATGTTATTAGCCATGGCTAATCCTCTTGGGTACCCAGGACATAAACATGGGACCAAGGGAGATTGTGTTGTCTAAGGCAGACACCAGAGAGCATGTGCCAGCTTTGAGGGGTGTACTGGAACAATGGTGGGTCTGGGGGCTTTGAGAGCTGCCTCTGCACAGAGGTAGCAAGTGTACTACAGGTGCAATGCATCCCCATCTACATCTTTTCCTTTGGTTTCCCTCCTTCAGGCAGAAAGCAAAGCTACTCCAAAATGCCTTACCAGTCTCTGAAATCCAATCACTTCTCTTCTACTACTTTTTGTCCTTGTTCATTCTAAAGGTAACTGGAGTAGAGGCCTTGGAGTGAGTGCCTTGGAGCAGCATGGTTACAAACTAGGGAAGAGATACCAGCAAGATAGATGAGCCTTGATCCCACTGGAGGACATTTGTTTCACTGGAAGCTACTGTCAGCAGGCAGGGCATCTTTAGCCCTACATGGGGCCATCATCACCTAAATGAGCAGTCCCTATGGGGCAGCTCTTGGGGGTAGTGTCTGGAAGAAAAGCCAGGAGGGGCTTGCCTTGTGAGGCAGGGTGTGCTGGCAGTGTTGAGAGCTAGAAACTCACTACCTGCTCCTCCTTTCTTTCCTTGCCCTTCTCTTGTTGCCAAGGTGGCTTTTCTCTTGGTGCTAAACATCCCTGCCCCACGGGAGCATTTTTTTTTCCCATAGCATCTGGGTTTTGCTTTTCTAGAACCATGGTTTTCTTCTTGAAAACCCGGAATATTTTCAAGAAGGACTGGTTAATCTCACCTAATAGTTTCATCAGGAGCTGAGGCACAGGAACAGACAAGGTAGGCCTTCTGTGTGAGCCTAAGACAGTGGGTCTGATAACTGCCCCTCTGAGGATGAGCTCATGAGGGGGCTCACTGAGTGGTCTCTACTCAGCATAGACTCTGCTCCTCCAGAAATTCAGGGCAAAGGCAGGATTGCAGAAGTGAGGAGATTCCTGAGAAGGTGGCCTATGGAGCCTCCTAGTCCTTCTCTCCTTCTTGTCCATCTACAGTACTCAGGCACACTTTGTGTTTTACTCCCTAGTCCATGTTAAAATTTAATCCTGCTTTTCTATGCATTACTATAATGTGGGATGAATAGGGGACCATCAATGCTCATGCATCCCACGGGTAGACTCAGTCAGATTAGGATAACTCTCCACTCTGTACTCTGTGCCCATGGAAAGAAATGAGAATGAATGCACTAGAAGCACACATGCGTACTCACACCACGCTTATGTCATTCCCTGTGAGCTAGGAGGGCTTGCTGGGCATGAGGGTGAGGGGCAGCTCCAGGTTAGCCAGGTGCCAGGAAAATAGGCCTAAAACTGCATGTGAGGGGCTCTGTGTCAGGCGCTGGATCAGCAAGGACCAGAGGCTTTGGGTCAGCATTGTGGATCAGTTGCATGGGCTGGCTGAGAGCTGAGCATGGGCATCCTTTCTGGGCTAGGTTACATAAGAGTTTCTGCGCTTTTGGAAAGGTTCTTGCTTACCAGTGCATTCTCTGTATGGGGAAATGTTTTCTGAGTGAATATTTTTGACAAACATAGAAGTCCCCCATGTTATGTAAAACTGAAGAATGTTTTCTGATTTATAGACAAAAGCCATTAATGTTTAAATCTTTCTTTTTGATGAAAAAACTCATCTCAAAAACCAATTTCCATTTGAGTTGGGGGCTCAGCTACTACAGTTCCATGAATGACCCTATTTCAGCTTTAAAATGTGCTCAAAGCTTAGTAATGAGAAAATGGCTTCAACAAGTTTTTCCAGCACAAGGGCCCCATCTAACAGTAGGTAGTCAGAGGGCGCCACACAGAGCTCTCCCAGAGATGGGAGGAGAATGGCTGGGAAGTCCCAAGGAAGCCTAAACCAGTGCTGACAATGCTGCCAATCCCATAGAAAGTAGTTTGATGGAAAATAACCCCAATATGAGAGGAGCCCAGGCTGTGCTGTAGAGAAGGGAAATCTAAGAAAAGAACACATACCAGTAAGAGGCAGTTTAGGCCGCCTTTGGCTGTGGTTAAAATCCATTCATTTCTACCACTCATATTTTATATGGCAGCAGATTAGAAAGCCGTATCAGTTCTTTAAGTAAATCCAATAAAAACAAACAGGGTTCCAGAAGCCCCTGCTGTAGAAGCATTCATATTTATAGATATGCAAAGCTAGTATGTAGGGTAGTCTCTAACACCTACAATCTGGATATGGCTTTCAAGCCACAGAATTAGGCTGTTGTCTTTTTCTCCCTCAGAGAAAATCATGCTGCCTCCACATCTTAGGCACATAGATAGGCACCCACCCACTCACCACCCCACACACTACCCCCTGCAGCTGCTGTTAACCCTATGGTGTCAAGATGCCATGCATCACAGCAGAAGCTGAAGGGCTAAAGGGCTTGCCTAATGATGCATACCTTGCCTTTGTTGAAGTAGTGAATGATCTTCCGGCACAGTCCCTCCTTCCGCTGCCACTCTGTCTGCGATGGGTAGTGGAGGAATTCCCGTAGTGGCCGGTCCTCCCACTGCAGCAGCTCACAGTAAAGGAGCAGGGTAAATGCGGCCTCTGTGGGGACAGACAGCATGGAGGTCCAGGGGCTTCCCTTGCTCAGAGGCCCAGGAGCAGCCTGGTGTCAGAGGACTATGCTGGGCAGAATGCCAGCGCAAGTCATGTGCAGCCCAGGTCGGGGACACTGGATACTAAAGATGAAACAGTAGGGCTGCTCAACAAGCCAATAACCCTTGTCCACAGCATGAAGGAGCCAAATATTCTGGTAGACACCTTCCTTCCATGGCCTGGTCACCTGTTCCAGCCTCCAGATTAATAAAGAATGGTTCAGCTACCCAAAAATCTGTGCACAGGCTGCCTTGCTTTGGGAGACATTGACACATCAGAGAGAGCTCTTGGGTTCCTTTTTGCTCAACTGACTACAGCTTCCTTTCCAACCTTCTCAGAACTGGCTCTTAGGGCTCCATTACCAAAGGAACCTAAATTGATACTAGACCCAGAGTGAAGGCCTGGCAACATCTTACTCTATGTGTGGAACAATTAGAGAAGGTTATGTAAAACAACAGCAGTGAAATACCATGGCTCCCTACATTCCAAGGGATGAGTCATACTGAATCACAGCCACGGCTCAGGGGCCTCATTACACAGTTTTCTCTCTGTTCTATTTGTTCATTTTTAGTGGGCATCTCCTACTGGCAAGTTAGTTAGTTCTAGCTTCTGTGCTTCTGCCTGGCTTTCAAGGCCCTACTCAAATCTACTCCCCATGACTATGAAGAATCTCATTTCTAACCATTTATTGACCCACTTCCAGTTTTAGCTAGGCCCACTTGCCTGTGTCCACTCTTTAGGCTCCTCCTCATCCTTGCCTTTTTGCCTGTGCCCTTGCCACTGGAACTTCCTGCCAAGGAATGTACACGCCTCCTCATGGGATCAGGAAGCCTTTTCTCTCTAGGGACAAGCCCTGTGGAACTCAGGGCCTCCCTCTGGAGCTTAGGAAACCATGGAACGTCTTTTTCTTCCTTGCCTATATTCTTTTCAGATGTCATTCCCTGAGCCATCAGAGACAAGGCTTAGCACTCTTTCTCTGTTAAAATCCCTGACCCAGCCTCTCAGTCATGGCCCCGTTTCCTAGGAGTTTAGCAAATGCTTCTACTGATACATAACATTTATCAAAGTCTTTCTCTTCAATGCCCTCTCAGAGGGTTGCTGGGATCATGGGTGCAAGTGGATGCAGAGAATGGTAGACTCAGCCCAGTCATTTTATTTTATTAGTCAGCTGAATTTAAGATTCAAAGCCCAGTCATTTTAGATTTAATTCTTGCCAAGCTATGCTATCAGATAAGATACCATCTATGCCAAACACTCTCTAACGGCTAGAGATAAAGAAGGAGGATTCTCTGTTTCTACAAATCTATCTAATTGCAGTAGCGTTTGCAGACAAGGATAGCTTAAATTTCCTGATCTATCACACAAATTCAAGTCCTATCGCCTAAGAGCTAAGACATAATGGCTGGTCACCACAGTGGAGAAAATGGCTCTTTGGGGGGAACGATGGCATAAGTCAATCAGATAGGACACACATGCATGCACGTAACCCCGATTCAGCGTGGTTCTCAGTAAACAGATGTGACAGCCACTTTGAAATGCTTTAAAATTTGTTCTAGTTAGAAAAGGCCTTGATATTGGATTAAATTGTAGATACAATGAAAGGAGCCCTATCTGGCCTGTCAAGAAGTCAGATGAACATTCTTTATACTCTACACTGAGTGCACAATGTGAGGCTGCTATGCAGTTGCAGGGTCTGAAGAGCCTAGCCTGCAAGGAAGGTCTGCTAGTGAGTTCTGGAAGTTCCAGGGTTAGGGGGATATTCCTTTGTTATAACCTTAGCTCCAGCTTTGAAAGTCCTAAAAAAGGCTCTCTGTTCATAAGGAGTGACAGTGAGCTCAGGATGCTCTGAACCTGGTGCACCAGAATTTGGAGGTCACCCTTGAGACTTCAGAGGGGTGGATAGGAGGGAAGAAGAGTGAAACAGACTCAAGTAGTGGATGACATGGCACAAAGGCACAAGTGGAAGTTCTGCCTGCTTTCTCTCTACCATGTGCCACAAAGGAGTTGAGGGAAATGAGTGAGGTGAGGGGATAGCACAAGCCCCAACATTCTGCTGAGATCTGGCAGGCACCAGCCTGAAGCCTTTCTCTGCCTATTGTACAAATCCCTTCAGTTTGTCCTCATGGTCAGGCATGGCTCTCTCTTCTCCCCACTTACCTGTGTAGTTTTCGGCCTGCAAGTGCATGTCACAAAGCTTATGGATGTAGCGGATATACATTTCTTCCTTGTTAATCTCAGATTTGTAAAAATTCTACAATAAAGAGAAGGAAACACCTGTCAACTACCTGTGGAAGCCATAGCCAAGCTCTGGGCAGCTGGCCATAGCCGTGGGTGTGCTGGGCAGGAGGGGGAGGGCAGGCCCTGGAGGCAGACAGCACCAGAAGGAGAAAGCACCAGCCAGAAGGAACACCTGCTGTGGGTGGAACCACTGGCAGGTCTATGGGAGCCCTGGGTAGTGTTAAGAGGAAAAGCATCAGGGCAGATCAGGAGTCAGGGTTGACTGTGAATTGGGTATGTCAGGGTTAGTGGGTCCTTGCCAAGAGGCCAGGCTAGAGTTCTATCCAAAGAGAAGCTCGTTTCATTCCTTCCCCAAGTAGGAATGTGTTTGGGGGAGTGCAGGCCTCTAAGATACCAGTAACAGAGCTGATGTCCTGATTCAAACCCTTAGGCCTGCAGCCATGTATTGTAGAAGGGCCAAGCCAATCACAGTGCAGGACAGAAACCATTTCAGTAGGCAGAGAGAAGTCAGGGCCCATGTCCTCTCACCATCAGGTTAACAGTGCAGCCTATCTTCTTATTCTCTGTTTCCTCTCCTTTCATGCAGTCCCTGGAAGAGAGAGCACAGATGAGCACCAGATATGAAGTGGGGCCTTGAGACAACACATAGAACTGTACTATCACTGGGGCATTAGTATGACCAAATCCCAGATTGAGATGGCCTCCAACAGGAACTGCTTCCATAGATAAGGACTCTACTGTGAGCTCCTTTAGCTTTGGAACCACTCTCAGGGCTCAAAGATCTCTGTTCAACTGAGCCCCTTATTCTGGTGGCAGAGCACAGAGAGAGCCCAGAGCTACATCAGGGTATTAAGTGGCACCTACCAATGTCCTTGGCACAAAAGGGTATATGAATTAAGTGGAAGGCCAAATCCTCAACTTCCCAAAAAGGGAGGCACAGAATTCTCCTTAAAGGGCAGGTTTCATTTTGTAGGAGTGCTGAATAGAAGCCAAGACCCTCCACTTCAGGGCCCTAGCTTCAGGGCTCTGTACATGTTCACCACCTAGTTGACATTTCTCCCTATGGTTTCCTTCCTGTGTACTAGTGTTTGGAGCCATCTATCACCAGAAGCAGCAGGTCTCGTGCTTAAAGCATCAGCCAGGACTGAGCTGCATTCATACCTAGCAGGGTCTGGGTGTAGGAGGGGTCAGGGATGGCCTGTGAGAGATAGGAAAATAGGAACACTGAGAATGGATCTTTTCCAAGATAGGGAGAGGGTTGGTCAAAGCCAAGCTCCTCTGGAAAGGAGCAGAAGCCTGGCACAAGGAGATGAAGGAGAATGAGAACCAGACTGGTGAATCCAGCAAGACATCTCCTATGCCAGCCAGAGTGCCATCTGCCTGATGTGTCTCCTTCCATAGCAGCCCACACTGCTATGGAGAAGATCTAGTTTCTTGTGCAGCTGTGTATTAGCAGCTCTGGGGAAAAGCTGCAGAAAGGGGTTTATACAGATTTCTAGGGTCAGGTTGGAGAGTGTCTTTGGCTTTGCTCCACTGGCAGGCACAGGGCCCAGTGAAGAGCAGTACAGCTGGGAGTCAGGGTCCCTAGGCCAAGTCACTGAGCCTCTGGATGGTCATTTGACAAACCCAGTTCTCCCCACCTTCCCATCATGCAGAGGAAGAACCTTGGGATGACTTCTTTGAAAGAAAAGGATGTTGAAAATCCATACTCCTCTCATGATATTCTGCAAAGCCAAATGTCCTTCCTGTGGAAGTCTCCTGTCAGAGTTGATAGGTTTGAGAGGTTTGGAACCAAGGCCCTCCTTTCTAGGGGGGTTTGACCTATCAGCACATTCACCACGTAAGATATTTGGTTCCTATGTAGCCAGACATGAGGGTCCTGAACATCCCTCTGCAGAACCTGTCCCTTTAGCGCTAGCAGAGCCAGGAAACTGCTTGACTTTTCGAGGAGTGAGGCTGAGGTCAGATGGCCAAGTTGTTCCAAGCAACCCACACAATGGTAGAAGGCATCTGTCTCCCCAGTAAGTTGGCCCCATGAAGGGCAGTGAGATTTTACCTAGCCACTTTGGCATTTAGTGATTTGTATTTTCTATAAAGCATCTGAAACATTTACCACGGATTAACTTCTATTTGGCCATAACCAGAACTTCATAGCTAAGTCCCTTAAACAGAAAGGAACTGGCCTCAACACTGTGATACCAGGGGCATCCTACACACTTCTGTGCTCTATGACTGCTTCTCCTCTGCACTGCTGACAGCAGACTCTTTTTTTGTGTACCTCTGCATCACTTCTGTGTGGCTACTTCATGGTGGATGCCTTTTAAAGTCTGACTTAGGTGCAGCTGTTGCTTTCCTCTTGCTCTTTCTCTGAAGGGTGAGCAGGGAAGACTCCAGAAAGAGGCTTCTGAAGCATCCGGCTCACCTGAGTAGTGGGCTGGCTGGGGACTACATCAGTGACCAGGAAGCCCTCATTGCAACCTGAGAGGCCTGGGAAAGGAAGGCTTCATAACCCTCAGTTGCCCATTCCAGGTAGAGGTTCCACTCTGAGCCACAAGGGCTTGGCAACTCTAGCTCTGTCCCTGTCTGTTCCAGGCACAAAAAAAAAAACAAAAAAACCCTTCTAGGGCTCTGCTTCCTAACCTGGGAAATATAGTTACTACCAGTGAGAATCTTCATGTCTGACACAGAGTGTCTGAGATTCACACAAAAGTTAAAGACATTGATATAAAAGTTGAAGAGGTATTCCTCTGAGTACCTAAAGTTTTGCCAGTCTAAAATTGAGTCTTACATAACAGGTTCAGGTAATTCTAGAGTACAATCTATTGATTATTTGTTTAATCAATGTATGTATTTTAAAACTTTGAACAATTATTTTTTCCTTTTTGTTTGATGTCCTTCCCTTGAGTCATATCAACAACTATTTTCTTTTTCTTTTCTTTTCTTTTTTTTTTTTTTTGAGACAGGGTCTCATTTTGTCGCCCAAGCTGGAGTTCAGTGGCGCAATCTCAGCTCACTGCATCCTCGACCTCCCCGGCTAAAGTGATTCGCCCACCTCAGCCTCCAAAGTAGCTGGGACCACAGGTGCATGTCACCATGCCTGGCTACTTTTCCAATTTTTCATAGAGATGGGGTTTCGCCATATTGTCCAGGCTGGTCTCAAACTCCTGAGCTTAAGCAATTTGCCTGCCTTGGTCTCCCACAGTGCTGGGATTACAGGCTTGTGCCACTGTGCCTGGCCAACAACTCTTTTCTTAGTAAGTTCTTGAACTAACTGCATTGAGGCAGAGGAAAAGAGTTGCTTGGTTCCTGCATGGTCTTTCCAACAAGTTTATCACTCATTATTTACTATGCACCTGCCAGGAGCTGGCCCCCATACAGGGGAACAGGGAGATAAGGACAAGGTTCCTATCCTCAAGGAGCTGGTCCTCTTTTGTAAGGTAAGACAGAATGACAAATGATCATCATTCAATGTGTGCACGGAAAGGTAAGCTCCTGGCTTGGGAAAGCTTCCTTAATAGGGGTGAGTTGGAAGACCACTCTTGGGAGAGAACACAGCATACAGAGAAACCTGAAGGGAAAATACAAGTGATTAAGTGGTGACAACATGGACACAGAGATAGGGCATGGTTCTTGAGTCAGCTAGATCTGGGTTCAAATCCTAGCAGTGGTACTTCTTCTTCTTTTTTTTTGGCTTTTTCTTTTTTTTTTTTAAATTATATTTTAAGTTCTAGGGTACATGTGCACAACCTGCAGGTTTGTTACATATGTATACTTTAGTTGTCTCCTCATGGATAAAAAGAATGAGGATGCTTATGGGATTAGAGAAAATGTATGTAGAGCACTCGTGGTAGATTTTCAATAAACAGGGGCCATCATCAACATTATGCTGTTTCCTTTCATGTTAGCAAGAAGCAACACTGGGAGGCTGGTGTGTAGGGCATGAGTACTGGGGACTAGCAGAAGATTGGTCTGGAGAAGTGAGTAAAGGCCAGTGATGCCATATTAAAGACTTTGGCCTTTTTGTAGATACCACCATTGAGACAAGAAATAGAGAATGAAGTTGCTTTTGGGCATGAGTTTGAGCTGCTTGTAGAAGGCAGCTAAAGAAATCAAACAGGCGGCTAGAATAAGGCCTTGGAGCCTAAGAAATTATTTTCTGCTCCTTTGTTAGGCCACGGTGAATAAAGCCAAACTTTAGAAAATGTTTTGGAAAGGGGGAGGTGCAGCACTTTACCCACCTCTCTTCCCTGTCTAATTGCAGCTGCAGGAGAAGCTACGGACCTGGTGTGAACAAAGAAGTCTCCTGCTGTAAAAGGGGCCCCAAGGCCAGCTTTGAACTCGAAAGGCCCAGGAAAAATGGGCTAAAGTTCACACAAGCATAGCTGTGCTACAGAATGGGGGGATGCTTAAGACATGAGCACATTTCTCAGGAATTCCATTTCCATATCCAGGCCAGTGCATTGGACACCTGTATCTTTTGCATAGCAGCATCTTCTACTTCAGCAGCAACTGGATCCAGGCTTAACTCTCCTATTTCCTGATCCATGAGCTGAAAATGCTCCCCTCATTTGGCATTTGCACAGCTTATAGCACAGAGAAGGCAACTATTGCTTGGAGCTGGGTTTCATTTATCATTTCTCCTCACCTTCCTCCAGGCTCCCAAAAGGCACCTTCAGCCATCACCTGAACCCTGCTGAGAGAATGATTAAGGCTGCAGTTGTGGCTTCATTGTCATGTTTGGACTAATTCAAAAGCCATGATACAACTGAGAAGGCAGACTTTCATTAAGAAATTCTAATTCTGGCTGGGTGCAGCAGCTCAGGCCTGTAATCTCAGCACTTTGGGAGGTTGAGGTGGGAGGATCACTTGAGCCCAGGAATTTGAGACCAGCCTGGGCAACACAGTGGGAACTTGTCTGTACAAAAACAAAAAACAAAAAATTAGCCGGGCATGGTGGCATGAGCTTGTAGCCCCAGCTACTCAGGAGGCTGAGGTGGGAGGATCGCTTGAGCCTAGGACTTCGAGGCTGCAGTGAGCCATGATTGCCCTCCAGTCTGGGTGACAAAGCAAGACTATCTCAAAAAAAAAAAAAAATTCTTATTCCACATGAACTCCCAGACTGGACATAATATGAAGATCTCTGAGCTCACAGGCTGTTTCCTCTAATCTATTCTGGCCACGACCAAGGGACAGAAATACATAGATTTTAGATAAAGAATATAGGCATTGAAAAGTGGGGTCCCTAGTCCCTGGAAAAGCCAACTTCAAGTCCTCCAGGTGATACTTCTCTGCTCATCTGCCATATGGTTCTGAGGAGGGTCTGCACTAAGGACCTACAGCTGTTCCCTGCCCTGCTCTGGAGACAGCTTTACTCTTCCCTCTTGCTGTGCCCATTCCTCTGAGCCTTGACCCTTCTGGATGGAAGGCCAGATGACTACATGTCCCTGAGATCCCTCCAGGGTACATGTGCCCACATTTTAGTGGGGAATCCCAGGAGGCCCTAGCCTACCCCTGGGAAAAGTCTCTGTCTCTCCTTGGTCATCAGCAGATTCCTATTGACTGGTGATGGCACCCAATATCACAACAGTCCTCCCCATGAAGAGCACATGGTCTCAGTTTTCAGGTCAGGGGGATTCCCTTGCCAGAGAGAGTATCCTGACAAGGGAAGAGGGGAGCGGGTGGCTGAGAAGATACCTGTAGTCAAGAAGACGTTCCATGAGGCGGGTGACTGAGGTCACAAAGGAAATGCCGGTCTCGCGCCATGTTTCTTGTTCAACCTTCTCCAGCAGGCTATTGGTGGAGGGGTGGAGAAAGCAAACACAATTCATGAGCCTTCTCCTGGGCACAAGAGTGAAGTCCAAGAGCCCATGGAGGCTGTGATGGATCTGGAGACAGCAGACTTACCACACTGCAGTCTTACCTGGGGTAGGGCCCAAACAGCTGGGTTCTACTCCATGCAGCAGAAAGCAAAGATAAGGAGGTTACTGAACTGGCAGCAACAAATGAAAACACATCTTCTATTTCCATGTACAAGTTCCTAAGGATGCCACTGAGGTGGGGGGAGGGAGGGGTTCGGCTCCAGCCACCTTAGGCATACACTGTAACTCACTTCTCTTCTGTTCTAAAGGAGTAGTTGAGGTCTGTTCTGAAGCAGTAGTTGAACAAGAGCCCACTGAGGGATAAGCCTGACTTTGCCAATGGCTGACTGTCTTTATCACTGCCCAGAGCCATCCTCACCAAGCTCTGTTTTTCAAAATTTTAATCTTTCTTTTTTAAGATGGGGTCTTGCTATGTTGCCCAGTCTGGCCTTGAACTCCTAGCCTCAAGTGATTCTCCTGCCTCGACCTCCCAAAGTGCTTGGATTATGGGCATGAGCCACCATACCCAGCTTAAACCCATCATCTTCATGGAAACTAAGGGAAAGATTCCACTAGTCTTGGGGCCCCAACATGAGGGAAAGTGAGCAAGTCCAGGAGCTATACTTGGCCATCCTACTGTCACAGGGAATGCTCCCAAGCAAAATGTGCCAGAGCCAGGAGCTAAATGTCCAGGTTCTTTTCTTACTTGACAACCCCATGCTCCTGGTACCTCAGGGCAGCCCCTGGCTTCTCCAAAAGCCTGGCTTCTGAGATCCTCTGCCATCGCACAGGTCTTTCCTAATGGACAATGACCTGAACTCTTTCTGCTTGTTCCAGTGATGAGCCCAGGTCCATCCTTCACTCCATACAACCCTATTCCTGATTCCTTTCCACACTATTCCTTGCTCTCTAAGGTCATGAGAGTCACCTGGGGTGGCAGACCCAGTTAGGGGTCTAGCACTGGGGACTCAAACCCACAGCCTGACTGCTGTTAATGCTGCTGCTACAATGATGACTGTCTCCTTGCACAGAGCATACTGCCTAGGCCAGGCTTCTGAGAAAGTGAGGGTTTTCCAGGTGACTCCTGTTGTTAGAGAAGGTAAGAACACTGAATCTGACTTCTGTGGCTTTATCCGTTGAGAAATGTACCAGCATTTTTCAAATGTGTTCTACAGAGGTCTCTGTCCTAGAGGACAGGTGGAAATGTTCTGTGAGCACACAAGCATGGAAAATTGGGAAATGCTGATCACTATACCCTCCTTTTGGAGATTTTTCATATCCTTTATTTTTTCTTTTTTGAGATGGGGTCCTGCTATGTTGCTCAGGATAGTCTCGAACTCCTGGGTTCAAGCAATCCTCCCACCTTAGCCTCCCAAGTAGCTGGGATTACAGGTGCGTACCACTGCACCCAGCTCATATCCTTTTGCACAACAAAGGCTTTGAGAAGTCCTACAATAAAGAGGCTTGTTCAATTTTGCTTAGCTGAATCTTTTCTAAACTAATTCACCCATGATTTACTTTTTTTTTTTTTTTAGCATACCTACAAACATCTTCCAAAAACACAAATTGGAAAATGCTGCTCCATGTTATCAGTGGTTCTCAGTTCTTAGACTGATTTTAAAAGAGCTTATAAACATGATTTGGTCAGGTAATTAGTAATTACAGATTATTTTTGTACTTTTTCCTTTGTAGTAGTCATTTGTTAGTGGCCAAGGAACACTGCCTTGTTTCCACAATTAGACAAATCTTCGGCTAAAAAAGAAATACTAAAGTATGGATTCATTTTCACAAATTGTAATTATTTAAATTAAAAATAAATTTACATTTTACCTCATGACTCCTCAAGAAACAAAATGGGCATAGTATAGGGGAGACTCCCCCCTTTTTAAATTAGAAGATCTGGGCCCTCCTTCCAGAGCTGCCTCTTACTGATCATGCAACTGAGTGCAGGCTGGCACTTCCCTGAGCCCAGTTCTTTATCTCTCAAGTGGGAGGGAAGATAATTTCTACTCTGCACACCTTGCAGGTATGTTGTGATGATCAAATAAGGTAAGAAATGCCAATACATTTTGCACACTGGAAAGTTCTAAGCAAATGGATAGTATTATTCCTGAAAAAATATGCTAGAGGTTTGTCTTCAAAATGGTACTAAAACAAAGAACATCTCAAAGTTGGAAATAAGTAAGATGGGGAGGGTATTCTAGAGCTATAAATATCTTAAGATTTCATTTTTTAGGAAGATAAAATAGCAACATCACTATCTACTTGGGAGGGCCATAGTTCCCCTGGGTCTCTCTTCAGGTCTCTTGGCCTCCATCAACTCAAGCCAGAAACCATGGAATGGAGGATCCAGAAGAACCCTGACATCATTCAGTACAACCATCTCATTCCACAAACATGAAAACTGGCCTGGAAAGAGTGTTGCAGCTTGTTCAAGAGCTCACTGCAATGTGAGCTGATTGTACTACCTTACAAAGCAGGGCAAACAGGAACCTGTCTCTCAAAGGAGGATTTATCCCCCACCTTGAAATGCCAGCATTGAGCCCAGAACTGAGTCTCCATGAACCGTCTGCCCCCCATCCAGATGCAGTGCATGTTATGAAGACACGCAATGATCCTTTTCCTGTCAGCAAATCCAGGAGCTCAGAGATTACCTGTTTTCTATCTTTTCAGTCAACTATGGGAATCCCTGAAAGACCTTGGTTTCTTGTTGACAGAAGTTGAGCATTGCTACCATCAGGAACAACCCAGGTCCCTCTTGATGACCAACCTCTAAAGCCTGCCAGTGCAGTTGCAACCTCTACTTTTCATTGGCCCACTTCATCCCATCCCCCAGTGTGGTGTGCCTGGGGCTGGAGCAGCTTACAGTAGGCTGAAGAGCTCCCTGTAGCTCTCGTCACCTTTCCCTTCTGACACCATGCTGTCCAGCTTGTCAATCAACTCGGCCTCCACCTAGAAGGAAGCAGAGACTTCATAAACCTGAGATGACCTCAGAAAAAGAATGGGAAATCCAGTTCCTGTGGTGGGTGAGGATGGTGGGAAACTACTTCCTGATCCTGTCCTTGCTCCAAAGAAATCCCAGGGAAGGTAGTATTTTACCTATAGCACCAAGAAACCATTCTGCTCCCCAAATCAAAAAGGCCTCCCACCCTAATGGTTTGAAAAAGAGATAGGACTTAAAAGTCTCAGGTACTCTTTCCAATCTAAGGGCAAAAGGCAAGGATTCCCTACAGAGAAAAGTACTTTGGATTCAAAAGAGGCCTTTTTCAGATGTTTTTTTCCCCCTTTAAAAACATTAATTCAAAAGAATTTGTATGCGTAAAATACATTTGGTTAGAACTTTACCCTGTAGTCAGCCAGTCAAAAAGGATGCTTTCTGGGGAGCTTGTCCTCACTCTAATGACTGGCATTAAATGGAGCTAAATGAGATTTGAGTGTTTCCTCCAGCCAATTTCCTTCAGGATAACAGGCTCTACTGTTTGTACTCACAGAACCTAGAGCCCTTGAGGCTGCTGTTCCTATCACTGGGCCATCACCGGGCCCCTGCATTTGTTATTGGATACCTAAATCATAAGGAGCAAGACTATATTTGTTCCTACCCCACGGATTTGCAAGGGCATTCAGCAGTACTCAGTCACTTTTTTTTTAAATTTAATTTAATTTTAAGTTCAGGGGATACCCGTGCTTGATTGTTTGTTTGATTGTTGATTGATTGGTACCTGTGCCAGGTTTGTTACGTGGGTAAGCATGTGCCATGGTGGTCTGCTGCACCTATCAACCCATCACCTAGGTATTAGGCCTCAGATGCATTGACTATTTATCCTGATCTCAGCCACTTTTCTAATAGGTCTCACTGGATTCACTTTGAGGTGAGAAACTGGTTGTAAGTGATATGATATAAAATTGTTTTAACCTTTTATTAACCTTTATTTATTTATTTTGAGATGGAGTCTCACTATGTCAGGCTGGAGTGCACAGGCGCGATCTCGGCTCACTGCAACCTCCACCTTCCAGGTTCAAGTGATTCTCCTGCCTCAGCCTCCTGAGTAGCTGGGATTATAAGCACGCACCACCACACCCAGCTAATTTTTGTATTTTTAGTAGAGATGGGGTTTCACCATGTTGCCCAGGCTGGTATTGAATTCCTGACCTCAGATGATCCACCTGCCTCAGCCTCCCAAACTGCTGGGATTACAGGCATGAGCCACCGTACTGGACCCCTTTGTTAACCTTTAAACTGTGGTACTGTGATATTATTTATTATTTCATATAAACAAAAAAGCCATGGTATGGCTGCATGAAATAATGTACTATAAACAGAAGCCTTTCTCACTCTACAGAGAGCAAAGAATCCTAAGGCTAAGAAATAATAAAAGAATAACTGAATTAGTAAATTCAATGAAGGCAGTTAGGGCCTCTGAAGTCCGATGACCAGAAAATGAGGACAGAGAAATAAATATAGCCTCTCTTTTTTTTTTTTTTTTTAATAGTGGTCTGCTACATGGCCAGGGCAGGGATGAGTGAGTTGCTTGAATATACATTTGAGAAGAAACAGAAAGTCTGAGACCTGGGGTCCTTAGGGATTGAAGCCGTCTCACTCTCTTTGTGTAGAGAAGAGGCATAAGCAGGAACTTGCCTGGGGTTATGTCAAGTCAGGTAGAGCTGCATCTAGAAGCCAAGGTGGATTAGTCCCACTTCAGAGCTTTTCTTGCCTCACTGGGTCAACCTGCTGGCTAAAAGGCCCCCAAGAGACGGGCCTGATTATAACAAGGGATCTCTCTTCACACATGGTGGTATAGGTAGATTGTGCCTTCAGAACAGAGCAAAAATGTGGGGAGGGGACCTGGAGCAGCAGAGAGTACAACAGTGTAAACAGGGTACAACAGTCCACTGGCGCCTAAATATTTCTCAAAATGGGTCTCTGGGCCAGCAGCAGCAGTTTTACCAGAGATCTTGTTAGAAATTAAAATTCTCAGGCCTCCTCTAGTTTGTTGGATCAGAAACTCAGGGTGGGAGCACACAAGTTGTGCTTTAATGAATCTTCCACGTGCTTCTGATACCTATTCAAGTGTTTTGAACTTTGTATTAGGCAAAGAAGCTGGTGATGGGGCTGGGTGTGGTGGCTCATGCCTGTAATCCCAGCACTTTGGAAGGCTGAGGCGGGCAGATCACCTGAGGTCAGGAGTTTGAGACCAGCCTGACCAACATGGTGAAACTCCATCTCTACTAAAAATACAAAAAAAGTAGCCAGGCGTGGTAGCACCTGCCTATAGTCCCAGCTACTTGGGAGGCTGAGGCAGGAGAATCACTTGAACCCAGGAGGTGGAGGTTGCAGTGAGCCGAGATTGTGCCACTGCATTCCAGCCTGGGCAACAGAGTGAGACTCCATCTCAAAAAAAAAAAAAAAAAAAAAGCTGGTGATGGAAGGATATGGGGGACATTACTTAATCACCCCTACAGAGCTCATAAAGGAGAAGTTATTAGGAGAAATCTAGAAATCTGAAACATGGGACACTGAATATCAATGCATGCAAAATCAACATCTGTAAGTCAAACAAAATAATAAGTTCTTCAAACATATTTTGTCATAATTAGTGACACTGACCATCAAGTTTGCAGTTACTTTTATTCCATAGAAACAATATTCCTGAAGTGACATCTTCATTCAACAAATATTTGTCCTGTGATATAATGAGCTGCATAGTTCTGATATTTACCTCTCTAAGCCCAAGTTTCTACATTTGTGAAATAGGAATGGTGGTAACATTCCTCTTTGGTGTCACTGTGCCCTGGATCTTGGGAAGCACTCAATAAATGCTAGTTTTGATTTTCATCTCTATGAGCCTACCATGTCCCAGGCACCATGGTGGGTTCTGAGATATAAAAATGCACAAGAAATAATCCTGGTCCCTAAGAGCCCATCATCTGGCAGAGGAGGCAGGTATGACAGCTGACACGGCTCAGCACGGTGATTGCTTAGATGGAACATACACAGAAAAGGTAGTCTGGATTTCAAAAAATCGTGCTGTAAAAACTCAAGAAAGGTTTCTGACTCTTTGATCCAGTGATTACAGGTTGAGAAATTTACCTAAGAAAATGAGAATAAATGTTTTTTGCAATATTAACAACAAAAATTTGGAATGAACCTGAGTTGCTAAAATTAGGGGCTGGGAGAGGTGGGTCATGCCTGTAACCCCAGCACTTTGGGAGATGGAGGCAGGTGGATCACATGAGGTCAGGAGTTTGAGACCAGCCTGACCAACATGGTGAAATCCCATCTCTACTAAAAATACAAAAAAAATTAGCTGGGCATGGTGGTGCACGCCTGTAATCCCAGCTACTTGGGAGGCTGAGGCAGGAGAATTGCTTGAACCTGGGAGGAGGAGGTTGCAGTGAGCCAAGATCATGCCATTGCACTCCAGCCTGGGCAACAAGAGGGAAACTCCATCTCAAAACAACAACAACAACAACAACAACAACAACAACAACAACAACAACAACAACAAAACATGCCAGGCGTGGGGGCTCACGCCTGTAATCCCAGCATTTTGGGAGGCCCAGGTGGGCAGATCATGAGGTCAGGAGCTCGAGACCAGTCTGACCAACAGGCTGATAGTTTTGCAGTTTTAGTAGAAACCCAGTTTCTACTAAAACTACAAAAATTAGCTGGGTGTGGTGGCATGCACCTATAATCCCAGCTACTCAGGAGGCTGAGGCAGGAGAATCACTTGAACCCGGGAGGCAGAGGTTGCAGTGAGCCGAGATCATGCTGCTGCACTCCAGCCTGGGTGACAGAGCGAGACTCCGTCTCAAAAAAAAAAAAAATTAAAAAAAATAAAATTAGGAGCTTAACAAAATACATTACAGTCCAGCCATACAATGGAATACCATATAGACTCTAAACTGACAGGGTAGTATAGGGGAGCATTAATTCACATGAAGAGGTAGTCATGACAAGTTGCTACCAAAAAAGGGATATTACAAACCAATATACACAACAATTTCATTTTTTTGGCCTTTTTTTTTTTTTAATACTTTAGGTTCTGGGGTACATGTGCAGAACGGGCAGTTTTGTTACATAGGTATACCTGTGCCATGGTGGTTTGCTGCACCCATCAACCTGTCTTCTACATTAGGTATTTCTTCTAATGCTATCCCTCCCCTAGCCCCCCATCCCCTGACAGGCCCTGGTGTGTGATGTTCCCCTCCCTGTGTCCATGTGTTCTCATTGTTCAGCTCCCACTTATGAGTGAGAACATGCAGTGTTTGGTTTTCTGTTCTTTTATTAGTTTGCTGAGAATGATGGTTTCCAGCTTCATACATGTCCCTGCAAAGGACATGAACTCATCTTTTTTTATGGCTGCATAGTATTCCATGGTGTATATGTGCCACATTTTCTTTATCCAGCCTATCATTGATGGGCATTTGGGTTGGTTCCAAGTCTTTGCTATTGTGAATAGTGTCGCAGTAAACATACATGTGCATGTGTCTTTATAGTAGAATGATTTATAATCCTTTGGGTATATAGCCAGTAATGTGATTGCTGGATCAAATGGTATTTCTGGTTCTAGATCCTTGAGGAATTGCCAGACTGTCTTCCACAATGGTTGAAGTAATTTACACTCCCACGAACAGTGTAAAAATGTTCCTATTTCTCCACATCCTCTCCAGCATCTGTTGTTTCCTGATTTTTTAATGACTGTCATTCTAACTGGTGTGAGATGGTATCTCATCGCGGTTTTGATTTGCATTTCTCTAATGACCAGTGATGATGAGCTTTTTTTACATATGTTTGTTGGCCACATAAATGTCTTCTTTTGAGAAGTGTCTGTTCATCTTCTTTGCTCACCTTTTGATAGGGTTTTTTTTTTCTTGTAAATTTAAGTTCTTTGTAGATTTTGGATGTTAGCCCTTTGTCAGATGGATAGATTGCAAAAATTTTCTCCTATTCTGTAGGTTGTCTGTTCACTCTGATGATAGTTTCTTTTGCTGTGCAGAAGCTCTTTAGTTTAATTAGATCCCATTTGTCAATTCTGGCTTTTGTTGCTATTGCTTTTGGTGTTTTAGTCATGAAATCTTTGCCCATGCCTATGTCCTGAATGGTATTGCCTAGGTTTTCTTCTAGGGTTTTTAAGGTTTTATGTCTTATATTTAAAGTCTTTAATCCACGTTGAGTTAATATCTGTATAAGGTGTAAGGAAGGGGTCCAGTTTCAGCTTTCTGCATATGGCTAGCTAGTTTTCCCAACACCGTTTATTAAATAGGGAATCCTTTCCCCATTGCTTGTTTTTGTCAGGTTTGTCAAAGATCAGATGGTTGTAGATGCATGTTGTTATTTCTGAGGCCTCTGTTTGGTTCCATTGGTCTATATATCTGTTTTGGTACCAGTACCATGCTGTTTTGGTTACCGTAGCCTTGTAGTATAGTTTGAAGTCAGGTAGCATGATGTCTCCAGCTTTGTTCTTTTTGCCTAAGATTATCTTGGCTATGCAGGCTCTTTTTTGGTTCCATATGAAATTTAAAGTAGTTTTTTTCTAATTCTGTGAAGAAAGTCAACGGTAGCTTGATGGAGATAGCATAGAATCTACAAATTAGTTTGGGCAGTATGGCCATGATATTCATTCTTCTTATCCATGAGCATGGAATGTTTTTCCATTTATTTGTATCCTCTCTTATTTCCTTGAGCAGTGGTTTGTAGTTCTCCTTGACGGGGTCCTTCACATCCCTTATAATTTGTATTCCTAGGTATTTTATTCTCTTTGTAGCAATTGTGAATGGGAGTTCACTCATAATTTGGCTGTTTGTCTGTTATTGGTGTATAGGAATGCTTGTGATTTTTGCACATTGATTTTTTATCTTGAGACTTTGCTGAAGTTGCTTATCAGCTTAAGGAGATTTTGGGCTGAGACAATGGGGTTTTCTAAATACACAATCATGTCATCTGCAAACAGAGACAATTTGACTTCCTCTCTTCCTATTTGAATACCCTTTATTTCTTTATCTTGCCTGATTGCCCTGGCCAGAACTTCCAATACTACGTTGAATAGGAGTGGTGAGAGAGGGCATCTATGTCTTATGCCGGTTTTCAAAGGGAATGCTTCCAGTTTTTGGCCATTCAGTTATGATACTGGCTGTGGGTTTGTCATAAATAGCTCTTATTATTCTATTTTGTTGATCTTTTCAAAAAACCAGCTCCTGGATTCATTGATTTCTTGAAGGGTTTTTGTGTGTCTCCATCTCCTTCAGTTCTGCTCTGATCTTAGTTATTTCTTGTCTTCTGCTAGCTTTTGAATTTGTTTGCTCTTGCTTCTCTAGTTTTTTTAATTGTGATGTTAGAGTGTCAATTGTAGATCTTTCCAGCTTTATCTTGTGGGCATTTAGTGCTATAAATTTCCCTCTACACACTGCTTTAAATGTGTCCCAGAGATTCTGGTACGTTGTGTCTTTGTTCTCATTGGTTTCAAAGCACATCTTTATTTCTGCCTTCATTTTGTTATTAACCCAGTAGTCATTCAGGAGCAGGTTGTTCAGTTTCCATATAGTTGTGCGGTTTTGAGTGAGTTTCTTAATCTGTGGTCTGAGAGACTGTTTGTTATGATTTCCATTCTCTTGCATTTGCCAAGGAGTGTTTTACTTCCAATTATGTGGTCAATTTTAGAATATGTGCAATGTGGTGCTGAGAAGAATGTATATTCTGTTGATTTGGGGTGGAGAGTTCTGTAGATGTCTACTAGGTCCACTTGGTTCCGAGCTGAGTTCAAGTCCTGGATATCCTTGTTAATTTTCTGTCTCATTAATCTGTCTAATATAGACAGTGGGGTGTTAAAGACTCCCACTATTATTGTGTGGGAGTCTAAGTATCTTTGTAGTTCTCTAAGAATTTGCTTTATGATTCTGGGTGCTCCTGTATTGGGTGCATATATATTTAGGATAGTTAGTGCTTCTTGTTGCATTGATCTCCTTACCATTATGTAATGCAGTTATTTGTCTCTTAGTGCTTCTTGTTGCATTGATCTCTTTACCATTATGTAATGCAGTTCTTTGTCTCTTTTGGTCTTTGTTGGTTTAAAGTCTGTTTTATCAGATACTAGGATTGCAACCCCTGCTTTTTTTTTTTTGCTTTCCATTTGCTTGGTAAGCATGCCTCTATTTTGAGCCTATGTGTGTCTTTGCATGTGAGATGGGTCTCTTGAATACAGCACACCGATGGGTCTTGACTCTTTACCCAATTTGCCAGTCTGTGTCTTTTAAATGGGGCATTTAGCCCATTTACATTTAAGGTTAATATTGTTATGTGTGAATTTGATCCTGCCATTATGATGCTAGCTAGTTATTTTGCCTGTTAGTTGATGCAGTTTCTTTATAGTGTTGATGGTCTTTACAATTTGGTATATTTTTGCAGTGGCTGGTACCGGTTACTCCTTTCCATATTTAGTGCTTCCTTCAGGAACTCTTGTAAGGCAGGCCTGGTGGTGACAAAATCTCTCCACATGTGCTTGTCTGTAAAGGATTTTATTTCTCCTTCGCTTATGAAGCTTAGTTTGGCTGGATACGAAATTCTTGAAAATTCTTTTCTTTAAGAATGTTGGCTGGTCGTGGTGGCTCATGCCTGTAATCCTAGCATTTTGGGAGGCTGAGGTGGGCAGATCATGAGGTCAGGAGATTGAGACCATCCTGGCTAACATGGTGAAACTCCGTCTCTGCTAAAAATACAAAAAAATTAGCCGGGCATAGTGGCAGGCACCTGTAGTCCCAGCTTCTCTGGAGGCTGAGGCAGGAGAATGGCATGAACCCAGGAGGCAGAACTTGCAGTGAGCCGAGATTGCACCACTGCACTCCAGCCTGGGCGACCAAGCAAGACTCCATCTCAAAACAAACAAAAACAAAAACAAAAACAAAAGAATGTTGAATATTGGCCCCCACTCTCTTCTGGCTTTTCTGGCTTGTAGGGTTTCTGCAGAGATCCACTGTTAGTCTGATGGGCTTCCCCTTGTGGGTAACCTGACCTTTCTCTCTGGCTGCCCTTAACATTTTTCCCTTCATTTCAACCTTGGTGAATCTGACGATTATATGTCTTGGGGTTGTTCTTCTCGAGGAGTATATTTGTGGCATTCTCTGGATTTCCTGAATTTGAATGTTGGCCTGTCTTGCTAGGTTGGGGAAGTTCTGCTGGATAATATCCTGAAGAGTGTTTTCCAACTTGGTTCCATTCTCCCTGTCACTTTCAGGTACGCCAATCAAACGTATATTTGGTCTTTTCACAGAGTCCCATATTTCTTGGAGGCTTTGTTCATTCCTTTTCATTCTTTTTTCTCTAATCTTGTCTTCTTGCTTTATTTTATTAAGTTGATCTTCAATCTCTGATATTCTTTCTTCCGCTTGATCAATTTGGCTATTGATACTTGTGCATGCTTCATATAGTTCTCGTGCCGTGTTTTTCAGCTCCATCAGGTCATTTATGTTCTTCTCTAAACTGGTTATTCCAGTTAGCAATTCGTCTAACCTTTTTCAAGGTTCTTGGCTTCCTTGCATTAGGTTAGAACATGCTCCTTTAGCTTGGAGGAGTTTGTTATTACCCACCTTCCAAAGCCTACTTCTGTCAATTCGTCAAATTCATTTTCCGTCCAGGTTTGTTCCCTTGCTGGCTAGGAGTTGTGATCCTCTGGAGGAGAAGAGGCATTCTGGTTTTTGGAATTTTCATCCTTTTTGCAGTGTTTTCTCTCCATCTTCGTGGATTTATCTACCGTTGGTCTTTGATATTTGTGACCTTCAGATGAGGTCTCTGTGTGGACGTCCTTTTTGTTGATGTTGATGCTATTCCTTTCTGTTTGTTAGTTTTTCTTCTAACTGTCAGGCCCCTCTGCTGCAGGTCTGCTGGAGTTTGCTGACATCCACTCCAGACCCTGTTTGCCTGGGTATCACCAGTGGAGGCTGCAGAACAGCAAAGTTTGCTGTCTGTTCATTCCTCTGGAAGCTTCATCCCAGAAGGGCACCCACCAGATGCCAGCCAGAGCTCTCCTGTATGAGGTATCTGTTGGCCCCTACTGAGAGATGTCTCCCAGTCAGGAGACATGGGGGTCAGGGACCCACTTGAGGAGGCAGTCTGACCCTTAGCAGAGCTCAAACACTGTGGTGGGAGATTCGCTGCTCTCTTCAGAGCCGTCAGGCAGGGACGTTTAAGTCTGCTGAAGTTGTGCCCACAGCTGCCCCTTCCCCCAGGTGCTCTGTCCCAGGGAGATGGGGGTTTTATCTATAAGCCCCTGACTGGGGCTGCTGCCTTTTTTTCAGAGATGCCCTGCCCAGAGAGGAGGAATCTAGAGAGGCATTCTGGCCGCAGCAGCCTTGCTGAGCTGCGGTGGGCTCCACCCAGTTCAAACTTCCTGGTGGCTCTGTTTCCACTGTGAGGGTAAAACTGCCTACTCAAGCCTCAGCAATGGCAGAAGCCCCTCTCCCAACCAGGCTCGAGTGTCCCAGGTCGACCTCGGACTGCTGTGCTGGCAGTGAGAATTTCAAGCCAGTGGATCTTAGCTTGCTGGGCTCCGTGGGGGTGGGATGCACCAAGCCAGACCCCTTGGCTCCCTGGCTTTAGCCCCCTTTCCAGGGGAGTGAAGGGTTCTGTCTCACTGGCGTTCCAGGTGCCCTGGGGTATGAAAAAAAAAAACAAAAACAAAACTCCTGCAGCTAGCTTGGTGTCTGCCCAAACGGCCACCTAGTTTTGTGCTTGAAACCCAGGGCCCTGGTGGCATAGGCACTGGAGGGAATCTCCTGGTGTGTGGGTGGTGAAGACCATGGGGAAAGTGCAGTATCTGGGCCGGATTGCACAGTTCACAGTCCCTCATGGCTTCTCTTGGCTAGGGAAGGGAATTCCCCGACCCCTTGTGCTTCCCGGGAGAGGTGATGCCCCACCCTGCTTTGGCTCGCCCTCTGTGGGCTGCACCCACTGTTCAACCAGTCCCAATGAGATGAGCTGGGTACCTCAGCTGGAAATGCAGGAATCACCCGCCTTCTGTGTTGATCTTGGGAGCTACAGACCAGAGCTGTTCCTATTTGGCCATCTTGCCAGCCCTCTAACAATTTCATTTTCTAAGTTAAAAAAAGCCTATGTATTGAGAAGAAAAAAGACATAAACTGCCTCCTCTCCAAGTTCTTAACAATGGTAGGATTATGGGTTAAAATTTTTCATTATAGCTATTGCGTTTTTTTGTTGTTGTTGTTTGTTTTTTTTTGAGATGGAGTCTCGCTCTGTCGCCAGGGTGAAGTGCAGTGGTGCAATCTCAGCTCACTACAAACCCCACCTCCCAGGTTCAAGCGATTATCCTGCCTCAGCCTCTTGAGTAGCTAGGACTACAGGCACACACCACCACGCCCAGCTAATTTTTGTAGTTTTAGTAGAGACGGGGTTTCACCATGTTGGCCAGGATGGTCTGGATCTCTTGACCTTGTGATCCACCCGCCTCAGCCTCCCAAAGTGCTGGGATTACCGGTGTGAGCCACCACACCTGGCCCACTATTGCATTTTACATTTTTCTACAATAAATAAATATTGTTCTATAATTAGAAAAAGTATTTTTAGGCTGGTCAGTGTTAGTGATGGTGGAATGTAACCCAGCCCCATCTTCAGCTGACTCAGAGCCATTGCATAGCTCTGCAATGTCATCCACTTCTTGGTAACTGGGTTTTTTTTTTTTTTTTTATCAAGTGTTGTGCATTTTGCACATTTAGAAGGCACAAGTTGTAACAATACAGAAAAGTAACAGTTCCTTTTTTGTTTGAAGTTATTATTTCCCAAAGACCTGGAGGCATTAGAGCTACACACTCCCAAACTGTTTTATCTTAAATACTATTTACCCATGATAAAAAGAATCTATAAAAAACTTAGAGCTAGTATCATATTTATTTATTTGTTTAATAGGAGAAGCACATAAGGATAGTATCATATTCACTGGTAAAACACTGGTGAATACTTTCTCCTAAGAACAAAGCAAGTTTCTCATTGCTCTTATTTAACATCATCCTGGAGGTCCTGGCTGATGTGATACAGCAAGAAAAATAAGAGATATATAGAGTAGAAAGGAAGAAATAAAACTCTATTCTCAGATGACATGATTGTCTAAATAGAAAATCCCAAGGAATCTGCAAAAAAGCTTCCAGAACTAATAAGTAAATTTAGCAAGGGTACAGGATATAATGTTAATATATAAAAATCAGTTGAATTTCTATATCCTAGAAACAAAAATAAAATTTAAAAATTGCAATCATTTATATATTTATATAAACAAAGTGGAACATTTTAATTGAACTTTCTTAAAACCAATGGATCAAGTAGCAAAGCATTAGTTAGGCTACAGAAGTTCAAACAATATAATTAAGGAGCTTGAGCTACTAGATAAACGTAAGTTTTACTCCCTCACCCACAGAATACCCATTGTTTTCAAGTTCATGTAGAACAATTTTTTGAAATGCTGCATACTTGACAATAAAGGGAGTCTAAAATTTTTTCAAGGAATCAACATCATTCAGTTGCATGGAATTATTTAGAAGAGCACCAAAAAACAGGAAATACATATAAATCTAATAATATATGTGTAAGATCTGTATACAAAACACTGATGAAAGAAATAAAAGAACACCTAAATAAATGGAAAGATATACTGTTTTCATTGACTATTAAGACATAATTCTTCCCAATTTGATATATATATAATTTTTTTGAGACAGAGTCTTGCTCTGTTGCCCAGACTGGTGAGCAGTGGTGCGATCTCAGATCACTGCAATCTCCCTTTCCTGGGTTCAAGCAATTCTCCTGCCTCAGCCTCCTAAGTAGCTGGGATTACAGGCACCTGCCACCACGCCCGGTTAATTTTTATGTTTTTAGTAGAGATGGGGTTTCACTGTGTTGGCCAGGCTGCTCTCAAATTCCTGATCTCAAATGTTCCACCTGCCTTGGCCTCCCAAAGTGCTGGGATTACAGGCATAGCCACTGTGCCCGGCCCCCAATTTGATTTATAGAATCACTGCAATCCCAGTCAAAATCTCAGCAGGAATGTTATAGATATCGACATGCTGATTCTAAATTTATTTAAAAAAGGAAAAAGAATTAGATAGCTAACACAATACTGAAAAAAAAAGGACAAAACTGGAAGACAGACTCACACCATGTGGTTTTAAGACTAACTATAAAGCTACTATAATAAGATAGCGTGGTATTGATGAAAGAATAAACATACTGATCTACGGAAGGACTAGAGTCTAGAAAGAGATTCACACAAATATGGTCAATTGATTTTTTAAGTAGTTTTAAGTGACAATAATTATATCTATTTATAGAGTACAATATGATGTTTTGATATATGTATACATTGTGAAATGATTAAATCAAGCTAATTAACATATCTGTCACCTCACCTAATTTTTTTTTGCAATGAGAACATTTAAAGTCTACTCTTTTAGCAATTTTTAAATATACATTATTATTATTATTATTATTATTATTATTATTATTATTATTTTGTGATGGAGTCTCGCTCTGTTGCCTAGGCTGGAGTGCAGTGGTGCGATCTTGGCTCACTGCAACTTCCACCTCCCGGGTTCAAGTGATTCCCCTGCCTCAGCCTCCTGAGTATCTGGGACTACAGGCACGTGGCACCACGCCTGGCTAATTTTTGTACAATACATTATTATTAACTATAGTTACCACGTGGTGCAATAGCTCACTAAAGCTTACTCCTCCTAACTTTGAATACAAAGTTTCAAAGGTCTTTTTTCTTTTTCTTTTTTTTAAGCTTCTCCTTGTCCAAACCCATTTGTTTTTCTTTTTTTTTTTTGGCAATTGGTTTTTGACCAAGGCAGAAAGACAACTGAAGAAAGGATACTCTTTTCAACAAAAGATGCTGGAATAATTGGACATCTTGTTGCAAAATAAAAAAAAGAACCTGATCCATCCTTCATACCTTATACAGAAATCAACTCAAAATAGATCATAGATCTAAATTTAAAATGTAAAACTATAAAACTTCTAGAAGAAAAGACAGGAGAAAAATTTTTGTGGCCCTATGTTAAGAAAAAGTTCTTGGGGTATGACCCCAAAAGCATGATCTATAAAAGAAAAACATTGACAAACTGGACTTCATAAAAATTAAAAACTTTTGTTCTAAGAAAGATATTGTTTAGTAAATGAAAAGATAAGCTAAAGATTTGCAGAAAATATCTGTAAATCATATGCTCAACAAAGGACTTACATACAGAATATATAAAGAACCCTACAATTCAACAATAAGGAAAGCAGCAACTCAAATGAAAATGAACAAAAGCTTTGAACTCATTTTACCAAAGAAGCATAAAGATGGTATATAAGCATATGAAAAGATGCTCAACACCATTAGTCACTAGGGAAATAGAAATGAAAACCACAATGATATACAACTACACACCTATTAGAATGGCTAAAACAAACGAACAGATAATACTAAGTACTGGTTAGTATGCGGAGCAATCGATTATATACTGCTGCTGAGACTTCAAAATGGTATAGCTATTTTAGAAAAGAGTTTGAGAACCTCTTCGAAAGCTAATTACACACTTGTCACAAGGCCCAACAATCCTATTCCTAAGTATTCACTCAAGAAAAATGAAAGCTTATATGCATACAAAAACCTGTAAAGAAATGTTTTTAGTAGCTTTATTTATAATCCACAAAAGAGGAAATAACCCAAATGTCTTTCAAATGGTGAATGAATGAACTAAATACTACTCAGCATAGAAAAGCTACTGATACATGCAGTGACATGGATTAATTTCTCAAAGCATTATGCTAAGTGAAAGGGGCCAGTCTCAAAAGGCTGCACTTTGCTTGATTCCATTTATATGACAGTCTAGAAAAGGCACAACTATAGTGATGAAGAGCAGACCTATGGTTGCATTTGTTAAGAACAGGGGAAGGGTTTGACTACAAATAGACAGCAAGACTGAATTTTTAAGTATTCAAAAACTCTTGATTGTGGTAGTGGTTACACGACTATGCATTTGCCAAAACACATAGAACTGTAAATCAAGAAGAATACATTTTACTCTATGTAAATTTAAAAATAAATAAATATTTAAAAATTACTGTTTGCCTGGTCTACTTCTCACTGTTACAGTCACCTATTCTAAATAGACCACTGGTTCATCCCAGAATCACAGGCTCGGAAGGAGCTTAGTGGGGAACTGGTACAATTCCCAAGCCAATACAGAAAATTCCCCTAGAGGTTTCCTGGGAGCTTCTGCTTGAAGATCATCTGCCAAGAGAGAAAATCTCTATCTCCCAAAGCAGGCCTGCTTACAGTGGACAGTTTTTGCTGTTAGCAAGTTATTTATTTGATTAGCTAAAATTGGCTTCCTCATCATTAGCCCCTATTGGTCCTGGTACTATCCCCTGGAGCTACAGATATAAAGGCAGGGGCCATCTCCTACACTTAGTGGTGGCAAAAGAACTACACAGGAGGACAGCCTGAAGCCATTCAGTTGGAAGCCAAGGGGCCTGTATCTCCTGGACCAACCCCTCTGTGCAGTAGTCTATAAAATGCTGGGCTACCCTGAGCCATGAGAAGTCATCTGGTCTGGGCTGCAGCCCTAGAAATGCCTGGATTATACAGTGAAAATCCTCAGTAAAGGAATGACATCACACTCCCAGGGCCCTATCATGATTGAAACTGGGAGGCTACAGTCTCAATCATTCCTTGATCAGAAAGTTATAGTGATGTTCATTCTTTCCTGGCCTCATTATTTTCTGGCCTCTAACTTCATGGAGAAAATCCACAAATCAATTTTGGCCAGCAAGTAAGGGAAAACCCTTGAACAGGATTCAAATTAGCCAAACTACAGCCCATCCCCACTAGAATCATGGCTTGGTCATCTAGGCCACCTGCCTAAGCAGAAGGGATCCATTCCAGAGAATACCCCGAACACTGCCAGGTGTCTTACCTGTTTGAAGTTGCCATTTTTTCTCTGCTCCCAGTCCATCATGTCATGAAAGATGGGAATCATGATATTCCGTACTTCTGGCTGTGGGACCAGTGTCACACCCAGAAAAGGACCAATCATTCCCGGAATAAAGTGGATCTTATGTTCACCTGAAAAACAAAACCCAAATTAGTTTATGCCTGCTTTGCTCCTTCCATGGAAGATTCCCAAATGGGGCCACAACACATGCTACAATCCATACTGGAAGCTTCTGAGAGCAAAACAAGCTCTCCCCTATGGTTTTCTGAGGTACTCTCCCTCAACTTTTTAGAGTTTATGGATAAAGTTGGCCTAGCCCAGTGAAAGCAAATGCGCAACTGTCACAAAACTGCTTTTCCAAAGAATTTCCTGACAGTCCCACAAACTACCTGAAAATCTCTCTGAGATGAAGGAACAGAGTTTGCTACTCTAGACAGAATAGGTTTCTGAGTAACCTATGAGTGTCAGATGGTCTATTCACAGTGTTTATTTAACAAGAAAAACCCAATATTTCTGCTTAAATACAATGCACTCTCCTTGGAGTTTCTAGCTCTAGCCCAGAGACATTTAAGTGATGAGGATATCCAGTCCCTGGTCTAGCCACCAGACGTCTAATAAGTCCATGGATTTTTACACTGCCTATGTTCATGTATGCCAAAGAAGTCCTCCTCCTGAGCTAGCAGGAGTCTCCTGCACAGCCCTACCCTAAAAGGCTGGCTTAGAGATTCTCTCTTTACCCACCCTGAACTCCCTTTGTGTTCATATTGCATTTCTGATGGTGCCATTACACCTACTTGGCTCAGCTCAACCCTCAACTTCCTTAATGAAGCATTTCCATGGTAAGTGTGTGATGTGGGTTTCCCTCTCATTGGCGTGCCATCTAGGGTATGTTACCAGAAGCCAGAGACAGTCCTGTGGATGGTGGGATAGGATTTTTCTCTTCCTTGCAATGGTAAAACAGAGTGAACCATCTTTCAGAGCTCTGCTCTCAGTCCTTCAGAGACTATTGAGGAGATAAACTGTGGGTCTGTGCAATGAATGCTACGGCCAAGTAAAACCATTTCTTGGGGACCAGAGAATGTCATTTCCACCAAAAGAAATGAGGCAGAAAAGGCTTTATCAGGCAAATCTGGTATTAAAAAAAATTCTAAGAAGCAAATGTTTAGCCCTGAGGCTGGTTCAGCATATTCCAATTTTGGTACTTGGCACAGTAGCCAGTCTCTTGCATTCCTGGGAATTTCAGAGTCAACTTTGGGTTAAAATCCATTTCCAAACTGTGCTGGATACAGGGAACCAGAGTGTTGGAAAGTCTGATTGGGGAAATGCATCCCCACTCATGAATAGAAGGCCCTCTCGCCGGCAGAAATACTTCATATCCTACTTGCTGCCTCTAGGTTAGTGGTGGGGATGGTTAACAGAGGACTGGAGATTTTATGACCATCATTCCTACAGCTTCAGAACCATGAGCTCAGCTGAAAGCAGACTTCACTTGAAATAATAATAGTTCTCCAGCATCTTGACAGGCCACTCAGAACTCTACAATATCACAGGATGGCCCACTCAGTCACCAGGGCAACCCAGAAATTCTACCAAAAACACTGATCTGACAAATTTAGATTCAAAGCAGTGGCTATTTTCAAAGCATTCAAAGCAGAAGCTGTGCAAAGAAGGGAAGCCAAAACTGATCTCACCCAGAGGTTGCAGTTCTCTTCTTATATGTTACTCCATGCAACTGGTGTCAAGTATCTGATCTGGATGCATGAATACCAGAGATCCAATAAATGTTTCAATCTTTATTAAAATTAATAGCCACCTTTGCTCATGTACTGGGTATCTCAGATCTAAGCTTTTGAGCCTGCAACATCCAGACTGGGAAGTGAAGAGCATGGAGGATCTTATAGGAATGGGTTCTCAAATTGGAAAAAACTACTACAGCCCTCCTTTTCTTTTTTTTCTTTTGACTTTAGTTCCTAAAAAAAGGGATTTGGCATATGTATTACTGAGGTCTTATTTCTCAGACAAACTCTCCTTGCCAAGGGCTTTATGCACATGTGCTACACCATCCATCTGAGGTGTTATGTGAAAGATATGTAAGGATCTCTTGGGCCTGAATTAACATTCATAAAGCCTGGGAGATGTTATTAGTCTTGCTACTTTCTATTTGGCTATGCAATATATAGAAGGGAAGAATAGGGAGAAAAAACCTACCCAAATTCTGCCACATGCTGAACAGTTCATAGGCCATCATTACACGCATGTCCCCATACCTAAGAATAGTAACACAGGAGCCAACCGTTAGTGGGAGAAGGTTCAGGAGGATAGGGCTGCAAACCCATGAGGCCAGGACTTCAGCACTGTTTGTTTCTAATGCTTCCCAATGCGCTAAGCCTTTGGGCTCTCGACTGAACTCCCACACTTGGGCCCCTGGGAAACCACCCAGCTGAGAACCTTGTGGACCTCTGAAAGAACTCTCAACGAAACATAGCCCTATTTGGCCAAGTGGTAAGGAGATGAATATAAGACGTTTATCTTACTTATCTAGAATCTTCTTCCTTTTGGCTGAGGTGATAATTTCTAGCTGAAGGCTTGGCTGATTTATGAATAGAACTGCCAGGCTAAAGTAAGAATTCCACACCTAGACAGACAGAGAAAGAGAAAATGTGACAGTCTAAGAACTTAATCTTGTAGGGAGCGTTACTAAATACATGCATGTAGCATAGAACCCATTTTACAATCTTAAGATCCTCATTTTTTTTCCCTTTTAAATATCTTTGCAAACAAGAATTTTTCTTTTTTTCCCCCTTAACTCCTTCTGAAGCCAATTGTGTTGATTCTGGACTAGAAAGCATACTCATGGAGTTTGGCTACCAACACTTCCAACAGGGGTATCCCAGGTCATATTCTAATCATCATCAGGCTTGGAAGCTGTTTGATACTATGAATCTATTAATAAAGCAAAAAACAAGTGAGCTTGGTTTTGGCTTTCTAAGGTTATTGCAATAATAGTGATGGATATTTCAGGAGTGCCTACCTTAAAGTCAAAGTCAGTCTCTGTGAAATTCTTGTGCAGTGCAGAGGACAGGTACTGGACAGTAGTGACTATAATACTGCAGTAAGGAAACAAGGCATTGGCAGAATTAAAAGACTAACAATGGCATCTGATGGCTTGGTATCAGCTGTCTATAGCCTGTGTGCAAACTTCTTGAGTACAATTTGTTCCCATGTAAGATGTGACTATAAAGGAAAGAGAAAATGGTACAAACTCTATAGAAAAAATCTCTACAGAAAACCAGTCTTGGAGAAATGCCCCACAGTTGGCAGGACAGCACAGGACATCAGTGGGTTCTAGACCTAGTTCTGTCATTACCTGGCCTTCATACTTCTCTCTGGGTCTCATTTTCCCTGCCTATAAAAGGTGGTAGGAGATCGATGGTTCTTTAAGGTTTCTCCCAGTTCAGAGTAGTTCTAGTATTTTGGGGATCTCTGGGTAATCAAGAGATATTATGATCACTTTGTAGGATTTAGAACATAATTTTATTATTATACTGGATAACAGGGGTTTATATAGTTAATAAATCTTTGCTTTTGTCATATACTATTATTTTCATCTATGTGTCATTTGAATTCAGCTCTTTTGGTCTAGCTTGAGTAATCACTCTCAATCTCAGCCTGGGCACATAGAAGGGACAATGGGAGGCTGTCCTGCTGGAACAAGAGAGTGAAGTGGAGAGGAAGTCTAGTGGGACAGTACGTTTCATTACATAGGGCCTTGGCTACCTGGCAAAGAGACTTACATCTAACAGTGGCCACCTCTGCTTAGATGCAGAAGAACATGACAAAAACAGTGCATTAGAAAGACTAGTCCACCACTAGAGGGGGTGAAAAATTTAAAGGGTCAAAGCTTTGAAAGAAAAAGCTGCTCTTGCAGGACAAGCTGGGGAGCCTGAAGTGCTCTGAATGGAGCTAAGAGATAGAAACAAGAAAGATTCAAATGGAAAAGTCACTATTTGAGGAAGTATCTGTGCAACTTTGTTTACAATCATCCTTCTATTCTTTATAAAACATTTGTATTTTGGAAAAAGTTACAGTGCTTATAAAAGGTGTAAAGTGGAAAGACCATGCTAGTATCTTGCTAATATATCTAACAGACACTTTCACTGTATTTTATATGTCAATATAAAAGGCAGATCAGTGGGAGGAGGCAATGGGCTAGAGTGTGGAGGCCAAGTAGCCTTCTGCTGAATAGAGAGAGACCAGATGAGCCAGCCCCTTACCACATGCATCATTTGTCTGGTTTGCCAGGAGGAAGCACAAGCTAGAAATATAAATGAGGCAGTCAGGTTAGGATTATCTTTAGAGTAAATTCTATGTCAGTAATCAGAAGTGGTCAGAGCCTTGCAGCCAGGTCTCAGGTGGATAACTGGCACTGTCTATGGGAGGCAAGCACTGCCTGGTAGACAACACAATTCAAACTGAGAAGAAGGCTTGGGATAATGCCCAAACCTATAGGGCAGCAGAGGCCAGTGGGCCACTGAGCAGGCCTTCCTCAAGGAAGAACCCTTCTCTGGATATTATATTTCACATCCTGAAAATTTTCTTCTCTATCCTTACTGTGCCATCATCTACTAAGCACAAAAATGTTTTTCTCATTTGCCCTCTCCTCTCTGTTCCCATGGCCCTGGCCTTTATTTGTCTTGCTCATGTGCTCCCTCTCTGAAATACACATACTCTTCTTAGTCTGAGAACAGCTCAGTGATGCTGATACAGAGCCCTTCCATACTTACTTGCTTGTGAGCAGTCTCATTACCATCCAGTCCCGAGGGAAGACACTCATCTTCATCAGGTTCCGGAACACGCAAAAAATCTTCAGCAGAAATTCCTGACAGCAGAGGAAAGCTGATGTGAGACACCACCACCACAATATGCATCTCCTCAATAGGCCACTCCTGGCCGCCACTAGATCATGACAATGGGTGGGACCAGTGAGTTAGATCTGGTTCTCTCTGTGAGTTGTTTCTCTCTTAGAGGGCTACATGAGAGTGAGTTCTGGGTACTCTCACAGGCCAGATGGAAGCAGACCCAAACTGGGCAGAACAGAGGTAGCTCTATACCCACAGTGCCCAAAGCAGCTCTATACCCACTTTATACCCACAAAGCCCAAAGCATGGGACAGACTAAGGTCTAGCCAAACTGGTGTCCGACTGAGTCCATGGGCTTCATTTTCTGGGGCATGGCCCCTGAGCGTTTGATTGTAAGAACATGCTTTTTTGGATATTAAGAACACGATGATGGGAGAGGTACTTTAGGAATGGCAGAGTAAAGACCTCTGAAAATCTGCTTGTCCATGAAAGCAATGGGGTGGCTAATACTGGTTAACCAAAGGCTTGTGACAATCCAAGAAATGTTTACTCAAGAAAAATGGATGAGTCCCATGTACGCTCTGTAAGAAACAAAGAGCTCTCGCTCTCGCTCTCGCTCTCGCTCTCGCTCTCCCTCTCCCTCTCCCTCTCCCCACGGTCTCCCTCTCCCTCTCTTTCCATGGTCTCCCTCTGATGCCGAGCCGAAGCTGGACTGTACTGCTGCCATCTCGGCTCACTGCAACCTCCCTGCCTGATTCTCCTGCCTCAGCCTGCCGAGTGCCTGCGATTGCAGGCGCGCGCCGCCACGCCTGACTGGTTTTCGTATTTTTTTGGTGGAGACGGGGTTTCGCTGGGTTGGCCGGGCTGGTCTCCAGCTCCTAACCGCAAGTGATCCGCCAGCCTCGGCCTCCTGAGGTGCCGGGATTGCAGACGGAGTCTCGTTCACTCAGTGCTCAATGGTGCCCAGGCTGGAGTGCAGTGGCGTGATCTCGGCTTGCTACAACCTCTACCTCCCAGCTGCCTGCCTTGGCCTCCCAAAGTGCCGAGATTGCAGCCTCTGCCCGGCCGCCACCCCGTCTGGGAAGTGAGGAGCGTCTCTGCCTGGCTGCCCATTGTCTGGGATGTGAGGAGCCCCTCTGCCTGGCTGCGCAGTCTGGAAAGTGAGGAGCGTCTCTGCCCGCCCGCCATCCCATCTAGGAAGTGAGAAGCGTCTCTGCCCGGCCACCCATCGTCTGAGATGTGGGGAGCGCCTCTGCCCCGCCGCCCCGTCTGGGATGTGAGGAGCACCTCTGCCCGGCCGCGACCCCGTCTGGGAGGTGAGGAGCGTCTCTGCCCGGCCGCCCCGTCTGAGAAGTGAGGAGACCCTCCGCCCGGCAGCCGCCCCGTCTGAGAAGTGAGGAGCCCCTCCGCCCGGCAGCCGCCCCGTCTGAGAAGTGAGGAGCCCCTCCGCCCGGCAGCTGCCCCTACTGGGAAGTGAGGAGCCCCTCTGCCCGGCCACCACCCCGTCTGGGAGGTGTACCCAACAGCTCATTGAGAACGGGCCATGATGACAATGGCGGTTTTGTGGAATAGAAAAGGGGGAAAGGTGGGGAAAAGATTGAGAAATGGGATGGTTGCTGTGTCTGTGTAGAAAGAAGTAGACGTGGGAGACTTTTCATTTTGTTCTGTACTAAGAAAAATTCTTCTGCCTTGGGATCCTGTTGATCTATGACCTTACCCCCAACCCTGTGCTCTCTGAAACATGTGCTGTGTCCACTCAGGGTTAAATGGATTAAGGGCGGTGCAAGATGTGCTTTGTTAAACAGATGCTTGAAGGCAGCATGCTCGTTAAGAGTCATCACCACTCCCTAATCTCAAGTACTCAGGGACACAAACACTGCGGAAGGCCGCAGGGTCCTCTGCCTAGGAAAACCAGAGACCTTTGTTCACTTGTTTATCTGCTGACCTTCCCTCCACTATTGTCCTATGACCCTGCCAAATCCCCCTCTGCGAGAAACACCCAAGAATGATCAATAAAAAAAAAAAAAAAGAAAAATGGATGAATAATAACAATGAGTTTTGTTGCATTTTTAACTTGCACTATTCCCTTCCCCTCCCACCTCCACAGTAGCCTTAAAAACAAGCTGCTGTAGAATCATGAAAGTCATGAAAACCAGAGCCTAGCAGCCATTAGAAGGGACAGAATGGTTTTGGAACTCCTACAAAAAGTCCTGACCCCCCAGAATTGTTATTATTTGACCTGCTTGGCAGCTTCCTGGAAAAACTCCATTCATAGGGCTTGTCTTAATTTAACCTGACTCAGAGCTCACTCAGTGAGGAAAACTCTATACCCAAGGCATTTGTTGGAGAGAAAAAAAAAACAAAAAAAAAAACCCATATAATTTAACATCCCAGCTGCATGAAGCAGCCATGTCATTTCGGGCAAACCAGAGAATGGCTAAAAAAAAAAAATTATAAGGAAAATCTGAGGAATGAAATATCCATAGGGGGCCTTGAAAAGCTCTGACATATTCCTGGGAATCTAGAAGGCCACACATGAGTGCAGGGCTGTGCACATTCCTAGGGAAGGCCTGAGAAGGCCTAATCTCTCACCTGTGCTGACCTTGAGGCTCTGGGCAAGCAGGAAGTGAAGGCTATGGCTGAACTGAAAAGTGCTGGAGCAATGACAGTGAGCCCCAACACATACACATAAAAAAAACACTTTACAAAATGCGGAGAGTTATTGATTTAAGGCATTTAAGAAAATATCTGTTCAGTTATTAGCTGATCATTAACTAACTGCATGGAGACTTTAGTGACTGCATATAGTTAAAAAATACAGATATTAAAGAATGGGTCCAGGCATGGTGGCTCACATCTGTAATCCTAGTGCTTTGGGAGGCTGAGGCAACAGGATCACTTGAGGCCAGGAGTTTGGAACCAGCTTGGGAAACATAGCAAGATCCCCATCTTTACAAAAAATTAAAAAATTAGCTGCATGTGGTGGTGCATGCCTGTAATCCAAGCTACTCAGCAGGTTGAAGTGGGAGGATTTCTTGAGTCCAGGCAAGGTTGTAGTGAGCTCTGATCACATCACTGTACTACAGCCTGAGCAATACAGCAAGACCCTGTCTAAAAAAACCCCAAAAAGCAATGAGTCCAATAATGTCACTAAAAAAAGAAACAAGCATCATCAACAACATAAAGCAATAAAAAGCAACAATAACAAGCCCTGGGGATGTGGGGAAGGGATCTGATTTCCAGAGTTGCCAAATTAATTAAAATGTCCAGTTTTCAACAAAATATTATAAGATATAAAAAAATAGGAAAGTATGGCCCATACACGGGCAAAAAGAAGTAAATAAAAACTTTTCCTGAGGTAGCTCAAACATTGGACTTGCTTGGAAAATACTTTAAACAAAGAAATGAAGGAAATCACACTTAAAGAATTAAAGGAAAGTGTAAGAACAATGACTCACCAAATAGAGGATGCCAACAAAAAGGGTAGAAATTACTTAAAGTACACCGAATATAAATTCTAGGATTGAAGAATACAATAACTGAAATGAAAAATTCACTAAAGGGGCTCAGCAGCAGATCTGAGCTAGCAGAAGAATCAGCAAATTTGAAGCCAAGTTAACTGAGATTATCTCAAGTAGGAAAAACAAAAAGAAAAAAGAATGAAGACAAATGAACAGAGCCTCAGATACCTGTGGGGCATCATTAAGGGTATAAACACACACACAGTGGTAGTGCCAGAAGGAAAAGAGAAAGAGAAATGGGAAGAAATAATGGGCAAAAACTTTCCAAAATTGATGAAAAAATCTTTACACAGCCAAGAAGCTCAACAAACTCTACAGGGGATAAAATCAAAGAGATTCGCATAGAGCCACATTAGAATCAAAAGTGTCAAAAGCCAAAAATAAAGAGAATCTTGAAAGCAACAAGAGAAAAACAACAAACAACCCTCAATAATATGAAAAGGTGACATCATCAGATATAGTGGAGGCCAGAAGGCAGACAGCAGAAATATTCAAAGTCTGAAATGAAAGACCATCAACAAAGAATCCTACAGCCAGCAAAACTACCATTCAAAACTAAAGAAACTGCAAAGCACAGTGGCTCATGTCTGTAATCCTAGCACTTTGAGAGGCTGAGATGGGAGGATTGCTTGAGCCCAGGAACTTGATACTAGCCTGAGCAACATAGCGAGACCCCATCTCTACAACAATAAATTTAAAAAAAAAAAGAAAAAAAAAAAGAAAAACTAGCTGGTGTGGTGGTGTGCACATGTAGTCCCAATGACTTGGGAGGCTGAGGTGGGAGAATCGCTTGAGCCTGGGAAGACTGTGGTGGCAGTGAGCTATGATTGTGCCACAGCACCCCAGCCTGTGTGACGGGGCAAGACCCTGTCTCAAAAAAAAAAAAAAAAAAAAAAGAAGAAGAAATCAAGACATTCTCAGATAAAAACAGAGAGAATTTTCTATTTGTAGACCTGCCCTATAATAAAAACACACACACACACACACACACACACGCGCACACACACACACACAGACACACACACACTGAGGGAATTAAAATGGCATACTAAATACATTTAACACAAAAGAAGGCAGTAATGGAGGAACAAAGGAACAAAGTTGGCATAAGACCTATATAAAGCACATAGCAAAATGGCAGGTGTAAAACCTACCAATTACCTTTATTGGCAGTTACAGTAAACATAAATGAATTAAACACTCCAACTAAAAGACGGAGTTGGGAAAAATTAATTTAAAAATATGATCCAACTATATCTACAAGGTACACACTTTAGATTCAAATGTACAAATACATTGAAAGTAAAAGAATGGAAAAATATATACCATGAAAATAGTACCCAAACGAGAACTGGTATGGCTATATTAACATCAGACAATATAGACATTAAGACAAAAATTTTTGTTAGAGACAAAGAAGGATATTTTTATAATGATAAAGGGGTCAGTTATGTCTGGAAGTCGTAATTATAAACATATATGCAACCTAAAAGCACAGCCTCAAAATATATAATGCAAAAACTGACAGAATGGAAAGTAATAGTAGACAATTCAATAATAGTTGAAGACTTTGATATACCACTAACAGTCAGAACAACTAGACAGAAGATCAGCAAAGAAATAAAAAACTTGAGCAATATTATAAACTATCTAGCTCTAACACACGTCTATAGAACACTCCATCTAACAACAAAATACACACGTTTTCCTCAAATGCACATAGAAGGAAAAATATGTGCATTCCCTTCTCTAGGACAGATCATATGTTAGGCCATAAGAAAGTCCCAATAAATTTAAAAGAAGTAAAATCAGAGGGGTGAGGATGGCCAGCTAGAAACAGCTGCAGTTGGAGGGTCCCACAGAGAAGAACCAAAACGGTGAGTGAACCCTGCAGTGGCAACCAAGGTATCTAGGTTCTCTCACTGGGACTGACTAGGTGGTTGGCATGACCCACGGAAAGTGAGGAAAAGCAGGGTGGTGCGATGGCTCACCTGGGAGCCACATGGGGTAAGGGGGCCCCCCACCACCAGCCAAGGGAGGCAGTGAGGGATCGTGCTACCCAGACTGGGAAACCATGCTTTTTCCACAGATCTGTGCAACCCATAGATCAGGAGATCCTACTTGTGGGCCTACGCCACCAGGACCTTGGATCCCAAGCACACAGCTGTGCAGATTCTCAGCGGCCACTCAGCTGGAGGCTAAGACAACTGAGTTCCCCCCAAGTGAGGGTTGGCAGCCATCACTGCAGCTGCCTGCTGTCTATGACAACTGAGCAGGGGAGGAGGGGGAGGGGAGGTCATCATCCTGAGCGGGAGGGGAGGTCATCATCACTATAGCTGCCTGCTGCCTAAGACTAATGAGCTTCCCAGGAGAGGGGCAGCAGGCATCACTATGGCTGCCTGCTGCCTAAGATGATTAGCTCACTGGGAGAGGGGCAGCAGCCATCACTGTAGCTCCAGTCTTCAGTTTTTCCCCTGCTGGTGCTGGGGAAACTGGACGGTTTGGATCCAAACTGCCACACTGGCTGTGGCAGACTGTGGCCAGGCTGCCACTTTAGGTCGGACCCTGACCCATTCTTCTTCAGTGGGTGGGGCCTCCCTGCAGGAATTTTAGCAACTTCAGCCAGGGGTTTAGGGACAGAACTTTGATCTCCCTGGGACTGAGGGGCTGCGGAGACCTGCGGCTATGGTGTCCGCAGATCAGCAGACTTAGTCTTTCCCCCTGCTAGCTCTGAGGAATCCAGGCAGCCCAGACAAGTGGGATTCCCCCCAGCACAGCACACCCCCTCTGCCAAGGGGCAGCCAGAGTGCTTCATTAAGTGGGTCCCAGATTCCGTGCCCCCTGACTGGGTCAGACCCTCCAATAAGGGTTGCCAGACACCTTATATAGGAGCATTCCTGCTGGCATCAGGTCAGTGCCTCTCAGGGACAGAGATCTCAGAGGAAGAAGCAGGCAGCTATCTTTGCTGTTCTGTAGCCTCCTCAGGTGACACCTCTGGGTGTGGGAGGGACCCAGGTGAATAGGGTCTGGAGTGAACCCTCGGCAAACCAGAGCAGCCCTACAAAAAGGGGCTTAATTGTTGAAAGAAAAACAAACAGAAAGCAACAACAACAGCATCAACAAAAAAGTCCCCACAAAAACCCTATCCAAAGGTCAGCAGCCTCAAAGATTGACGCTAGACAAACTCATGAAGATGAGAAAGAATCAGTGAAAAAACACTGAAAACTCAAAAAGGCAGAATGTCTCTTCTCCTCCAAATGATTGCAATACCTCTCCAGCAAGGGCAAAGAACTGGGCAGAGGCTGAGATGAATGAATTGACAGAAGTAGGCTTCAGAAGGTGCGTAATAACAAACTTCTCTGAGCTAAAGGAGCATGTTCTAACTCAATGCAAAGAAGCTAAGAACCATGATAAAACATTACAGGAGCTGTTAACCAGAAGAGCCAGTTTAGAGAGGAACATAAATTACCTCACAGAGCTGAAAATACAACATGAGAACTTCACAGTGTAAACACAAGTATCAATAACCGAACAGACCAAGCAGAGAAAATAATTTCAGAGCTTGAAGACTATCTTGCTGAAATAAGGCAAGACAAGATTAGAGAAAAAAAAAAATGAAAAGGAACAAACAAAAGCTATGAGAATATGTAAAAAGACTGAACCTACGACTGATGGGGGTACCTGAATGAGACAGGGAGAACAGAACCAAGATGAAAAACATACTTCAGGATATCACCCAGGAGAACTTCCCCAACCTAATAAGAGAGGCCAACATTCAAATTCAGGAAATCCAGAGAACCCCAGTAAGATACTCCACAAGAAGATCAACCCCAAGACACATAATCATCAGATTCTCCAAGGTTGAAATGAAGGAAAAAATGTTAAGGGCAGCCAGACAGAAAGGCCAGGTCACCTACAAAGGGAAGCCCATCAGACTAACAGCAGACCTTTCAGCAGAAACCCTATAAGCCAGAAGAGATTGGGGGCCAATATTCAACATTCTTAAAGAAAAGAATTTCCAGCCCAGAGTTTCATATCTGGCCAAACGAAGCTTCATAAGTGAAGGAGAAATAAAATCCTTTTCAGACAACCAAATGAGGAGGGAATTTGTCACCACCAGGCCTGCCTTGCAAGAACTCCTGAAGGAAGCACCAAATATGGAAAGGAAAACATTACTAGTCACTGCAAAAAAAAAAGTACAAAGGCCAATGACACTATGAAGCAACTACATCAACAAGTCTGCAAAATAATCAGCTAGCATCATAACAGAATCAAATTCACACATAACAATATTAACCATAAATGTAAATAGGCTAAATGCCCTAATTAAAAGACACAGAATGGCAAACTGTATAAAGAGTCAAGACCCATTGGTGTGCTGTATTCGAGAGACCCATCTCATGTGCAAAGATACACGTAGGCTCAAAATAAAGGGATGGAGAAAAATTTACCGAGCAAATGGAAAGCAGAAAAAAGCAGGGGTTGCAATCCTAGTTTCTGACAAAACAGACTTTAAACCAACAAAGACAAAAAAAGATAAAGAAGGGCATTACACAGTGGTAAAGGGATCAATGCAACAAGAAGGGCTATCCTAAATATATATGCATCCAATACAGAAGCACCCAGATTGATAAAACAAGTTGTTAAAGACCTATAGAGAGACTTAGACTCCCACACACAATAATAGTGGGAGACTTTAACACTCCACTGTCAATATTAGACAGATCACTGAGACAGAAAATTAATAAGGATATTCACAGGATTTGAACTCTGCTCTGGATCACATGGACCTGGTATCTACAGAACTCTCCACCCAAAAACAACAGAATATACATTCTTCTTGGCACCACATGGCACTTACTCTAAAATTGATAACATAATTGGAAGTAAAACACTCCTCAGTGAATGCAAAAGAAATGAAATAATAACAAACAGGATCTCAGAACACAGTGCTATCAATTAGAACTCAAGATTAAGAAACTCACTAAAAACCACACAACTACACTGAAATTGAACAACCTGCTCCTGAGTGACTCCTGGGTAAATAATGAAAGTAAGGCAGAAATCAAGAAGTTATTTAAAACCAAAATCAAGAAGTTATTTGAAACCAATGGGAACAAAGAAATAATGTACCAGAATCTCTGGGATGCAGCTAAAAGAGTGTTAAGAGGGAAATTTATAGCACTAAATGCCCACATCAAAAAGCTAGAAAGATCTCAAATAAATCTTTCTAATATCACAACTAAAAGAACTAGAGAACCAAGAGCAAACAAACCCAAAAGCTAGCAGAAGACAGGAAATATCCAAGATGAGAGCAGAACTAAAGGAGATAGAGACATGAAAAAGCCTTCAAAAAAAAAAATCAATGAATCCAGGATCTGGCTTTTTGAAAAAATTAATAACATAAATGGACTGCTAGCTAGATTAATAAAGAAGAAAAGAGAGAAGAATCAAATAGACACAATAAAAATGACAAAGGGGATATCACCACTGATCCTGCAGAAATACAAACAACCATCAGAAAATACTATTAACACCTTTAGGCATGTAAATTAGAAAATCTAGAAGAAATGGATAAATTCCTGGACACGTACAGCCTCCCAAGACTAAACCAGGAAGAAGTTGAATCCCTGAACAGAACAATAAAAAGCTCTGAAACTGAGGCAGTAATAAACAGCCTACTAACCAAAAAAGCCCAGGACCAGATGGATTCACAGCTGAATTCTACCAGAGGTATAAAGAGGAGCTGGTACCATTTCTTCTGAAATTACTCCAAGCAACTGAAAAGGATGGACTTCTCCCTAACTCATTTTATGAGGCCAGCATCATCCTGATACTAAAACCTGGTAGAGATACAATAAGAAAAAGAAAACTTCAGGCCAATATCCCTGATGAACATTGGTGCAAAAGTCCTCAATAAAATACTGGCAAACCAAATCCACCAGCACATCAAATAGCTTATCTACCATGATCAGGTTGGCTTCATCCCTGGGATGCAAGGCTGGTTCAACATACACAAATCAATAAAGGTAATTCAGCACATAAACAGAGCAAAAGATAAAAACAACATGATTATCTCAATAGATGTAGAAAAGACCTTTGATAAAATTCAACATCCTTTCATGATAAAAAACTCTCAATAAACTAGGTATTGATGGAACACATTGCAAAATAATAAGTGGCATTTACGACAAACCCACAGCCAATATCATACTGAATGGGCAAAAGCTGGAAGCATTCCCCTTGAAAACCGGCACAAGACAAGGATGCCTTCTCTCACCACTCCTATTCAACATAGTACTGGAAGTTCTGGCCAGGGCAATCAGGCAAGAGAAACAAATAAAGGGTATTCAAATAGGAAGTGAAGTCAAACTGTCTCTGTTTGCAGATGACATGATTCTATATCTAGAAAACCCCATTGTCTCAGTCTAAAAGCTCATTAAGCTGATAAGCAACTTCAGCAAAGTCTCAGGATACAAAATCAATGCGCAAAAATCACAAGCATTCATATACACCCAAGGAGAGAGCCAAATCATGAATGAACTCCCATTCACAACTGCTACAAAGAGAATAAAATATCTAGGCATACAGCTAACAAGGGAAGTAAGGACTTCTTCAAGAAGAACTACAAACCACTGCTCAAGGAAATCAGAGAGGACACAAACAAATGGAAAAACATCCCATGCTCATGGATAGGAAGAATCAATATTGTGAAAATGGCCATACTGCCCAAAGTAATTTATAGATTCAATGCTATTCCCATTAAACTACCATTGACATTCTTCACAGAATTAGAAAAAACTACTTTAAAAGTCATATGGAACCAAAAAAGAGCCCGTATAGCCAAGATAATCCTAAGCAAAAAGAACAAAACTGTATGCATCACACTACCTGACTTCAAACAATACTACAAGGCTACAGTAACCAAAACAACATGGTAGTGGTACCAAAACAAACACATAGACCAATGAAACAGAATAGCGATCTCAGAAATAAGACTGCATATCTACAACCATCTGATCTTCAACAAACTTGACAAAAGCAACAGGGAAAGGATTCCCTATTTAATAAATGGTGCTGGGTAAACTGGCTAGCCATATGCAGAAAATTGAAGCTGGACACCTTCCTTACACTTTATATAAAAATTAATTGAAGATGGATCAAAGACTTAAATGTCAAACCCAAAACTACAAAAACCCTAGAAGAAAATCTAGGCAATATCATTCAGGACATAGGCACCAGCAAAGATTTTATGATAAAAACATCAAAAGCAATTTCATCAAAAGCAGAAATTGACAAATGGGATCTAATTAAACTAAAGAGCTTCTGCACAGCAAAAGAAACTAACATCAGAGTAAACAGATAATCTATAGAATGGGAGAAAATTTCTGCAATCTATCCATCTGACAAAGGTCTAATATCCAGAATCTACAAATAACTTAAACAAACTTACAAGAAAAAAAAAACCCATTAAAAAGTGGGCAAAGGAGATGAACAGACACTTCTCAAAAGAAGACACTTACGCGGCCCATAAACACGTGAAAAAAAGCTGAACATCACTGATCATTAGAGAAATGCAAATGAAAACCACAATGATACAGCATCTCACACCAGTCAGAATGACAATTATTAAAAATGTCAAGAAACAACAGATGCTGGTGAGGCTGTGGAGAAATGGGAATGCTTTTACACGGTTGGTGGGAATGTAAATTAGTTCAACCATTGTGGAAGACAGTGTGGTGATTCCTCAAAGACCTAGAAGCAAAAATACCATTTGGCCCAGCAATCCTATTACTGGGTATATACCCAAAGGATTATAAATCATTCTATTACATATTACAAAGATACATGCACTTGTATGTTCATTGCAGCACTGTTCACAATAGCAAAGACATGGAATCAACATAAATGCCTATCAACAATACACTGGATAAAGAAAATGGGTTACATATACACCATGGAATACTATGCAGCCATAAAAAGGAATGAAATCATGTCCTTTGCAGGGACATGGATGGAGCTGGAAGCCATTATCCTCAGCAAACTAACACAGGAACAGAAAACCAAATACTGTATGTTCTCACTTATAAGTGGGTGCTGAACAATGAGATCACATGGACACAGGGAGGAAAACAACATAGACTGGGGCGTTGGGGATTGAGGTGGGGGGAGGGAGAGCATTACGAAAAATAGCTAATGCGTGCTGGGCTTAATACCTATGTAATGGGTTGATAGGTGCAGGAAACCACCATGGCACACATTTACCTATGTAACAAACATGCACATCCTGCACATATACCCTAGAACTTAAAATCAAAATTAAAATTTAAAAAATTGGTTCTCTGAAAAGATCAACAAGATGGACAAACTTTTAGCTGCATTGACCAAGAAAGAAAAAGAGAACTCAAATTAGTCAAATTAGGAACAAAAGAAGTGACATCATTACCAATGTTATAAAATCAGAAAGGATTACATGGTTCTAGTATGAACAAATGCATGCCAACAAATTATATAACCTAGATGAAACTGACAAATTCTTAGGAAGTTACAAGCTACCAAAGTTCATTCATGAAGAAATAGAAAATCTGAGTATACCTATTCACAAGTGAAAGATCCAATAATTAAAAAGGTTTTCACAAAGAAAATTCTAGGACAAGATGGTTTCACTAATAAAATCTATGAAATGTTTAAAGAATTAATACCAATATTTGTCTTCTTCATTATATCTACTCTTTTTTTGTTTTTGAGATGGGGTCTCACTCTGTTGCCCAGGCTGGACTGCAGTGGCACAATCATAGTTCACTGTAGCATCGACTCCTGAACTCAAGGGATCCTCCTGCCTCAGTCTCTTGAATAAAGAAAGTCTCAACAAATTTAGCTGGGACTAAACTGGGACTACAGGCATGCACCACTACACTCAACTAATTAAAAAAAAATTATTATTATTATTATTATTTTTGTAAAGACAGGGTCTTGCTCTATTGCCCAGGCTTGTCTCCAACTCCTGACTTAATGCCTCCTGACTTGACCTCCCAAAGTGCTAGGATTACAGGTATGAGCTACCATGCCTGGCCTGTTATGTCTACTCTCAGTGTGAAGTGCTATCTTGTAGATTTAATTTACATTTCCTTAATGAGTAATAATGTGGAGTATCTTTTCTTGTGCATATTGGCTATGTGTCTGTCTTCTCTGGGGAAATGTCTATTCAAATCTTTTGCCCATTTTTAAATTGAGTTTTCTATCTTTGAGTAGTAGGTGTCTTTTTGAATATATTCTAGACCACAAGGTGTTTACTAGATGTATGATTTGCAAATATTCTCTCCCATTCTGTGGGTTATCTTGATGGTAGCCTTTGAAGCACAAAAATTTTTAACTTTGTGTGATGAAGTCTAACTTACCTATTTTTTTCTTTTGTTGTTTGCACTTTGGTGTTATATCTACGAAACTACTGCTTAACACAACAAGATATACTACATTTTCTTCCAAGAGTTTCATAGTTTTAGCTTTTACATTTAGGTCTAAAATCCATTCCAAGTTAATTTTGTAAATACTATAAGGTAGAGATGCGATATCATTCTTTTACATGTAGATTTTTTTTTTTTTTTTTTTTTTTGAGACAGAGTCTCACTCTATCCCCCAGGCTGGAGTGCAGTGGCACGATCTCAGCTCACTGCAACCTCTGCCTCCTGGATTCAAGCGATTCTCATGCCTCAGCCTCCTGAGTAGCTGGGATTACAAGTGCCCGCCACCATGCCTGGCTAATTTTTAAATTTTTAGTAAAGACGGGTTTCCCCATGTTGGCCAGGGTGGTCTCGAACTCCTGACCTCAGGTGATCTGCCTGCCTCAGACGCCCAAAGTGCTGGGATTACAGGTGTTGAGCCACTGCACCTGGCCCTACATGTGGATATTAAGTTGTCCCAGAACCATTTGTTGAAAAGACACTTCTTTCCTTACTGAATTATCTTGGCAGTATTATAAAAAATCAATTTACTTTGGGAGGCCAAGGCGGGCGGATCACAAGGTCAGGAGATCGAGACCATCCTGGCTAACACAGTGAAACCCCATCTCTACTAAAAATACAAAAAAATAGCCGGGCATGGTGGCGGGCACCTGTAGTCCCAGCTACTCAAGAGGCTGAGGCAGGAGAATGGGGTGAACCCAGGAGGCAGAGCTTGCAGTGAGCCGAGATCGCGCCACTGCACTCCAGCCCAGGCAACAGAGCAAGACTCCATCTCAAAAAAAAAAAAAAACCAATTTAAGTAAGAGTTTATTTTTGGACTCTCCAGTTTTGTTGATCTATGTATCTATCTTTATGTTAGTACAAATCTTGATTACTGTTACTTTGTAGTAAGTTTTGAAAATGGGAACTGTGAATCTTTCAATTTTGTTCTTTTTCCAGGTTGTTTTGGCTGAGTCCCCAATATTTCTACATGAATTGAAGGCTCAGACTGTCAATCTCTGCAAAAATGCAGCTGGAAGTTCTTTTTTATTCATTTTGATGATACTGTAACTGGGATTTTTTCTTAATTTCAGTTTTTGAATCATTTATTGCTGGTGTATAGAACTATAGATTTTTGGATATTGATCTTATGTCCTGAAATCTTGAACTTGTTTGTAACTTTTGATAATTTTCCTGTGGATGCCTTAGAATTTTCTGTATATAAAATCAAGTTAGCTTGAGCAACATAGTGAGACTCCATCTCTTAAAAAAAATTTAAAAAGTTAGCCAGGCATAGTTGTCAGTGCCTGTAGTTCCAGCTACTTGGGAGGCTGAGGCAGAAGGATCACTTGAGCCCAGGAGTTTGAAGCTGCAGTGAGCTATGATCGTGCCAGTGTACTCCAGCCTGGAGGACAGAATACCTCACCTCCTAAAAAAAGAATCAGGTCATCTGTGAATAGAGATAGTTTCACTTCTTCCTTTCTAATCTGAAGGGTTACCCCCCACCCCCCAACGCCTTATTGCCCCAGCTAGACTCTCCAGTATAATAAATAAAAATGGCTAGAGCACACATCTTGCCCTTGTTCCTGATCTTAGGAGAAAGAAATTAATCTTTTGTTATGAAGTATGATGTTAGGTGTGTGTTTTTCATAGATGCCCTTTATAAGGTTGAAGAAGTTTGCTTCTATTTTTAGTTTGCTCAGTGATTTTATTACAAAACAAATACCAAATTGTTGGCGGATTTTTTTTAATGCTTTTTCTACATTTGCAATGGTTTGGATATGTCCCCTCAAAACCTCATGTTGAAATCTCATCCCCAATGTTGGAGGTAGAACATAATGGGAGGTGTTTGGGCCATAGGGGTGGATCCATGAAGAATAGATAAATGCCTTCCCTTGGGGAAAAGTGAGCTCTCGCTCTATTAGTTCCCATGACAGCTGGTTGTTAAACAGAGCCTGGCACCTTCCCCCTCTTTCTTGATTTCTCTCTCACCATGATATCTCTGCACACACTGGCTCTCCTTCACCTTCTGCCATGAGTGGAAGCAGCCTGAGGCCTTCGCCAGAGACCCAATCTTAAACTTTTTCAGACATTAGAATTGTAAGCCAAATAAACCCTTTTTCTTTATAAACTAATCAGCCTCAGGTATTCCTTTATAGAAACACAAAATGGACTAAGACATTAACTGAGATGATCATGTGGTTTTGTCCTTTATACCATTTAAGGGTGTATTACACCGATTTAAAAAATTTTTATTTTAATTGACAAATAATAATTGTATATAATTATTAAACACAATCTGATGTGTCAATACATGTATACATTGTGGAATGAACAAATTGGGCTAATTAGCATATTCATCACCTCAGATATTTATCATTTTTTTGTGGTGAGAACACTGAAAATACTGTTTTAGCTATTTTGAAATATACACTCCATTATTAACTATTGTCACCATGCTGTGCAACAGAACACCTGAACTGAAACTTTGCACCCACTGACCAATGTCTCCCCTTTCTCTATCTACTGCCCCCACCCCCAGCCTCTGGTAACCATCATTCTACTATCTACTTTTCGAGTTCAATTTTTTTTTTTTTTTTTTTTTTTTTTTTTGAGATAGAGTCTCTCTCTGTCGCCCAGGCTGGAGTGCAGTGGCGCGATCTTGGCTCACTGCAAGCTCCGCCTCCCGGGTTCACGCCATCTTCCTGCCTCAGCCTCCCCAGTAGCTGGGACTACAGGTACCTGCCACCACGCCTGGCTATTTTTTTGTATTTTTAGTAGATACTGGGTTTCACCATGTTAGCCAGGATGGTCTCGATCTCCTGACCTCGTGATCCGCCTGCCTTGGCCTCCCAAAGTGCTGGAATTACAGGCTTGAGCTACTGCGCCCAGCCTCGAGTTCAATTTTTTTTAGATTCTACACGTAAGTGAGATCATATGATATTTGTCTGTTCCTGGTTTACTTCACTTAACATAATGTCCTCCAGGTTCATCCATGTTGCTGGAAATGACAAAATTTCCTACTTCTTTTAAGGCTGAATAGTATTGCCTGTGTATATATACCACATGTTAAAAATCTATTCATCTGCTGATAGACACTTAGGTTTTTTCCATGTCTCTGCTATTGTGAATAACACTGCAATGAACATGGGAGTGTACATATCTCTTTGACATACTGAGTTTAATTCCTCTGGGTATATACCCAGAAGTGGAATTGTTGGATTATATGGTAATTCTATTTTTAGTTTGAGAAAACTTCATACTGTTTTCCAAAATGGCTGTATTTACAATATCACTAACAGTGTACAAGAGTTCCCTTTTCTCCATATCCTCACCAACAGTTATCTTTCATCTTTTTGATTATAGCTTATCTAACAAATGTGACGTGATATCTCACTGTGGTTTTACTTGGTGTTTTCTGATGACTAGAAATATTGAGCATTTTTTCATATATCTGATGTCTTCTTTTAAGAAATGTCTACTCAAGTCCTTTGCCAATTTTAAAAATAGGGTTATTTGTAGTCTTGTTATTGAGTAGCTTGAGGTTCCTTGTATATTTTGGATATTAGTCCCTTATCTGACATGTAATTTGCAAATATTTTCTCCCAATCTGTAGGTGTTCTCTTCATTCTATTGTTTTCTTCACTGTGAAGAAGCTTTTTAGTTTGATGCAATCCCATTTTCTATTTTTATTTTCATTGCCAGTGCTTTAGGGATCATATCCAAGAAATCCCTACCTAGATCAACATCATAGGTTTTCCCCTATGTTTTCTTCTAGTAGCTTTATCATTTCAGGTCTTCAATCCATTTTCAGTTGATTCTTCTATAGGGGGGTGAGATAAAGGTCTACTTTCATTCTTCTGTATATGGTTTATCCAATTTTCCTAACATCACTTATTGATGAGACTCTCCTTTTTTCATTGTGTGTTCTTGGCATCTTTGTCAAAAATCAATTAATGGTAGATGTGTGGGTTTATTTCTGGGCTCACTATCCTCTTCTATTGGTCAATGTGTCTGTTTTTATGCCAATACCATGGTGTTTTGATCACTACAGTTTTGTAATATGCTTTGAAATATGGTAGAGTGATGCCTCCAGCTTTGTTCTTTTTGGTCAAGGTTGCTTTGGCTATTTGGGGTCTTTTTTTATTCCATACACATTTTAGGATTGTTTTTTTCTATTTCTGTGAGGAATGACATTGGAATTTTGATGGAGATTGCATTGAATCTGTAGATTGCTTTAGGGATTATAAACATCTTAACAATATTAATCCTTCCAATCCATAAACATGAGATATCTGTCCATTTATTTGCATAATCTTTAATTTCCTTAATCAATATTTTATAGTTGTCAGTATACATGCAGATCTTTAACTTCCTTGGTTAAATGTACCCCTGAAACCTGGCCAACATGGTAAAACCCCATCTCTACCAAAAAATACAAAAAAATTAGCTGGGTGTGGTGGCATGCACCTGTAAACCCAGCTACTCAGGAGGCTGAGGTGGGAGAATCTCTAGAACCTGGGAGGTGGAGGTTGCACTGAGCCAAGATTGTGCTACTGCACTCCAGTCTGGGAGACAGAGGGAGGCCCTGTCTCAAGAAAAAAAATTTTTTAACCCCTAAGTATTTTGTTTTTTAAAAATACTATTGTAAACAGGATGGTTTTTGTAACTTCTTTATTTTTGTAGAGAGGAGGTCTCACTATGTTGCCCAGGCTGGTCTCAAACTCCTGGGCTCAAGCGATCCTCCCATCTCAGCCTCCCAAAGTGCTGGTATTACAAGTGTGAGCCACCACACCTGGCTTGTTTTCATAATTTCTTTTTTAGACAGTTTGTTGTTATTGTATAGAAACACAACTAATTAGGTGTTGTCTCCTGCAATTTTACTGAATCTGTTTTTCAGTTCTAACAGGTTTTTTTTGTAGAGTCTTTGAAATTTTCTATATATATGACCATGTCATTGGCAAACAGAGACAATTCTACTCCATCATTTCCTATTTGGATGCCTTTTCTTTCTCTTGCCTAACTGCTCTGGCTAGGACAGAAGTATTTATTACAGAAGTACTTAGTATTGTGTTGAACAGAAGTAGTCAGAGTGGGCATCCCTGTCTTGTTCCTGATCTTAAAAAAAATGCTTTCAGTTTTTCACTGTTGAGTGTGAAGTTAACTATGGGCTTATCATATATGATATTTATTGTTTTGAAGAACATTCTTTCTATATGTAATTTGTTGGGAATTTTAAAATCAAGAAATGAGAATTTTTTATATGCTTTGCCTGCATTTATTGAGATGATCATGTTTTTCTCCTTCATTCTGTTAATATGGTGAATCACATTTATTGATCTGAGTATGTTGAACCAACCTTGTATTCCAGCGATAAATCCCACTTGATCATGGTGAATAATCCTTTTAATGTACTGTTGAATATAGTTTGCTAGTCTTTTGTTGAGGACTTTTGCATCATATTAATCCATGTTACTGACCTATAGCTTCCTTTTCTTGTAGTGTCTTTGTCTGGCTTTAGTATCAGGGTAATGCTAGCCCCATGAAATGAGTTTGGAAATATTCCCTCCTCTTCAATTTTTAAGAAAAGTTTGGGAAGGATTATTATTAGTTTGTCTGTAAATGTCTGGCAGAATTCAACTGTGAAGCCATCTAGTCCTGGGCTTTTCTTTGATGGAAGACTCTTAATTACTGATTCAAGCTCTTTACTAGTTATTAGTCTGTTCAGATTTCCAATCTCTTCATGATTAAGTCTTAGTAGATACACGTGTCTAGGAATTTATCATTTTCTCCTATGTTGTCCAATCTGCCGGCATATAATTATTTGTAGCAGTCTCTTATGATCCTTTATATTTCTGTTATCAGTTGTAACGTCTTCTATTTCATTTCTGACTTGACTCTTCTGTTTTGCTTTTCAGAAAATAAACTTGTTTAGGTGATTTTTCTTTTCTTTTTCTTTTTTTAGTGTCCATTTCATTTACTTCTACTCTGATATTTCTTATTTCTTTCCTTCTGTTAACTTTGGGGTTAGTTTTTTCTTATTTTACTAGTTCCTTGAGGTGTGACATTGGGTTGTTTGAGATCTTGCTTCTTATTTGATGTAGGCATTTATTGCTATAAACTTCCCTCCCAGAGCTGCTTTTGCTACATTCTGTAAGATTTGATATGTTTCCATTTTTATCTCCAGATATTATTTTTGTTATTTTTATTTTTGAGATAGAGTTTCACTCTTGTTGCCCAGGCTGGAGTGCAGTGGCACGATCTTGGCTTACTGCAACCTCCACCTCCCGGGTTCAAACAATTCTCTGCCTCAGCCTCCCAAGTACCTGGGATTACAGGTGCCCGCCACCACGCCTGGCTAATTTTTGTATTTTTAGTAGAGACAGGGTTTCACATCTTGACCAGGCTGGTCTTGAACTCCTGACCTTGTGATCCACCTACCTTGGCCTCCTACAGTGCTGGGATTACAGGCATGAGCCACCGTGCCCAGCCCACTGTCTCTTTTTATAATTTTTGACCTAAAGTCAACTTTGTCTGAAATAGTATAGCTACCCCTGCTCTTTTTGTTTCCATTTGCATGAAATGTCTTTTTTCTTTTATATATATATTATACTTTAAGTTCTAGGGTACATATGCACAACATGCAGGTTTGTTACATATATATACATGTGCCATGTTGGTGTGCTGCACCCATTAACTCGTCATTTACACTAGGTATATCTCCTAATGCTATCCCTCCCCTCTCCCCCAACCCCACAACAGGCCCCGGTGTGTGATGCTCCCCTTCCTGTGTCCAGGTGTTCTCATTGTTCAATTCCCACCTATGAGTGAGAACATGTGGTGTTTGGATTTCTGTCCTTGCGATAGTTTGCTGAGAATGATGGTTTCCAGCTTCATCCATGTCCCTACAAAGGACATGAACTCATCATTTTTTATGGCTGCATAGTATTCCATGGTGTATATGTGCCACATTTTCTTAATCCAGTCTATCATTGTTGGACATCTGCGTTGGTTCCAAGTCTTTGCTATTGTGAGTAGTGCCGCAATAAACATACATGTGCATGTGCCTTTATAGCAGCATGATTTATATTCCTCTGGGTATATACCCAGTAATGGGATGGCTGCGTCAAATGGTATTTCTAGTTCTAGATCCCTGAGGAATTGCCACACTGTCTTCCACAATGGTTGAACCAGTTTACAGTCCCACCAACAGTGTAAAAGTGTTCCTATTTCTCCACATCCTCTCCAGCACCTGTTGTTTCCTGACTTTTTAATGATCGCCATTCTAACTGGTGTGAGATGATATCTCATTGTGGTTTTGATTTGCATTTCTCTGATGGCCAGTGATGATGAGCATTTTTTCATGTGTCTGTTGGCTGCATAAATGTCTTCTTTTGAGAAGTGTCTGTTCATATCCTTCGCCCACTTTTTGATGGGGTTGTTTTTTTCTTGTAAATTTGTTTGAGTTCTTTGTAGATTCTGGATATTAGCCCTTTGTCAGATGAGTAGATTGCAAAAATGTTCTCCCATTCTGTAGGTTGCCTGTTCACTCTGATGGTAGTTTCTTTTTTCATCCCTTCACTTTCAGTGTATGACTGTCCTTTAAGGTGAAGTGAGGCTACTGTAGGCAGCATATAGTTGGGTCTTAAAAAAAAAAAATCCATTCAGGAACTCCACGTCTTTTGATTGGAGAATTTAATCTATTTACATTCAAAGTAATTACCGATAGGCAAGGACTTATTTACTAGTGCTGTTTTGTTTTCTGGTTGGTTGTTTGTAGATCCTTTGTTCTTTTCTTCCTGTATTGCTTTCTTCCTTTGTGGCTGGATGGCTGTCTAGTGGTATGCTTTGATTCTTTTATCTTTTGTATATTAATTACAGGCTTTTGCTTAGTAGTTACTCAGTGGCTTACATAAAACATCTTATACTAATAGCATTTTAGGCTGATAACAACTTTGATTGCATAAAGAAACTCTATACTTTAATTCCCCTCCTCCTACCCTCCACCTTCAAATAGGCCCTAGTATCTGTGGTTCCCTTCTTTGTGTCCATGTACAGCTCCCACTTATAAGTGAGAACATGCAGCATTTGGTTTGCTGTTCCTGCATTAGTTTGCTTAGGATAATGGCCTCTAGCTCCATCCATGTTGCTGCAGAAAACATAATCTCATTCTTTTTTATGGCTGTGTAGAATTCCATGGTATATACGTTCTTTTTTTAAATAACCTAGAGCTGTTTCTCTATTTTGTCACTCCTGTCCTAAGTCATTTATACTCAAGTCTCTCATCTCTCTTCCCCCAGGCTACTCCCTTTCCTCTGTCTCTTTACTTCCTCCACCGATTTACTTTAAATACACACACATGGGCACACACACACACACACACACACCCACACACACACACACACCCACACAAACACCCCTCTCCTAGGCTAGGCTGTTTCAGCTTAGGAAATAAAAAATAAAATCTGTTGGCTTATGAGTAGCCTTTACCTGCAGTCAGAGAGGCATACTGCCTTTCAAGCTCTCAGTTTCTTTCTTCAGGACCATTTCCTCTGCTCCTTTTCTTTCAAACTCATTTTCAGGAAAACTAGGCCATTGACTAATGGCCTCCCTCATTCTAAGTGAGTTTTTGTCACTTGTTACTCTGAGTAAAAGGTATTTAAAAGCCTTTATGTTAGCTTTTTTCTTTTTTTATTTTAGGTTCAGGGGTACATGTGCAGGTTTGTTATATAGGTAAATTGAGCATCATGGAGGTTTGGTGTCCAGATTATTATACTGCCCCAGCAATAAGCACAGTACCTGATAGGTAGTTTTTTGATCCTCACCCTCCTCCCACCCTCCACTCTTAGATAGGCCCTGATGTCTGTTGTTCTCTTAATTTTTTTTTTTTTTTTTTTTTGAGACGGAGTCTCACTTTGTCACCTAGGCTGGAGGGCAGTGCTACGATCTTGGCTCACTGCAACCTCTGCCTCCTAGGTTCAAGTGACTCTCCTGCCTCAGCCTCCTGAGTAGCTGGGATTACAGGCATGTGCCGCCATGCCCGACTCATTTTTGTATTTTTAGTAGAGACGGGGTTTCACCATGTTGACCAGGCTGGTCTCGAACTCCTGACCACAAATGATCCCCCTGCATCAGCCTCCCAAAGTGCTGGGATCATAGGCATGAGCCACTGAGCCTGCCTGTTGTTCTCTTCTTATGTCCATGAGTACTCAATGTTTAGCTTCCACTTACAAGTGAGAACATGTGGTATTTGGTTTTCTGTGTTAGTTCACTTAGGACAATGGCCTCCAGCCCCATCCATGTTGCTGCAAAGGACATGATCTCGTTCTTTTAAAATGGCTGTGTAGTATTCCAACGTGTATATGTAGCACACTTTCTTTATCTAGTCTACCACTGATGGGCATTTAGGTTGATTCCATGTCTTTGCTATTGTGAATAGTTCTGTGATGAACACATACATGTGCATGTGTCTTTATGGTAGAATTATTTATTTTCCTTTGGTTATATATCCAGCAATGGGATTGCTGGGTTGAATGGTAGTTCTTTTTTAAGTTGAGAAATCACAGAACTGCTTTCCATAATGGCTGGACTAATTTACATTCCCATTAGCAGTGTATAAGTGTTCCCTCTTCTCTGCAACCTCACCAGCATTTGTTATTTTTTGACTTTTAATTTTTTAATTTTAATTTTTACTATTTTGAGACTTGACTTTTAATTTTTTAATTTTAATTTTTACTATTTTGAGACAGGGTCTTTTCCTGTCACCCACGTGGGAGAACTGTGGTACAATCAGCTCACTGCAGCCTTGATTTCCTGGGCCCAAGCAATCTTACCTCAGCCTCCCAAATAGCTTGGACAACAGGCACATGTCACCATGTCTGGGTAATTTTTATTTTATTTTTTTTGTCAAGATGGGGTCTTGCTATGCTGCCCAGGCTGGTCTTGAATTCCTGGGCTCAAGTGATCTTGCTGCCTCAGCCTCCCAATATTTTTTTGACTTTAATAACAGCTATTCTGAGTGGTCTCAGATAGTATCTTGCTGTGGTTTTCATTTGTATTTCTCCAGTGATTAGTGATGTTGAACATTTTTTCATGTGCTTGTTTGCTGTATGTCCTCTTTTGAAAAGTGTCTGTTCATGTCTTTTGCCCACTTTTTAACAGAGTTGTTTTTTTGCTTGTGAATTTAAGTTCCTTACAGATTCTGGTTATCAGACCTTTGTCAGATGCATAGTTTGCAAATATTTTCTCCCATTCTGTGGCTTGCCTGTTTATTCTGTTGAGAGTTTTTCTGTGCAGAAGCTCTTTAATTAGATCACATTCGTCAATTTTTGCTTTTGTTGCAAATTGCTTTTGGTGTCTTTGTCATGAAATCTTTGTCAGGGCCTATGTCCAAGTAGTTCTTTTTTAAGTTATTTGAAAATCTTCCAGAGTTTTTATAATTTTAGGTTTTACATTTAAGTCCTTAATCCATCTTGAGTTAATTTTTGTATATGGCATGAGGAAGGGGTCCAGTTTCAATCTGCATATGGCTAGCCAGTTATCCCAGCACCATTTATTGAACAGGGAGTCTTTTCCCCATTGCTTGTTTTTGTCAACTTTGTTGTAAATGAGATTGTTGTAGGTATGAAGCTTTATTTCTGGGCTCTGTATTCTGTTCCTTTGGTCTATGTGTCTATTTTTTGTATCCGTACCATGCTGTTTTGGTTACTGTAGCCTTGTAGTATAGTTTGAAGTCAGGTAATGTCATGCCTCCAGCTTTGTTCTTTTTGCTTAGGACTGCTTTGGCTATTCAGGCTTTTTTTTAATTCCATATCAATTTAAAAAAGTTTTTAATTCTGTGAGAAATGTCATTGGTAATTTAATAGGAATAGCAATGAATCTGTAAATTGCTTTGAGTTGTATGGTCATTTTAACAATATTGATTCTTCATTCTTCCTAGCCATGAACATGGAATGTTTTTCCATTTGTTTGTGTAATCTCTGATTTATTTTAGCAGTTTTGTAATTCTCCTTGTAGAGATCTTTTACCTCTCTGGTTAGTTTTATTCCTAGATACTTTATTCTTTTTGTGGCTATTGTGAATGGAATTACGTTCTTAATTTGGCTCAGCTTGAATGTTGTTGGTGTATAAAAATGCTACTGATTTTTTACATCGATTTTTGTATCCTGAAACTTTGCTGAAGTTGTTTATCAGATCTAGGAACTTTTGGAAAGAGGTTATGGAGTTTCCTAGGTATAGAATTATAACATCTGTAAATAGAGATAGTTTGACTTCCTCTCTTCCTATTTGGATGCGTTTTCTTTCTCTTGCCTGATTGCTTTGGCTAGAACTTCCAGACTAAACTCTTTTTTCATTTGAGATGGAGTCATGCACTGTTGCCTGGGCTGGAGTGCAATGGCGTGATCTTGGCTCACTGCAACCTCTGCCTCCTGGGTTCAAGCGATTCTCCTGCCTCAGCCTCCCAAGTAGCTGGGATTACAGGCGCCCGCCACCACACCCAGCTAATTTTTTTTTATTTTTAGTAGAGACGGGGTTTCGCTATGTTGGCCAGATAGGTCTCAAACTCCTGACCTCATGATCTGCCCACCTTGGCCTCCCAAAGTGCTGGGATTATAGGTGTGAGGCACTGCACCTGGCCTTACCCTCTTTTTAAAATTTCTTTTCTTTTTGTACCTCAGATTATATAATTTTCAGTGACCTGTTTTTGATTTCAGTAATCCTTTCTTCTGCTTGATCTAGTCTGCTGCTGAATCCTTTTATTGAAATTTTCAGTTTAGAGTATTCTTCAGCTCTATGATTTGTTTGGTACTTATGTATACTTTCTGTTTCTTTGTTGAAATTCTCAGTTTATTCTTTCATTGCTCTCCCGACCTCAGTGAGCATCTTTATGAACATTATTTTGAATTCCTTGTTGGATGATCACATACCTACACTTCACTTGGGCTGGTTTCTGGACATTTATCTTATTCTTTTGTTTGAAATATACTCCTATTTATTTTCCTTGATGCTCTGTGGTTCATTTCTGCATATGAGATCAGACAATTATTTCTCCCAATCTTGTCAGGTTGGCCTTGTGTAGAAGGATCTCACCAATTCATCCATCCAGAGATTCTAAGGTGCCTCTCAAATCTTTGTGTTTGTCCAGACTGCTGTCTCTGTTTTGGGTGGCCTCCTGGAGCTTAAGATGTGCCATGTCCTCTCCATACTCTGAAACTGACAACTTAGGAGCCAGACTCTTGTTATGTAGCTGCAAATGTTAAAAGTGTTGGATGCATGCTCCAGTTCATTGTATCTTCATGATAAAGCTGAACATGGGCATTTATATCCCACTGTCGCTGCATTAAGCTGGGGAAGAGGATCTGTTGCAAACGTTGTATGTCTACCTCTTGGCTTTCTGTGATCTAGGGCCACTCAGGAATGCAAAGCCCCATTTTCCCAGAATTAGGTTATTAAGGAGATAGTCTCTTGGGTGGGAGCTATAGAAGTTGTGGCACTTAATGTGTGGCCAAATGCCTTCCAGGAAGAATGGGTACACTTGGACTTATCACTGTGGTGAGCCAAAGGAAAGGCTCATGAAGTGCTGAGCTCTGGCTCAGGCTGCTAAATGGTTATTGTTTGTTTGCTCCATTAGCTCCCTGAAACAAGTTCAATATAAGCCAAGCCATAAAGCAGCCACTGGAATTATGTGCCATGAGACCCTTCTAAAGAGAAAAATCGGAGCTGCATGTTCCTGCCCCTTTTCTGCACTGCTCCAAAGGGGTGTTAGCTCCTGGAAGTGTTTGTGTGCCCATTTAAAACCATCTCTTTGTTCTGTGATCTAGGGAGATTAATAAATGCCTAGTTCTTTCTGCTCCTAGAACTAAGAGGTTTAGGATGGAGTCCTTCGGGAGGTAACTGTAAAAGTTGGCGTACTTGATGCATGGCATAAACCCCTTCCAGGGAGAAACAGGGAGGTGAGTTTTTAAAGCCACTTTTCTGCACTGATCCTGGCAGATGAAGACCCTGGAAGTATTTATGTGCTCACATAAAACTGCAATTTTTTTTCCTGAGGTCTAGACAGACTCATATATATGCAGCTTCTCTTGCTCCCAATGCTAGGAGGTTTAGGATGCAGTCCTTCGGGTAGAAGCTGTAAAAGTTGGAGCACTCAATATGTGGACAATTCTTTCCAGGAGGGATTAATAGGCCTGCAGTTGTTCCTGGGATGAGCTAGGGGAGAAGGCCTGTGAAGTACCAATCTGCTTCTCAGGCTGCTGGTGGGCCAATACTTGCCTGTCCCTTTAACTCACGAATGTAAGTGTGTAAAGTCCCTTTAACTCAAGAAGCCAGACCACCAAGTAGTTATACACCCCTTCCAGGGAGAAACAGAGGAACTGTGTTTTCAAGCCCCTTCTCTGCACTGTTTCAGGAGGATCAAGCCCCAGAAGTGCTTACATGCCCATACGAAACCACAACCTTTTTCATGTAGTCTATGGACACACATATGCCAGTCCCCTTTGTTCCCAGAACGGGGAGGTTTAGGATGCAGTCCCTTGGGTAGAAGCTATAAAAGCTGGGATGCTCAATGTATGGACAAACTCCTTCCAGGAGAGGAGTTTGTCTGAAATTATCACTAGGGTGAGCTGGGGGAGGAGGCTCAGGAAGTGCCAATCTGCTGCTCAGGCTAGCAGCAAGCTACTACTTGTCTGCTCCTTTAACTCCCCAGTCTAAGTCAGTAAGAAGCCAGACTGCCACATGTCCACTGAAAGAGTTTGTCTGTTCCTGAGAGACACATGGAGCTGCATTTTTGGAGCCCTTTCTCTGCATTGCTTCTAGAGGATAAAGCCCTGGAAGTCCTTGTGTGCCCATATAAAATTGCTGCTTTTTCCCTGTGATCTAGAGATACAAATTTCCTCCCCTCCCAGAGTTGGTGAATTAGGAGCCAAACCATGGCAAATCTTAGAATTAGGGTGGTATATGTGAGGTCCAAACCCTCCTCTCCACAGGGAGCAAGTAAATGTTAAGGATTCCTTTCCTGATTTTATGGTGCAGTGCCAGGGGTGGGGTCTGTGCCTGAGTGTGCCTCTCAGCTTTTCCTACCCATTCAATGTGGATGTTTCCTCAGTTGCCTGGTGGGTAAGGATCTTTCAATGGGTCTCCTTCTCTCAGAGGGAAGTGATTCATGAATAGATGTTTATTTGGTGTCTGTGGGTAGAGGGAAAGTCAGGAGCTTCATATTTTTCTGTGTGGCTCACGTCATTCCTTGACAATTTTCACATGTTAAGCTAAACTTGCATTTCTGGGATAAATCCTACTTGATCATGTTATATAATTCTTTTACTATGTTGGTGGATTCAGTTTGCTAGTATTTTGCTGGAGATTTTTGTGTTTATATTCATAAGGGGTATTGGTTTGTAGTTTGCTTTTCTTGTGATGTCTTTGTCCAGGTTTCTTATCACAGTATTTATTACTGACCTCATACAATGAGTAGGTAAATGTTCTGTCCTCTTCTACTTTTTGGGATAGTTTGCAAAGGACTGATATTAATTCTTATTTAAAAATTTGGTAGAATTCACCAATTAAGGCATCTGGTCCTGGGCTTTTCTTTGTGGGAAGTTTTTTTTCTTTTTTCTTTTCTTTTCTTTTTTTTTTTTTTTTGAGACAGAGTTTCACTCTTGTTGCCCAGGCAGGAGTGCAATGGCGCAATCTTGGCTCACCGCAACCTCCACCTACCAGGTTCAGGCGGTTCTCCTGCCTCAGCCTCCCGAGTAGCTGGGATTACAGGCGTGCACCACCACACCCGTATAAGTTTGTATTTTTAGTAGAGACAGGGTTTCTCTATGTTGGTCAGGTCAGGCTGGTCTCAAACTCCCGACCTCAGGTGATCTGCCTCCGCCCGCCTTGGTCTCCCAAAGTGTTGGGATTACAGGTGACAGCCACTGCACCTGGTTGGAAATCTTAAATTATTAACTTGATGTCACTATTTGTGATGAGTCTTTTTAAGATGGATATAATCAGAAGCATTAAATTGTACACTTTAAAAGTATGAATTTTATGGCATAATTATAGCTTAATTAGGCCATAGCCTATTCCTCTCCCTTATTTGGAAGTGTTTTTGCCTCTCTCAGCATTCCACAAGTTACTTCCTCTCTTCCTTTGTTCTCCTCTGCCTTTGACTCTTTTGGGAAGTTCTAAGTTGCTAGCCAATTGGGTCGGGTATAGAATGTGAGGTCCCGTTCCAGCCAATGGAAACCAGACACAGCAGTAGGGTGAATGCATCAGGTTATAAATAACCCTATCTCCTTTGTTTGTGTGTGCTCTTGTGGCTGGACTGCTGGCGAGTGCACCCTTTCCGCAGAAAGTAAACTAGCCTTGCTGAGGAATCCTTTGTCTCAGTGTAGATCTTTTGCGACATCGAACTCCTGTGCCCAACACAGGAGAAGTGGAAGACTCCTCTCTGGGGAATGAACAAGTCCAAGTCCTCCAGACACAGGAATTGGGGAATGCTCTGACCAAAAGGGCAGATCTCTTTGGCCATCTACAGGGAAGCCTGCTAGAGAAAGCCCTGCCTATACATAGAGTTTGTAATCAGCACTGAAGGACTTCACTTTTAGATACACACTATCATCCAGGAGTCTCTATAGGAAAGTCTGTAGGAGGAGAGTCTCCAACACAAAAGATAGTGACTGAAACAAATAAAAGCAGTGGGGGAGCAAATCTCTAGGAAAAAAAAGTGACCTGACATCTGATAGATTTGACCATAAGGCAAGCTGGAAGAAGAGATATATTAGAAAGATGATAGCAAGAGTGGGAAATCCTCACCAGATTTGATGACCAAAACAAAACAAAGCATAAGCAAATAAAAAAAGAGGCAATTAATTTTTATAAAAACAATAAGTTCGACAACAAGCTTGTCTAACCCACGGCCCATGGGCCATATGCAGCCCAGGATGGCTTTGAATGCAGCCCAACACAGATTTGTAAACTTCCTTAAAATATTATGAGATATATATATATATATATATATATATATATATTTTAGCTCATCAGCTATCGTTAGTGTTAGTGTATTTAATGTGTGGCCCAAGACAATTCTTCTTCCAATGTGGCCTAGGGAAGCCGAAAGACTGGACATCACTGTTCTACAAGAAAAGAAATATAATCCCAGGACAGTCTTGGCTCACCACAGTACTTATTTAGCTGTAATAAAGAAAAGATAAACAATATAATCAATGCAAACAAAAATATATGAAAACTACATTGGGAAAATGGGAGGAAGGATGTGTGTGTGAGAGAGGAATGATTCTGGAGAATCATCTTCATTTTCCATAGAAAGAGGAAAATAGATAATAACTAACAATAGCTAAAAATAGTAGTAGAAGCTTCCTGAAGAATAGCAAAAGAATTGAAAGTGGCTGCCTTTGTGGAGTAGGGACTGGACACGAGTCAGGCTGAGCCAGGAAACCACTGTATTTTTTAAAAAAATTATTTCTGGGCTCAATCGATCCTCTCACTTTAGCCTCAAGAGTAGCTAGGACTACAGGTGTTTTATATTATGAACTTTGTAGTATGCTTTGGCTTTTTAAATTATGTATAGCAATCTGTGATAAAAATAAGACCCTCAGTGCTCCAGACCCAGAGTTTGGCAGCAAATGAGCAGTGCACACCCTTGCTCTCTAAAGGTATCTTCCACAAATATATTTAAATGAAAAAAATTGACACCATTATTATTATTAAAGGTATTAAAACAGCAAATCCTAATTTGCAGGTACAAAATATAAGGGTAACTGCCAAGTTACTAAGAAAGGAAGGAGTCCTGGTTGTCTGACAACCAGTGTGGGACAGAGTAGCCTCTAATAGAGGCACATGATCACAGGGCCGCTAATAGTCAAGGAAAACTTGGCAGTGTTACGAGGGTCCAGCTGTGTGGGGACACTGCTGGCTTTCAGCTTCTGGAGGCCAACACTCAGCTGTAAAGCAGGGCTGGTGAATCCTACACCCGTGGCAATGCTAGTCACTTGCATTCATCCCCCTGACAGGGAAAAAGCCCCTGGGGAGTGCTGGCTGCACACTTCCTCTCCCAGAGGAAAGGTGTTCTACTGCCTACCTTGAGTTCATCTTTGCTCTGGAAGTTGTCCAGGAGGTGCTGGAAATGGGTGTCACACATCTGGCGGAGCAGTGAGAGAAGGCAGGACACATACTCGCCCTAGGGACCAACCCAAAAAAACACTTAGCATGGCCAATTGCAAGGGCTGTGTTCCCCCAATCCATAGAGGGCAAGGAGAGAAGGGAGGGTCTGAGATGGCCCCAATGATCATGGAAGAAAGATGACAAATCTAGCCCTCTAAAGCTTTATTTTCTGCTAAGGAAAGCCTGGAGGGATTAGGGGGAAATAAACCCTCTGCAGCATGGGGCTACTGAAAAACCTTAAACTATAATAAAGTAGTACTGCAAAGTGAGACAAATATTCTCCCTTTTTTTCCTAGGAAAGTTTTGGCTAAATAGTCCTTTGCTGCCAGGGCACTGTACTGAAGTCTATAGAGGATACTTGGAAAAGGGGAGAGCTTAACCCTCTCTGGACAGAATTTGGACTCTGCCGATCCTGCTGGACTAGAGCAGCCCTTCTACAAGGACTTCTTTGGAACCTCCTAGAATTTGCACAGGGTTACTGGACTGGGCAAACAAAACACAGCGCAGATCAATATGCCTGTCTGAAAGGCAGAGGAGTTAAAACTGACCTTTTTGAGGGGACAAGCTATGGGCTTTAAGACAAGTAGAAATTAAAGGAGAAATATCAATGTTCAAAATGTCTTCAAGTTCCAATTGGAATACATGGAATAAAATCCTGCTTTAAGGACTTCAAAAACCATCTTACAGCAACTTTTGGCAGGAGGCAGTCAAGCATGGCCTCCTCTTAGTTGCCTCCTTAAAAGGGAGGGAGAACATTTACTTCACTTGGGCAATTTTCAAATGTTTATAAACTCATGAGAAAGTGACAACAGGTTTTAGTCTCTCAAACCCTTTCTAGGTCTCTGAAATTATTATTATTGTTGTTTTTTGGGATGGAGTTTTGCTCTTATCACCCAGTCTGGAGCGCAATGGCATGATCTTGGCTCACTGCAACCTCCACCTCCTAGGTATAAGCGATTCTCCTGCCTCAGCCTCCCGAATAGCTGGGATTACAGGCGCCCACCACCATGCCCGGCTAATTTTTTTTTTGTATTTTTAGTAGACAGGGTTTCGCCATGCTGGCCAGGCTAGTCTCGAACTCCTGACCTCAGATGATCCATCTGCCTCGGCCTCCCAAAGTGTTGGGATTACAGGCATGAGCCATCACGCCTGGCCTGAAATTATTAAAAATACATGTGTGCAAAATATATATGTTCATGAACCTCATTTTTATCTGAAAAATGGGCATAATAAGCTATAGGTAATTCGTCATGAGGGTCAGATGGGTTAATGTACATAAAGCATTAAGAATAAAGTCCATTATGTAAAAAGGTACTGAATAAATTATAGTTATTATCATCCTCATTATAATCTACATAAAATGAATCACTTCCTTAGTATTGCTAAATGAGCTAATATTGGACAAGTGCTTAAAGCAGGGTCTGGCCCACAGCAAGCACTGTGTAAGTGTTGGTTAGAAGGCTGGGTTACCAGGAAATGCCAGGGTACATATATATATATATATATGTTTTTTACTTACAGTGAGAGTGCCTTCAACAGAGGCTCCTAAAGGAGCAGACACTCTTTCCAAGCCCAGTGCTCCAGAACACATACCTGCTCCCTGAGTGCTCCCTGCTCTCCCTAGCACGCTGTAGCTTGGCTTGCTCCAGAGGGTTTTCTTCAGAGAGATCACTGTAATCTCCCATCTGCCAATGGAAAGATTCCACGAAAACTGTTTATCACATCCCCACCTCAGGGCTGAGAAGTAAGTCTACTCTGGAGTTGGGGTGCATGAGGGGCCCAAGGTATTGTCTCTCTGCCCCTCCTGAGAAGCCTTCCCAGTTTGTTTCTCTTCTAATTAGATCACAGAAAAATCGTTATTCACTAATGCCAGTGAAATTTACCTCATCATATTTTTCCAAATGCTAAAAATTTAGATACAAACATAATGGACAAAAGCAACTAATTTGTAGATAGAAGCCAATTCTGAGAAAATTATTCTGTCCTGTACATCATTTAGGAGAACCTGTATGAGGGGGTTCCTAGAAGAAATAGTCTGTTTTTCACCTTCAACCTCTTACTACATCTTACATACATCCCAGCTTCATTCTACAATATAGAAAATGACTTGGCTCAAAGTATGCAGGAAAACAGGACAAGAAACATTCCCCAGATCTGCCCTAAAGAAGAGTCCTGGGAATGTGAACCTAGAGCTTTCAGAGTAGAGAGGAGAGTCAGACTCAAGAAGGGAAGAGGGCAGCATGCTGACAACCATGCAGGAGGGAAGGCTGAGATGAAGGTGGTGGGATGGTAAGATGGAGGGGGAGTGTTGTGGAGAAGCCCCGGGTTAGAAAAGAAGGCAAGAAAACCTGGATGTTAGTTACTAACAGTGATCTCGGCTGTGCACTGCGGGCACCGCTGCCCTCTTACCGCCTCCTGAGCGTGCGATTTGCTCATGATGGTGAGCAGAGTCTGCAAGAGCACGTCCAGGAGGCTCTCCACCATCATCTCTACTTCCTCCATGACATCTGCCTCCTGGAGCGAGCAGCAAGAGAGCACACCATTAGCAGCAAGCCAGGCTGAAGTACAGCTGGCAGCACTTACTAGGTCAGCCACATCAGCAGTAGTCTTCTGGATTCCCAACACCAAGCTCTCAGTCTCACCAACATGCAGTGTCAAGGCACCCAGGACAATGGCTTTGACAGGAGGTGAGGCACAACTGCCACTGCTGCCCAGGCATGGTGGCTGGGGCCTTACCCTAACTCAACACCACCTGCAACTTTGAATCTCAAGCAGATACATTAATTTTGATATACAGGGCAGAAGCAAAGATCTTGAGTTAAATGTTTTCTTTGATTTCCCTAGAATAGTCAGGAGAAGGCAAAACTCTGCTGACACTTTTGGAATGATAAAGTTTGAGAAATGGTGACAAATTCACACTACAGGGTGTGGCAGCTGCACCTTCACTAGTGCATAGCACTAATGCACAGAAGTAGCTCATCTTTCTAAGCACGCTGTTTTCTCCTCAGGGTCTTCCCCTTGGGTGCCCTCAATTTTTGCCAGCCGGGACTGCTGCCTAGATATGCCTGGGTCCACTTCTAGCTCCTCAGCTCTCTTGCTCGTGTTACAGGGTCCATTTGAAGGACTCCAGCCTCAGTGCATCTTTCTCTGGCCACCTCACAAAAACAATGGAGCATGTCTCCTCACTAAGGGCCACTTCCTAATTTAGGAAGAGTCTATTATCCTATTATAGACTTCTCACATTCATCTCAAATTCTGTAGCATGATTTTAATTATCTCACAAAGAGATTCCTGTTGCCCCTCGTCTAAGATGTTTATACTACTACTGGTCCTGGTGTCTATCTTTCACCCATCCATCGATTTATCATTCACTAAACATTTACCATGTGCCAGTCACTGTTTGAGAACCTGAATATATAGAGGTGAACGAGAGATAATATCTCTGCTCTCATTGAGCTTCAGTTTCATTGTCCCTCTACCCATCCATCCATTTTAACTATACTCTGCCCCATTCCACATGAAGAATTTGAGCAGCTCTTGGGACCAAAGTCATCTTTCCTATCTGTCGAACTGATCATAACACTTACCAGTGATGTATCTTTGGGTAGTTATAAGCAACTAATTACACTGACTCTAGCCCCACAAACACAACCAAACCGTCACCTCCAAGTTTTTACTGGTTCCCACTTGTGTTCCATTCCTCCTCTTTTTTTGCTTCAATTTCTCTCCTTCCTTTAGCAATAAGCTGTCCACCCCCTCAATACAACCTTGGGCTATGAGTAGATCTTATGTGCTTGGTGTGGCTTCTCTGAGGCCTGGTGGGAAGAAGAGCTGCCAAGTCTTACCTGGAGCCAAGATCAAATAATAGGGCCATTATCACCATCATAGTCACTCTCTGCCAAGCTAGACCCCTGTCACCAGATGGCACTTTAAGTTTGAACATCAGAGTATCCTATTGAGTCCCTGTCCCCTGCTCGAACAAAATATACTCTTTTTTTAAGGTGCCTCTCCCACTCCATGTGGATAGCCTATCCTTGTATATTCTTATCACCTGGCAACTGCCCTTCATTTTAAATGCATGTGAAATTCTATTCTCTAGCAACCTAATAAAATGGTATAATTTAAAAATCCATTTTTGTTCTACATTTCTTTCCTTATGCTTTTCTATAGTTTCTGAATTTTCTATAAGTAATATGCCTTTCTTCTATTATCAAAAGTACATGAAATAAGTATCATTAAAATAAATTCCTACCCTCACCCGTGCCTAATTCATATCTTTCCTTCTCTCTTTCCCTACCTCAGTTCATCCCCTCTTACCACTGATTTCTTTTAAAAAGAAAAAATAGAGAGGAAAGAAAATGGGTAAAAGCAATATCAGTTGAAACCCGACCCCTAAAGCACAATTCTACCATCCTCTGAGGCTCAGAGCTCTGGTGGGCAACATTAACCTCTCGTATGCCCTGACCTCATTTGGCACAGTATAGGAACGCCATATGGGTGGAATCAAGCTGTCAGGAAGCTAACAGAAGAGCCTGAATAAGCAAGCTACCTCTCAAGTCTGGGTCTGCCTCCCTGTGCTCATGCCTGAATATTCTCAGAAAACTCCCAAGAATCCAGAATTAAAACCTATTGATGGAAACAGCATGACACAGAATTGGGCTTTGTGGTACTACAGATAACTATATTTCTGGGTAGATTTATGGTAGTGCAACCTTTAAAAATAGCAAGAATGTGTTGTACTGACAAACCTGCTGGGAACACACAGGGCTCCATTCACTTGGGCACCTTCCTGTCACTGATGAAAGCATCTGTGACTGAAAAGTGTACAAAGCGATCTTTGTTGGTCTGCCTCTGGCTAAAGTAACACAAGACTAGGGAAGAGCTGAACAGGGTGGAGTGGGTGTGGGGCCACTACCAGAGAGCTGGTCTTGACGATGGAGAAGATGCTGCCAAGAATCCCTGAGCAAATTAGCAGCTCTTTCTGCTGCCTCAGGTGAAGGTGAATGTGATGGAGAACCACAGGAAGCAGGATGCGGCGGGATTCTGGGAGAGAAAATACAAAGGTGAAGAAAACTTTAGAGGAGAACTAGCTACTGCAGGAAGCCAGTGGCATTGTGGGACTTAGCTATTCTCAAAGCAGGTGGGGTTCAGACTAGAGCAAAAGTGAAGGTAATCTCCTTACCTTACAAGGGCCTGAAAGCTCACTGCCTGGAGATTATAAGCCATCACATGACATTATTCTTCCATCTTTCCTTTGTTCTCATTTCAATACCAAGCATCCATGACATTTTGTGCAGGATGAATGTTAGGAGTCTGCTTCTAAATGAAGTATCTTTTTTTGGAAACAGGGTCTCATTCTGTCACCCAGGCTGGAATGCAGGGGCATAATCATGGCTCCCTGCAGCTTCAACTTTCTAGGATTGCTAGAGCAATCCTCCTTCCTCAGCCTCCCATGCATATGGGACCACAGGTGTATGGCACCACACTCGGATAATTTTTTAATTTTTTGTAGAGATGAGGTCTCACTATGCTGCCCAGCTAGTCTTGAACTCCTGGGCTCAAGCGATCCTCCCTCCTTGTCCTCCCCAAATGCTAAGATTACAGGTGTGAGCCACCACACCTGGTCCCAAATGAAATCTCTTTAATGATTAGACTCCAAATTAGAAGCACAGTTTACAGTGAAAATTCCATTTAAATGGTATACTTAGTATGAACTACGCTGACTGAACTCACAGGCTTGAAATGGATTATAGATTGTCCCTCTTTATGCCCTGGCTAGATAGGTAGTCTGACACTTCCACCCCTGTGAGTGTTTACCTTGCCACAGCCAACAGGCCTGCTCCCTTTCCCCCACAGGCTTGTTAGATTGCTGCTCAGTGTGTATACAGCAATGAACACAATTGAAGCATGACCTTTGTCTTGTCACAAGACTTTGATAATTAGCCAACATTTATCACCAATCCTACTGAACACTTCAAATGATTTCTCCCAGTGTTACCGAATAGCACTTTCATCAGGAGCTGACTATATTTACAATCCTAAATTCAGGAAGGCTGTCCTACTTCAAGCTCCCTTATTAACCCGTTCTGAGACCTCAGGCAAGTTGACTCCTCTCACGAGCTTTATTTTCCTCATCTGTAGAATGGGGTGTAAGGGCCTCTTCTATAATACATTTACTTCACAAGGAAGGTTAGGAGACATGTGAAATACAAGTGTGAATGCGTTTCTGGCACCCTGTATTCCTACGTGGTCAGTGATTGTGTGACTCTGCAGGTCCCATCATATCTGGCTAGCATGATTTAGTCAGATTATCAGTAACACAAACAAGCCATGGCATTTTAGATTTATCGTTCATATCTGTCCTTTGTTAAGAGTTCCATATGAAATTCAGACAGCAAATCTTTTTCAGTCAAAGACAAAGTACATGACATATAAGAGATTTGGGCACTGCCTTGTCAAATGCTTAGAATATGTTCAAACAGAATAGAATACTAGCTAGTCTAGATTTAAAAGGCTGCTTGAATAAAAAAAGTTGATACTGCACTATGTAGATGAAAATACCAACATACTTAGTTTTTGTAACAACCAATAGCTGCTTACAGAAAAAAACAGTGGTTAGTTACTAGAACCTGCTGAAGAAGAGACCAAACTTATACTTTGAGAATACCAGTGCTGGTTAAAGGACATCACTGGTAAAGAACCTTTTGCTTCAGGGAAGATGCTGCAACTCAGGCATTCAATGAAAGTGAGATGCAAATGAAATTTTGGTGCTGTTTGTCATCTAAAATCCAATTACATAGTCCAGGGCCACATAAATATTAAGAAAATTTTTCTGAAGTGTTTGTGTGAAGCAGCAAGTACATGCAGAGATATTAGAAATAAAGTATGTCAGTGAGAGCAGTCTGCTGTTCCCCTTCCCATATATTTTGAAAGCATTTTCTTTCTTTTTTTTTTTTTTTTGAGACAGAGTCTCACTCTGTCGCCCAGGCTGGAGTGCGGTGGCGTGATCTCGGCTCACTGCAAATTCTGCCTCCTGGGTTCACGCCATTCTCCTGCCTCAGCTTCCTGAGTAGCTGGGACTACAGGCGCCCACCACCATGCCTGGCTAAATTTTGTATTTTTAGTAGAGACAGGGTTTCACCATGTTAGCCAGGATGTCTCGATCTCCTGATGTCATGATCCACACACCTTGGCCTCCCAAAGTGCTGGGATTACAGGCGTGAGCCACCGTGCCCGGCCAAAAGCATTTTCTTTAAGCAGTGCACAAAGCTCAAGTGTGTACAGTGGCCTTCAGTGACAGTGTGCCCCAAACCATTAATAAAATCTTCAGTATAGGAGCTGGAGAAGAGAGAACTGTTTACCAGCATAAACAGTTCCTGGTGGAAAAAAGATGACTTTCTTGGTGGCAGCTTTACTACTACTAGCAATATCATACGCTGGCAGAGCTAAGTCAAAGGGAACATCTATTTAGTATTACAAATGTGTGTAGCAGTGGGCTGAGAAATTTTTGTTCTTACACATTAAAAGTCAAACCTGGCCGGGCGCGGTGTCTCACACCTGTAATCCCAGCACTTTGGGAGGCTGAGGCGGGTGGATCATGAGGTCAGGAATTCGAGACCAGCCTGGCCAATATGGTGAAACCCCGTCTCTACTAAAAATACAAAAAAAAAAAAAAAAATTAGCCAGGCATGGTGGTGCATGCCTGTAGTCCCAACTACTTGGGAGGCTGAGGCAGGAGAATCATTTCAACCTGGGAGGCGGAGGCTGCGGTGAGCTGAGATCATGCCACTGGACTCTAGCCTGGGCAACAGAGCGAGACTCCGTCTCAAAAAAAAAAAAAAGTCAAACCTAAAAAATTAACCACCAAAAATTATAAAAATTCTAATAATTGTTTTGCTGGTGTTTCAGATTTATTTCTGTGCCTCAGAAGTTTATCCTAGCACAGTGATATTATTCTTAAAGAATCAGGCTCATATTGATCTTAATATATGGCCATTGAGCATTTGGTTGTCCCTGCAAGGCAGAACTTGATCACATATGATGTGTCTTCAGGAATAAAACCAGAAGTTCTTTGTGAAAGACAGACTAGGCTGCTAGTATATTAGATTGTCCTGACCCCTTGGGGAGCATAAAGAGCTCCCTGTCCATTTCTCTCTCTAATCCTTGTTGGTTCTCCAAAGACTGGAAAGGTATCGAATGGTATGGCAAGGAAACAAGAAAGCACAGGGTCCTCAGGGCCCCTTTCAGGGCCTTTTTTTTTTTTTTTTTTTCCTGAGACAGTCTCGCTCTGTTGCTCAGGCTTGAGTACAATGGCGTGATCTTGGCTTACTGCCACCTCCGCCTCCTGGGTTCGAGCAATTCTCCTGCCTCAGACTCCTGAGTAGCTGGGATTACAGGTGCCTGCCACCATGCCTAGCTAATTTTTTGTATTTTCAGTAGAGATAGGGTTTCACCCTGTTTGCCAGGCTAGTCTTGAACTCCTGACCTCAAGTGATCTGTAGGGCCTCTTTTATTTTCTTGGCTTATCCTTATTTCCTTGAGATAGTCCCTTCTCTTTTCCTCTCCTTCCTTTCCTGAGGGTATAGCAGGCTCTGTTCTTGGAAGCTGTGGGCCTGGAGGCAGGGCCCTCATGAACAAGATTAGCGACCTTTTAAAAAAAAAGACCCCAGAGAGCTGCCTTGCCCCTTCTGCTATGTGAGAACACAGAGAGAAGACAGCTGTCTATGAACCAGGAAGTGGGCCTCACCAGACATTGAATCTACTGGTGCTTTGATCTTAGACTTCCTAACCTCCAGAACTATGAGAAAGTTTGCTGTTTACATGCCACCCAGTCTATGGTATTCTGTTACAGTAGCCTGAATGGACTCAGCACCACCCCAGTGACATGCCCCTATGTGTGGATTCCTAGGAATAAACTGTGAGTAAGGCAGTAGGCCTAGGTCTTGGCTGCATTCTCTATTATAGTTTATCAAAAAATTCTGTATCTTAAGGGTTACTGGTTTCTTGCATAATCGTTGAGGAAACTGATCCTTTGATTATCACTTTGCTATCACCCCTGGAAGGAAGGAGGACACCCCTGGAAGGAAGGAGGACTCTCATCCCAACTTGATTTACCTGAGAAAGAAAACAGGCGGCTATCCACTGTCCTGGCAATGGACTGCAGCTTGACCACGTCCATTGACTGCCCAATGTGCACAGTGCTGGGCATGCTCCCCAGTGTCCCTCTCACAAACTCTGCCACCTCTTGCACGGTGAACATTTGCAGAAGCTCATCAAAGATGGTTGGGAAAGAATTGAGGAGTGCAGCCTGCAGAAGCAAATGAAGCTGTGGTTAGCACAGAGTTAGGGTGTGTGTCTATCTTTCATGCTCAGACAATGATACAAGGTGGTGAGAGGCTGAGAAGGCACTGTAGCATCTCTGCCTTCGGTGGGCTCCTCCCTGGCCACTGACTACAGCACTCAGGCATGGAGCAAGAAAAACCAAAAAGGAAACCAAAACAAGATAATTTACTGGGATCCAGGCAATTGGAGGCTTTCATAACTTGCATATAGCATTTGCTGGCAAGAGAATGGGGTATAAAGAAAAATCTGCTCAATGTGGCTTAAGATCCACAGTTGTTTTTGTTCATAAAATGGATTTAGATTTTTGTTTGTCTCTATGATCAAGTTCTTAACTTTCCAATTTTGGTTCCAAACTCAAGAAAGTATGGCAGAGAGAGCTGAGTTCCTTCAAGCAGCACCAGCTGAACTCTGCTCACAGCCCTGCAGCCAGTGATCCAGTTCTGAGAGCTGTACCATTTCCCCAGAATAGAGATTCTCATTTGCAACCATGAAATATGAAGACTTCATAAATTATTTTCTTCATAAGTGATGCCTGGTAGTCTCAAGAGTAAATTCAAGAGGATGGGAAATGTGTGTATTTAGTTAGCCATAAACTCTTGAGGACTGTTGACGTGGGCTTAGAGTTCAGCCACCTAAACACCCAAGCAAGGGGAGTGGGAGTGTGCATGTTAGGCTTTTCTTCTAGGATGTAAGCTCTGGCAGACCATAAGGTAGTTTCTTGAGAACAATCTGATAATAGAACAGTTCCACAGCCTTTGGGAGGCAGAGCACTATAGGAAAAAGAGAATGGGTTTTGGAATTAGACACGAGTTCAAATCCAAGCTTTACCGCTTACCTGACACACAAACTTTGGCAAGTTACTGCCTAATTCTCTGTTTCCCCATCTATAAAATGGGGATGATGCTATTACTTATGTCTTGATACTGGTATGAGGGAAATTTTTACATAAAGTTTCTAGTAGAGTGCCTGGAACACAATAGGCCTTTGATACATGCTGGTTCTTATTATTTTCTCTTGTCTAAGTGGAAGCAGCATGAAGACTTTTCACTTCTCAGTCCCCTTATGCCATTAACTCAGGATTTACAAAGAGAAATGGAGTGCCATCTTGAGACAAAAAGGTGAGAATGCACCCTTCCCAAATGGCAGGCTGGGGAGGGAAGGCTGTTTTCTTGACTGCTCCATCAGGCAACAGACACTGGCTTAGAGTGAGTGAAAATTTATGCCATGGAAAACAGGCTTGTGCTGTGGTCTTTATTCAGGCCAGGCCCAATTGGAGAACTTATATGAATTCTATCTGCAGATTTATAACTCCCTGGAATATCAAGGAGATTGTTTTGCAGTAATTAGAATCAGAACAAAACATATCATTGGCAGCTTAGATATAAAAGACAAAGCAGTGGTAAAGTAGGTGCTTTATAATCAATAACAAACAGTAACTCATTTGCTCTCTTAAATGGTAAAATATCCTGTACTTAGACACCAGGACAGAAGGACTCTCACACCCTGACATCTTCTAGTGGTCATAATCAAAGATATAAAGTCTAACTGAATAATATACATATATATATTATGTATATATATGCATATATATGTATATTATTATATGTATATTATTATACGTATAAATAAATATATATATATAGAGAGAGAGAGAGAGAGACAGTGAGAGAGAGAGAGAGAGAGAGTTGTGAAACTCAGGAAACATGAGCCTTGCACCAAAGAAGAAGGTCTGATTCTCACACAGGTCTTAGCCGAGACCAGATCTAAGCTATTTATCTTGATGTAGTAGGAGTGTGCCACTCAGTACAGGGCATTATTGTGTTACAAAGTTCCCAGAAAGCATATCTGCATTGCTTTGCTAGCTACCTCTAATCTCTCCATATTTTGGCTGTGGGAGGGGAATCAAAAAGGAAGATGAGCAGCTTAAGGTACTTAGAAGGGGAGATCACAGGTGTCTTTCTTACAGAAGCACCTGGAAGCCTTCAGGTACTCCCTTATAGAGTTCCTTATAGACTCCCTTATAGAGTCCACTCCCTTACAGAGTCAAGGAAGCCTTAAGGTACTCCCAGTTGATCACCTGTCCTCTGGGCTGAGAAACCTATAGGCAACTGGTATCAAGAGGCAACACAGAGGCAAGCGGAAAACAAAAAAGTAGACTATTTTAATCTTAAATGAGGCAGAGTTTAAATATATACTTGGGCTAACAATATACCTGGCAGTGACTGAATGACTGGACATGAGAGAGGCTGTCTGATCTTTGCTGACAGGTTTTGGTGTAATATTTAGCTTCAAAAAGTTGAAGAACTATACACTATTACATAAAAATTCTGACATTCATTTGTAAGGAAAAATATCTCCCTTTTGACTGGGGTAATGAATTCTTGATTTGTTCTAGGGTAAGGCTGTGTGGAAAGGTAACAGATTAGCTGGCCAGGCAGTTTTGTTTGTTTTTGAGACAGAGTTTCACTCTGTTGCCCAGGCTGGAGTGCAGTGGTGCAATCACAGCTCACTGTAGCCTTAACTTCTTGGGCTCAGGTGATTGGTCAGGTAGTTTTAATATAAGAAAGCAAATTTTCTTCCCATACTGATATTTCTAATATTGAATCTAATCTAATCTTTTTTTGAAGTTTTAATTATTTATTATACTTTAAGCTCTGGGATACATGTGCAGAATGTGCAGGTTTGTTACATAAGTATACACGTGCCATGGTGGTGTGCTGCACCCATCAACCCATCATCTACATTAGGTATTTCTCCTAATGCTATCCCTCCCCTAGTCCCCCGACCCCCAACAGGCCCAGGTGTGTAATGTTCCCCTCCCTGTGTCCATGTGTTCTCATTGTTTACCTCCCACTTATGAATGAGAACATGTGGTGTTTGGTTTTCTGTTCCTGTGTTAGTTGACTGAGAATGATGGTTTCCAGCTTCATCCATGTCCCTGCAAAGGACATAAACTCATCCTTTTTTATGGCTGCATAGTATTCCATGGTGTATATGTGCCACATTTTCTTTATCTAGTCTATGACTGATGGGCATTTGGGTTGGTTCCAAATCTTTGCTATTGTCAACAGTGCTGCAATAAACGTATGTGTGTGGCTGGGCGCGGTGGCTCATGCGTGTAATCCCAGCACTTTGGGAGGCTGGGGCAGGTGGATCACCTGAGGTCAGGAGTTCGAGACTAGCCTGGCAAACAGGATGAAACCCCATTTCTAATAAAAAATGAAAAAATTAGCTGAACATGGTGGCATGCGCCTGTAATCCCAGCTAGTCAGGAGGCTGAGGCAGGAGAATCACTTGAACACGGGAGGTGGAGGTCGCAGTGAGCTGGGATCGCTCCATTGCACTCCAGCTTGGGCAACAAGAGTGAAACTCCATCTCAAAAAAAAAAAAAAAAGAAAGAAAAAAACCATACGTGCGCATGTGTCTTTATAGTAGAATGATTTATAATCCCTTGGGTTTATAGCCAGAAATGGGATCGCTGGGTCACATGTATTTCTAGTTCTAGATCCTTGAGGAATCACCACACTGTCTTCCACAATGGTTGAACTAATTTACACTTCCACCAACAGTGTAAAAGCATTCCTATTTCTCCACATCCTCTCCAGCATCTGTTGTATCCTAACTTTTTAATGATCGCCATTCTAACTAGTGTGAGATGGTATCTCATTGTGGTTTTGATTTGCATTTCTCTAATGACCAGTGATGATGAGCTTTTTTTCATATGTTGGTTGGCTGCATAAATGTCTTCTTTTGAGAAGTGTCTGTTCATATCCTTCGCCCACTTTTTGATGGTTTTTTCTTGTAAATTTGTTTAAGTTCTTTGTAGATTTTGGATATTAGCCGTTTGTCAGATGGATAGATGGCAAAAATTTTCTCCTATTCTATAGCTTGCCTGTTCACTCTGATGATAGCTTCTTTTGCTGTGCAGAAGCTCTTTAGTTTAATCAGATTCCATTTGTCAATTTTGGCTTTTGATGCCACTGCTTTTGGTGTTTTAGTCATGAAATCTTTGCCTATGCCTATGTCCTGAATGGTATTGCCTAGATTTTCTTGTAGGGTTGTTATGGTTTTAGGTCTTATGTTTAAGTCTTTAATACATCTTGAGTTAATTTTTGTATAAGGTGTAAGGAAGGGGTCCAGTTTCAATTTTCTGCATATGGCTAGCCAGTTTGCCAACACCATTTATTAAATAGGGAATCCTTTCCCCATTGCTTCTTTTGTCAGGTTTGTCAAAGATCAGATGATTGTAGATGTGTGGTGTTATTTCTGAGGCCTCTGTTCTGTTCCATTCGTCTATATATCTGTTTTGGTACCAGTACCATACTGTTTTGGTTACTGTAGCCTTGTAGTATAGTTTGAAGTCAGGTAGTATAATGCCTCCAGCTTTGTTCCTTTGGCTTAGGATTGACTTGGCAATGCGGGCTCTTTTTTGGTTCCATATGAACTTTAAAGTAGTTTTTTCTAATTCTGTGAAGAAAGTCAGTGGTAGCTTGATGGGGATGGCATTGACTCTATAAATTACTTTGGGCAGTATGGCCATTTTCACGATATTGATTCTTCCTATCCATGAGCATGGGATGTTTTTCCATTTGTCTGTGTCCTCTCTTATTTCCTTGAGCAGTGGTTTGTAGTTCTCCTTCAAGAGTTCCTTCATATCCCTTCTAAGTTGTATTCCTAGGTATTTTATTATCTTTGTAGCAATTGTAAAGGGGCGTTCACTCATGATTTGGCTCTCTGTTTGTCTATTATTGGTGTATAGGAATGCTTTTTGTATCCTGAGACTTTGCTGAAGTTGCTTATCAGCTTAAGGAGATTTGGGGCTGAGACAATGGGGTTTTCTAAATATATAATCATGTCATCTGTAAACAGAGACAATTTCACTTCCTCTCTTCCTATTTGAATGCCCTTTATTTTTTTCTCTTGCCTGACTGCCCTGGCCAGAACTTCCAATACTATGTTGAATAGGAGTGTGAGAGAGGGCATCCTTGTCTTGTGCTGGTTTTCAAAGGGAACATTTCCAGCTTTTACCCATTCAGTATATTGGCTGTGGGTTTGTCATAAATAGCTCTTATTACTTTGAGATACGTCCCATCAATACCTAGTTTATTGAGAGTTTTTAGCATGAAGTGATGTTGAATTTTATTGAAGGCCTTTTCTGCATCTATTGAGATAATAAAGTAGTTTTTGTCATTGGTTCTGTTTATGTGATGGATTACATTTATTTTTTTGTGTAGGTTGAACCAGCCTTACATCCCAGGGATGAAGCTGACTTGATTGTGGTGGATAAGCTTTTTGATGTGCTGCTGGATTCGGTTTGCCAGTATTTTATTGAGGATTTTCGCATCAATGTTCATCAGGGATAGTGGCCTGAAATTTTCTGTTTTTGTTGTGTCCCTGCCAGGTTTGGTATCAGGATGATGCTGGATTCATAAAATGAGTTCGGGAGGAGTCCCTCTTTTTCTATTGTTTGGAATAGTTTCAGAAGGAATGGTATCACCTCTTCTTTGTACCTCTGGTAGAATTTGGCTGTGAATCCGTCTGGTCCTGGGATTTTTTTGGTTGTACGCTGCTAATTTCTACCTCAATTTCAGATCTTATTATTGGTCTATTCAGGGGTTCAACTTCTTCCTGGTTTAGTCTTGGGATGGCGCATGTGTCCAGGAATTTATAAATTTCTTCCAGAGTTTCTAGTTTATTTGCACAGAGGTGTTTATAGTATTCTCTGATGGTAGTTTCTATTTCTGTGGGATCAGTGGTGATTGCCCCTTTATCACATTTTTTGTTGTGTCTATTTGATTCTTCTCTCTTTTCTTCATTAGTCTGGCTAGCAGTCTATCTATTTTGTTAATCTTTTCAAAAAACCAGCTTCCAGATTAATTAATTTTTTCAAGGATTCTTTGTGTCTCTGTTCTGATCTAAGTTATTTATTTATTTATTTATTTATTTATTTTTTGAGACTGAGTCTCGCTCTGTCACCCAGGCTGGAGTGTGGTGGCGCGATCTTGGCTCACTGCAAGCCCCGCCTCCCAGGTTCAGGCCATTCTCCTGCCTCAGCCTCCCTAGTAGCTGGGACTACACGTAACCGCCACCATGCCCGGCTAATTTTTTGTATTTTTAGTAGAGACGGGGTTTCACCGTGTTGGCCAGGATGGTCTTGATCTCCTGACCTCATGATCTGCCCGCCTCAGCCTCCCAAAGTGCTGGGATTACAGGTGTGAGCCACCAAGCCCGGCTAGTTATTTCTTGTCTTCTGTTAGCTTTTGAATTTGTATGCTCTTGCTTCTCTAGTTCTTTTAACTGTGATGTTTGGGTGTCAATTTTAGATATTTCCCGCTTTCTCCTGTGGGCATTTAGTGCTATAAATTTCTCTCTAAACACTGCTTTAGCTGTGTCCCAGAGGTTCTGGTATGTTGTGTCTTTGTTCTCATTGGTTTCAAAGAACCTCTGCCTTAATTTCGTTATGTACCCAGTAGTCATTCAGGAGCAGGTTGTTCAGTTTCCATGTAGTTGTGTGGTTTTGAGTGAGTTTCTTAATCCTGAGTTCTAATTTGATTGTACTGTGGTCTGAGAGACTGTTATGATTTCTGTTCTTCTGCATTTGCCGAAGAGTGTTTTACTTCCAATTATGTGGTCAGTTTTAGAATATGTGCAATGTGGTGCTGAGAAGAATGTATATTCTGTTGATTTGGGGAGGAGAGTTCTGCAGATGTCTATCAGGTCTACTCGGTCCAGAGCTGATTTCAAGTTCTGAATATCCTTGTCAATTTTCTGTCTCACTGATCTAATACTGAGAGTGGGATGTTAAAGTCTCCCACTATTATTCTGTGGGAGTCTAAGTCTCTTTATTGGACTCTAAGAACTTGCTCTATGAACCTGGGTGCTCCTCTAATGGGTGCATATATATTTTGGATAATTAGCACTTCTTGTTGCATTGATCCCTTTACCATTATGTAATATCCTTGACTTTTATGATCTTTGTTGGTTTAAAGTCTGTTTTATCAGATACTAGGATTGCAACCCATGCTTTTTTTGGTTTTCCATTTGCTTGGTAAATAGTCCTCCATCCCTGTATTTTGAGCCTATGTGTGTCTTTGCATGTGAGATGGGTCTCCTGAATACAACACACTGATGGGTCTTGACTCTTTATCCAATTTGCCAGTCTGTGTCTTTTAATTGGGGCATTTAGCCCATTTACATTTAAGGTTAATATAGTTATGTGTGAATTTCATCCTGTCATTATGATGCTAGCTGGTTATTTTGCCCGTTAGTTGATGCAGTTTCTTCATAGTGTCGATGATCCTTATAATTTGGTATGTTTTTGCAGTGGCTGGTACCGGTTTTTCCTTTCCATATTTAGTGCTTCCTTCAGGAGCTCTTGTAAGGCAGGCCTGGTGGTGACAAAATCTCTCAGCATTTGCTTGTCTGTAAAAGATTTTATTTCTCCTTCACTTATGAAGCTTAGTGTGGCTGGATATGAAATTCTGGGTTGAAAATTCTTTTCTTTAAGAATGTTGAATATTGGCCCCCACTCTCTTCTGGTTTGTAGGGTTTCTGCAGAGAAATCTGCTCTTAGTCTGATGGGCTTCTCTTTGTGGGTAACCTGACCTTTCTCTCTGGCTGCCTTTAACATATTTTCCTTCATTTCAATCTTGGTGATTCTGACGATTATGTGTCTTGGGGCTGCTCTTCTCGAGGAGTATCTTTGTGGTGTTCTCTGTATTTCCTGAATTTGAATGTTGGCCTGTCTTGCTAGGTTGAGGAAGTTCTCCTGGATAATATCCTGAAGAGTGTTTTCCAACTTGGTTCCATTCTCCCTGTCACTTTCAGGTACACCAATCAAACATAGGTTTGGTCTTTTCACATAGTCCCATATTTCTTGGAGGCTTTGTTTGTTCCTTTTCATTCTTTTTTCTCTAATCTTGTCTTCACGACTTATTTCAGTAAGTTGATCTTCAATCTCTGATATCCTTTCTTCCACTTGATCAGTTTGGCTATTGATACTTCTGTATGCTTCACAAAGTTCTTGTGCTGTGTTTTTCAGCTCCATCAGGTCATTTATGTTCTTCTCTAAACTGGTTATTGTAGTTAGCAATTCCTCTAACCTTTTTTCGAGGTTCTTAGCTTCCTTGCATTGGGTTAGAACATGCTCCTTTAGCTTGGAGGAGTTTGTTATTACCCACCTTCTGAAGCCTACTTCTGTCAATTCATCAAACTCATTCTCTGTCCAGGTTTGTTACCTTGCTGGCTAGGAGTTGTGATCCTCTGGAGGAGAAGAGGCGTTCTGGTTTTTTGGAATTTTCAGCCTTTTTGCACTGGTTTTTCTTTGTCTTCCTGGATTTATCTACCTTTGGTGTTTGATGTTGTTGACCTTCGGATAGGGTTTCTGTGTGGATGTCCTTTTTGTTGATGTTGATGCTATTCCTTTCTGTTTGTTAGTTTTTCTTCTAACAGTCAGGCCCCTCTGTTAGAGGTCTGCTGGGGTTTGCTGGAGGTCCACTTCAGACCCTGTTTGCCTGGGTATCACCAGCAGAGGCTGCAGAACAGCAAAGATTGCTGCCTATTCCTTCCTCTGGAAGCTTCGTCCCAGAGGGGCACCCACCAGATGCCAGCCAGAGCTCTCCCGTATGAGGCGTCTGTCATCCCCTACTGGGAGATGTCTCCCAGTCAGGAGGCACGGGGGTAAGGGATCCACTTAAGGAGACAGTCTGTCCCTTAGCAGAGCTCGAGCACTGTGCTGGGAGATCTCCCATTCCCTTCAGAGCCGGCAGGCAGGAACATTTAAGTCTGCTGAAGCTGTGCCCACAGCTGCCCCTTCCCCGAGGTGTTCTATCCCAGGGAGATGGGAGTTGGATCTAGAAGCCCCTGACTGGGCCTGCTGTCTTTCTTTCAGAGATGCCCTGCCCACAGAGGAGGAATCTAGAGAGGCAGTCTGGCTACAGTGGCTTGGCAGCACTGTGGTGGGCTCTGCCTTGTCCAAAGTTCCTGTCAGCTTTTTTTTACACTGTGAGGGGAAAACTGCCTACTCAAGCCTCTGTAATGGTGGATGCTCCTCCCCTGACCAAGCTTGAGTGTCCCAGATCGACATCAGACTGCTGTGCTGGCAGTGAGAATTTCAAGCCAGTGGATCTTAACTTGCTGGGCTCCGTGGGGGTGGGATTCACTGAACTAGACCGCTTGTCTCCCTGGCTTCAGCCCCCTTTCCAGGGGAGTGAACGGTTCTGTCTCGCTGACATTCCAGGCTCCACTGGGGTATGAGAAAAACTCCTGCAGCTAGCTCAGTGTCTGCCCAAACAGTGGCCCAGTTTTCTGTTTGAAACCCAGGGCCCTGGTGGTGTAGGCACCTGAGGGAATCTCCTGGTCTGCAGGTTGCAAAGACCATGGGAAAAGCGTAGTATCTGGGCCGGAATGCACTGTTCCTCAAGGCAGTCTCTCCCAGCTTCCCTTGGGTAGGGGAGGGAGTTCCCCAACCCCTTGTACTTCCAAGGTGAGGCGACGCCCCACCCTCCTTCTGCTTGCCCTCCATGGGTGCACCCACTGTCTAGCCAGTCCCAATGAGATGAGCCGGGTACCTCAGTTGGAAATGCAGAAATCACCTGCCTTTTGTGTTGATCTCGCTGGGAGCTGCAGTCCGGAGCTGTTCCTATTTGGCCATCTTGCCAGCCCTCTGATCCTAATTTAATCTTAATTCTTAGCCAAAGATTCCTAGTTACTCCTACTGTTTTTCAAATTATTTCATTCAACTTCTGGAATGGATAAAAGCTAATCTAAATTTTCTTTTTTTTTCTTTTTCTTTTTGGAGACAGAGTCTCAGTCTGTTGCCCAGGCTGGAGTGCAGTGGTGCGATCTTGGCTCACTGCAACCTCTGCCTCCCGGGTTCAAGCAATTCTCCTGCCTCAGCCTCCTGAGTAGCTGGGACTACAGGTGCATGCTAGCACACCCAGCTAATTTTTTTGTATTTTTAGTAGAGATGGGGTTTCATCATGTTGCCCAGGCTGGTCTTGAACTCCTGAGCTCAAGCAATCCGCCCACCTTGGCCTCCCAAAGTGCTAGGATTACAGGTGTGAGCCACTGTGCTCAATTTTCATTAATACAATGATTAATCTGGAAATAAAATTCCCCATACATTCTCAATATCTCCTATGAATAAGGTGTTCATAAAAAACTAAGTAGTATGGTAGCTAAATAAACTTGGTCTAAAGACTGTTCACAGAACAAATTTGTGCTTCTTCTCCAACATAAAGCCACTGAGCTGTTTTACATCTGGCAGCTGAGGCACAGCCAGATTTGCAGTAAAAGCAGCATTTTGTTGTATCAGGTATTTCCTTGTAAATAATCCCTTACCCAACACACATGATCCTGGCAGGGCTTCTTCATCTCTGAAAACCAGAGGACAAAGAAACCACCCACTGAGAAAGAGGAACCCAGCATCAAAGCTTCCCTGCAGTGTGCGAACCTGAGTAAAAAGGAGTGTTTCTGAGTTTCGGCTGTCCAGACTGAGCACAAACCGGATGGACTGGAAAAGTTCTTGGATACTGGATCTGAATTGTTCCTCTTCCATTCCACAAGTGGCTCGTGAGTACAGGATCCGTGACTGTACAATGAACTTGAAAAGGTACTCCAAGGCCTGAAAAGTGTGGGAGAAAAAGTGATGGAGAGATGTTGAAGATGCTCAGGAACTCACATAGCAGGAAACAAGGGGCAAAGTAACAGCAGTTTCTATACCAAAATCAGGTGTTGGGCAATTCTAACTATGGAGATAGATAGGTACTTTATTTTTAAAAATTTTTTCTCAAATATCCAAATTGTCACTAAGCAGCAGCTACCTTCTTACTGAAAGAATCATCAAATAATTTCACAACTGTTTTCTGAGGTTCTGGAATTAAGGAGCCATAGACTGTTATAGAAATAGTTGAATTCAAGACCACTCAGAGTTTAAAAAATAAGTTTCTCTGTATTTTTTTTCAGGTCTGGAAATAAAAGGGTCACAAGGCAAGGATGTAAGAAAGACTCAAGTTTACTGCAAGAAGGAAGTGTCCTAAAGGACTGAGGAATCCTCAGACTTAGGAGTCTCCTACATCTTTAAGATATAGCTGGGGCCTGACACAGTTCCTCCTTTTTCACCAGGGGTCACAGAAATCTGAAGAAAACCTGTCCCAGGCTGCACAGCAGCTGATAGGCCTGATACATCCAGTATCCACCCTCTTCCCACCAAGACATCTGCTATAAGCAGTTCATAAATGGTACAAGATGAAGCTTCTGCAAAAATGTTTGGGAGCAGAATCTGATTCTGAGGAGTTCCTGACGCTTGGCCCATGCTTACAGAGTAATTTTCTTTTAAGAGAACAAATTCAAGACCCAATACTATGTTTTCTAATAAAAAAAAAATGCCACAGATTTCCCAGACACTGAAAAGCCAGAAATAATGGAGAGAAACTTATGCAAGGCTGAAACAAACAGAAGTCAGGTACTTGAAATATAAAACAGGAAACAATTCCCAAACTACCTTTCATGATCTATCCAGCTGTTAGATGGTTTGGAAAAGCAGAACTTAATATTTTGTGGCCCATACAAAATTCAGTTGGCACTGGGGAATGCCAGTTTAGAAAAATGTGTCTTACAGGGCTTGTACCAGATGATTCTGTAGAAGGATTTAGTGTGCGGCCTCATCTCCATAAATGCTACACCCTCTGTTCTAGTAGCTTTTTAATGCCTAGTCTATAAAGAACTTGAAATATCTGTTAGTTTCTAAACCCAGACACTTGCAGGCTGGACTCTGCCACTGCTCTAGTATGTCTATATTGTGGTGACTCTTCAGGCCCATGAAGCAGAAAGTATACACTTCTGAGCTAGCTTCATTTATTAGCTTATGCCAGTTTGAAGTCACTGAAGTAGGAGGTATTTTCTATCGGAACAAAGAAAATAAATGTTTGCATTTTCCAAACTAAATGGCTAGGTAGCAGGTCTGACCTTCCCCTTTAGGTATTTTGGTTTTGTATGATTAAGATGATGGCTTGCTGGGCTCAGCAGAGGACAAAAGAGGGACAAGGTCAGAACTGACACCCTGGAATCCTTATAGGTAGGGACTAGAATCCCTATAGGTAAAGGATAGAACAGAACTTCTTGGAGCAGCCTAAAAAGCCAGGATGTACTCGGGAGGCTGAGGCACGAGAATGGCGTGAACCCAGGAGGTGGAGCTTGCAGTGAGCCGAGATCACGCCACCGCACTCCAGCCTGGTGAACTGAGCAAGACTCCGTCTCCAAAAAAAAAGAAAGCCAGGATGGTTTCCTCAGTTAGGTCACACAGAAAATGAAAAGAATTAAGACCTGGAAAGATTCACCAAAAATGTATTATGCATAGAAGTAGAAAATGAACTTGTTGAGCATCTTACTGTCATATGCCCAAGCCCCGGAAGATGCAGGAAGGATCGGCAATTACGTGGAGCACTGGAAGTAAAGACAGGAAAATAAATGAGTTTTTTTTGAGAAGTGGAATTTTAGGTCTCCTGAGAGGTAGGCAAATCTAATTATGTGCTCCATACTACTCCTCTAATTTTAAAAAGTTTTTTTGTTTGGTTTTTAAGTTTGAAACAGTTATCACAAGAGATGTAATGAGTGGCATGAAACATTCACCAGTTTCAGGGAGGCAGAACCAGACAGCGAAGTGACTTGCACCTTTTGGGCATGAGAGCTTGCTTCCTCTATTAGGTTACACAATATAAGACAACTAGCAGAGGAGCACAAGGCTGATGTCAGAGAAGTCTCCATGAAAACCTGGATGAGGACATGGAACATAAACCCACTTCCAGTCATCTCTGAGTACCTGACTTCCCTCTTCCCCATTCCTCTTGAAGTTTTGGATCAGCACCATCTTGGTCAGGACCAGGTGATGCTGGCCACCTCTGACAGATTCAACTGGGGAAGGAGAGCGGGGCAGAGGAGTGGAATAGAAGGTGAGAGGTGGAGCCTGTGGAATTTGTTCAAGGTTTAAAGGTGCTCCTAATACTGTGTAGAGACAATGGAGCACTTAACTGTGGCTGAAGCAGCTGCCCTGTCCATTTTTGTTTAAGTTAATAAACCTGTAAGAAAAAGAGATCCTAAAAGTTATTACCATGTTTGTATCACCAAGAAGATCCACCGTGCCCTCTCTTTCCTCCTTGTGGCTACCTGCTAAGGAACTGATACAGCTCAGCAGTGAAGTGTGCTATTGTTTTGGAATGCCTTGTGAAGAGCCACCCTAAAACCCACAATGACACCCCCTACATGCCTCTCACATTGTGAACAAACAATATAACCAAGTAAGAAATAATAAACTTTTTATTTTCACCTTCTTCAATAGAACTTTTCTTAAGGTCATGCTTCTGAAGGTAAAAGGAGATAAGGTTATGAGTGGAAAGATATATTGAATCAAAAGTATTAAGGAAGAAGTTTCCTGGTTCATAGCTTTTGATACTGGAATGAGAAGTATCAGGCCAGGAGCATGCATCCTATGAAGAAGAAGGAAAACAGGATTAGATGGAAACTTACTAATCTGGTGAAGGAGACTTATAAGCTGAAATCTGACGAAGAGGAGGAAATGACCTGATAAAACCTTAGTGTTGGACGTATTACAGAACAAGTGTGAAGTGGTGAGAACAAATATGAAAACACCTCAGAAAAATGCTCCCCCAAAGGGAATTCTTCCTTCTCCCTACCCAAACCTTATCTTTCCCAGAATTCTGTACCTCCATAAATGGCCTTGCCATCAACTCAGCTGATCTAGCAAGACCCCTTGGAAACAGCCACAGTTCTCCCTTATTATCATCTTCTACATCCGGTCTAGCATTTGAAAGCCCTTGCTTTAGTCACATCAGTTGCCTTTTGGTTCCTTAAAAGCCCAAGCTCTTGGGGATGGGTGCAATGGCTCATGCCTGTAATTCCAGCACTTTGGAAGGTGGAGGTGGGTGGATCACCTGAGGTCAGGAGTCTGAGACCAGCCTGACCAACAGGGTGAAACCCCGTCTCTACTAAAAACACAAAAAATTAGCCAGCTGTGGTGGCATAAGCCTATAATCCCAGCTACTTGGGAGGCTGAGACAGGAGAATCGCTTGAACACGGGAGGTGGAGGCTGCAGTGAGCCAAGATTGTGCCTCTGCAGTCCAGCCTGCACAACAAGAGTGAGACTCCATCTAAAAAAAAAAAAAAAAAACAAAAACGAAAACTCAAGCTCTTCGCTGGGTGCGATGGCTCACACCTGTAATCCCAGAACTTTGGGATGCCAAGGCAGCCGGATCACCTGAGGTCAGGAGTTTGAGACCAGCCTGGCCAATATGGTGAAACCCCATCTCCACAAATAATACAAAAATTAGCTGGGCATGGTGGCATGCGCCTGTAATCCCAGCTACTCAGGAGACTAAGGCAGGAGAATCACTTAAACCCAGGAGGCAGAGGTTGCACTGAGCAGATATCAGGCCACTGCACTCCAGCCTGGGCAACAGAGTAAGTGAGACTGTGTCTCAAAAAACAAAACAAGGAGGAGGTTCCAAGATGGCTGAATAGGAACAGCTCCAGTCTACAGCTCCCAGCGTGAGCGATGCAGAAGACAGGTGATTTCTGCATTTCCAGCTGAGCCTCCGCTGGTGATAACCAGGCAAACAGGGTCTGGAGTGGACCTCCGGCAAACTCCAACAGACCTGCAGCTGAGGGTCCTGACTGTTAGAAGGAAAACTAACAAACAGAAAGGACATCCACACCAAAAACCCATCTGTATGTCACCATCATCAAAGACCAAAGGTAGATAAAACCACAAAGATGGGGAGAAACCAAAGCAGAAAAGCTGAAAATTCTAAAAATCAGAGGGCCTCTTCTCCTCCAAAGGAACACAGCTCCTCGCCAGCAACAGAACAAAGATGGATGGAGAATGACTTTGACGAGTTGAGTGAAGAAGGCTTCAGACTATCGGTAATAACAAACTTCTCCGAGCTAAAGGAGGATGTTCGAACCCATTGCAAAGAAGCTAAAAACCTTGAAAAAAGATTAGACAAATGGCTAACTAGAAAACACAGCATAGAGAAGACCTTAAATGACTTGATGGAGCTGAAAACCATGGCATGAGAACTATGTGATGCATGCACAAGCTTCAGTAGCCGATTCGATCAACTGGAAGAAAGGGTATCAGTGATTGAAGATCAAATGAATGAAATGAAGTGAGAAGTTTAGAGAAAAAAGAGTAAAAAGAAATGAACAAAGCCTCCAAGAAATATGAGACTATGTGAAAAGACCAAACCTACATTTGATTGGTGTACCTGAAAGTGACGGGGAGAATGGAACCAAGTTGGAAAACACTCTTTAGGATATTATCCAGGAGAACTTCCCCAACCTAGCAAGGCAGGCCAACATTCAAATTCAGGAAACACAGAGAACACCATAAAGATACTCCTCGAGTAAAGCAACTCCAAGACACATAACTGTCAGATTCACCAAAGGTGAAATGAAGGAAACACTGTTCAGGGCAGCCAGAGAGAAAGACTGGGTTACCTACAAAGGGAAGCCCATCAGACTAACAGGGGATCTCTCAGCAGAAACTCTACAAGCCAGAAGAGAGTGGGGGCCAATATTCAACATTCTTAAAGAAAAGAATTTTCAAACCAGAATTTCATATCCAGCCAAACTAAGTTTCATAAGTGAAAGAGAAATAAAATCCTTTACAGACAAGCAAATGCTGAGAGATTTTGTCACCACCAGGCCTGCCTTACAAGAGCTCCTGAAGGAAGCACTAAACATAGAAAGGAACAACTGGTACCAGCCACCACAAAAACATGCCAATTGTAAAGACCATAGATGCTAGGAAGAAACTGCATCAATTAACGAGCAAAATAACCAGCTAACATCATAATGACAGGATCAAATTCACATATAACTATATTAACCTTAAATGTAAATGGGCTAAATGCTCCAATTAAAAGACACAAACTGGCAAATTGGATAAAGAGTCAAGACCCATCAGTGTGCTGTATTAAGGAGAACCATCTCACATGCAGAGACACACATAGGCTCAAAATAAAGGGATGGAGGAAGATCTACCAAGCAAATGGAAAACAAAAAAAAGCAGGGGTTGCAATCCTAGTCTCTGATAAAACAGACTTTAAACCAACAAAGATCAAAAGAGATAAAGAAGGCCATTACATAATGGTAAAGGGATCAATTCAATGAGAAGAGCTAACTATCCTAAATATATATGCACCCAATGCAGGAGCACCCAGATTCATAAAGCAAGTCCTTAGAGACCTACAAAGAGACTTAGACTCCCACACAATAACAATGGGAGACTTTAACACCCCACTGTCAACATTAGACAGATCAACGAGACATAAAGTTAACAAGGATATCCAGGAACTGAACTCAGCTCTGCACCAAGTGGACCTAATAGACATTTATAGAACTCTCCACCCCAAATCAAAAGAATATACATTCTTCTCAGCACCACATTGCACTTATTCCAAAATTGACCACATAGTTGGAAGTAAAGCACTCCTCAGCAAATGTAAAAGAACAGAAATTTTAACAAACTGTCTCTCAGACCACAGTGCAATCAAACTAGAACTCACGACTAAGAAAGTCACTCAAAACTGCTCAACTACATGGAAACTGAACAACCTACTCCTGAATGACTACTGGGTACATAACAAAATGAAGGCAGAAATAAAGATGTTCTTCGAAACCAATGAGAACAAAGATACAACAGAACAGAACCTCTGAGACACATTTAAAGCAGTGTGCAGAGGGAAATTTATAGCACCAAATGCCCACAGGAGAAAACAGGAAAGATCTAAAATTGACACCCGAACATCACAATTAAAAGAACTAGAGAAGCAAGAGCAAACACTTGCTTCTCTAAAAAAGCTAGCAGAAGGCAAGAAATAACTAAGAGCAGAACTGAAGGAGATAGAGACACAAAAAACCCTTCAAAAAATCAATGAATCCAGGAGCTGGTTTTTTGAAAAGATCAACAAAATTGATGGACCACTAGCAAGACTAATAAAGAAGAAAAGAGAGAAGAATCAAATAGATGCAATAAAAAATGACAAAGGTGATATCGCCATCGATCCCACGAACTACAGACTACCATCAGAGAATACCAGAAGCACCTCTACGCAAATAAACTAGAAAATCTAGAAGAAATGGATAAATTCCTGGACACACACAACCCCCCAAGACTAAACCAGGAAGAAGTTGAATCCCTGAATAGACCAATAATAGGCTCTGTAAATGAGGTAGTATTTAATAGCCTACCAACCAAAAAAAGTCCAGGACTAGACGTATTCACAGCCGAATTCTACCAGAGGTATAAAGAGGAGCTGGTACCACTCCTTCTGAAACTATTCCAATCAATAGAAAAAGAGGGAATCCTCCCTAACTCGTTTTATGAGACCAGCATCATCCTGATACCAAAGCCTGGCAGAGACACAACAAAAAAAAGAGAATTTTAGACCAATATCCCTGATGAACATTGATGCGAAAATCCTCAGTAAAATACTAGCAAACTGAATCCAGTAGCACATCAAAAAGCTTATCTGCCAAGATCAAGTGGGCTTCATCCTTTGATGCAAGGCTGGTTCAACATATGCAAACCAATAAACATAATCCATTATATAAACAGAACCAAAGACAAAAAACCACATGATTATCTCAATAGATGCAGAAAAGTCCTTTGACAAAATTCAACAGCCCTTCACGCTAAAAACTCTCAACAAACTAGGTATTGATGGGACGTATCTCAAAATAATACGAGCTACTTATGACAAACCCACAGCCAATATCATACTGAATGGGCAAAACCCAGAAGCATTCCCTTTGAAAACTGGCACAAGACAGGGATGCCCTCTCTCACCACTCCTATTCAACATAGTGTTGAAAGTTCTGGCCAGGGCAGTCAGGCAAGAGAAAGAAATAAAGGGTATTGAATTAGGAAAAGAGGAAGTCAAATTGTCCCTGTTTGCAGACGACATGATTGTATATTTGGAAAACCCCACTGTCTCAGCCCAAAATCTACTTAAGCTGATAAGCAACTTCAGCAAAGTCTCAGGATACAAAATCAATGTGCAAAAATCACAAGCATTCCTATACACCAATAACAGACAAACAGAGAGCCAAATCAGGAATGAACTCCCATTCACAACTGCTTCAAAGAGAATAAAATACTTAGGAATCCAACTAGCAAGGGATGCGAAGGACCTCTTCAAGGAGAACTACAAACCACTGCTCAACAAAATAAAAGAGGACACAAATAAATGGAAGAACATTCCATGCTCATGGATAGGAAGAATCAATACTGTGAAAATGGCCATACTGCCCAAGGTAATTTATAGATTCAATGCCATCCCCATAAAGCCACCAATGACTTTGTTCACAGAATTGGAAAAAACTACTTTAAAGTTCATATGGAACCAAGAAAGAGCCTGCATTGCCAAGACAATTCTAAGCCAAAAGAACAAAGCTGGAGGCATCACGCTACCTGACTTCAAACTATACTACAAGGCTACAGTAACCAAAACAGCATGGTACTGGTACCAAAACAGAGATACAGACCAATGGAACAGAATAGAGCCCTGAGAAATAATACCACACATCTACAACCATCTGATCTTTGACAAACCTGACAAAAACAAGAAATGGGGAAAGGATTCCCTATTTAATAAATGGTGCTGGGAAAACTGGCTAGCCATATGTAGAAAGCTGAAACTGGATCCCTTCCTTACACCTTATACAAAAATTAATTCATGATGGATTAAAGACTTAAATGTTAGACCTAAAACCATAAAAACCCTAGAAGAAAACCTAGGCAATACCATTCAGGACATAGACATGGGCAAGCACTTCATGTCTAAAACACCAAAAGTAATGGCAACAAAAGCCAAAATTGACCAATGGGATCTAATTAAACTGAAGAGCTTCTGCACAGCAAAAGAAGCTATCATCACAGTGAACAGGCAAGCTATAGAATAGGAGAAAATTTTTGCCATCTATCCATCTGACAAACGGCTAATATCCAAAATCTACAAAGAACTTAAACAAATTTACAAGAAAAAACCATCAAAAAGTGGGCGAAGGATATGAACAGACACTTCTCAAAAGAAGACATTTATGCAGCCAACCAACATATGAAAAAAAGCTCATCATCACGGGTCATTAGAGAAATGCAAATCAAAACCACAATGAGATACCATCTCACACTAGTTGGAATGGCGATCATTAAAAAGTCAGGAAACAACAGGTGCTGGAGAGGATGTGGAGAAATAGGAACGCTTTTACACTGTTGGTGGAAGTGTAAATTAGTCCAACCATTGTGGAAAAGACAGTGTGGTGATTCCTCAAGGATCTAGAACTAGAAATACCATTTGCCCAAGCCATCCCATTACTGGGTATATACCCAAAGGATTATAAATCATGCTGCTATAAAGACACATGCACATGTATGTTTACTGCGGCACTATTCACAATAGCAAAGACTTGGAACCAACCCAAATGTCCATCAATGATAGACTGGATTAAGAAAATGTGGCACATATACACCATGGAATACTATGCAGCCATAAAAAGGATGAGTTCATGTCCTTTGTAGGGATATGGATGAAGCTGGAATCCATCATTCTGAGCAAACTATCGCAAGGACAGAAAACCAAACACCACATGTTCTCACTCATAGGTGAGAACTGAACAATGAGAACACTTGGACACAGGGTGGGGAACATCACACACTGGAGCCTGTTGTGGGGTTGGGGGATGGGGGAGGGATAGCATTAGGAGATACACCTAATGTAAATGACGAGTTAATGGGAGCAGCACATCAACATGGCATATAGATACATATGTAACAAACCTGCACGTTGTGCACATGTATCCTAGAACTTTAAGTATAATAACAATAATAAAAAAACAAAAACAAAAGCAAAAACAAAACCCAAGCCCTTTCCCATCTAGGCTTTTAAATATTCTGTTTCCTCAGTCTGGAGTGCTCACTCCCTAACTGTTAACACTGACTTCAGCTCAGAGATCACCTCCTCAGAGAAGCTTTCCCAAATCCTTGATCTGAAGTAAACCCTCCTTTCCAGCCAGTCTGTTCCATAATCTTGTTTATTTCCTTCATAGTACTCATCGAGTTTGTTTGTTTGTTTGTTTTCTCTTGAGATGGAGTTTTGCTCTGTCACCCAGGCTGGAGTGCAGCGGCACAATCTTGGTTCACTGCAACCTCCGCCTCCCAGGTTCAAGCAATTCTTGAGCCACAGCCTCGTGAGTAGTTGGGATTACAGGTGCATGCCACCATGCCCGGTTAATTTATGTATTTTCAGTAGAGATGGGGTTTCATCATGTTGGCCAGGCTGGTCTTGAACTCCTGACCTCAGGTGATCCGCCCGCCTTGGCCTCCCCAAGTGCTAGGATTATAGGCGTGAGCTGCCACGGCCAGCCAAGTTTTGTTTTGTTTTGTTTTGTTTTTTATTTTTTATTATTTTTTTTAATTTTTTTTTTTTTTTTTATTGATCATTCTTGGGTGTTTCTCACAGAGGGGGATTTGGCAGGGTCATAGGACAATAGTGGAGGGAAGGTCAGCAGATAAACAAGTGAACAAAGGTCTCTGGTTTTCCTAGGCAGAGGACCCTGCGGCCTTCCGCAGCATTTGTGTCCCTGGGTACTTGAGATTAGGGAGTGGTGATGACTCTTAATGAGCATGCTGCCTTCAAGCATCTGTTTAACAAAGCACATCTTGCACCGCCCTTAATCCATTTAACTCTGAGTGGACACAGCACGTTTCAGAGAGCACAGGGTTGGGGGTAAGGTCACAGATCAACAGGATCCCAAGGCAGAAGAATTTTTCTTAGTACAGAACAAAATGAAAAGTCTCCCATGTCTACTTCTTTCTACACAGACACGGCAACCATCCGATTTCTCAATCTTTTCCCCACCTTTCCCCCCTTTCTATTCCACAAAGCCGCCATTGTCATCCTGGCCCGTTCTCAATGAGCTGTTGGGCACACCTCCCAGACGGGGTGGTGGCCGGGCAGAGGGGCTCCTCACTTTCCAGTAGGGGCGGCCGGGCAGAGGCGCCCCTCACCTCCCGGACGGGGCGGCTGGCCGGGTGGGGGGCTGACCCCCCCCCACCTCCCTCCCGGACGGGACGGCTGGCCGGGCGGGGGGCTGACCCCCCCACCTCCCTCCCGGACTGGGCGGCTGGCCGGGCGGGGGGCTGACCCGCCCACCTCCCTCCCGGACCGGGCGGCTGGCCGGGCGGGGAGCTGACCCCCCCACCTCCCTCCCGGATGGGGCGGCTGGCTGGGCAGAGGGGCTCCTCACTTCCCAGTAGGGGCGGCCGGACAGAGGCGCCCCTCACCTCCCGGACGGGGCGGCTGGCCGGGCGGGGGGCTAACCCCCCCACCTCCCTCCCGGACTGGGCGGCTGGCCGGGCGGGGCCTGAACCCCCCACCTCCCTCCCGGACGGGGCGGCTGGTTGGGCAGAGGGGCTCCTCACTTCCCAGTAGGGGCGGCCGGGCAGAGGCGCCCCTCACCTCCCGGACAGGGCGGCTGGCCGGGCGGGGGGCTGACCCCCCCACCTCCCTGCCGGATGGGGCAGCTGGCCTGGCGGGGGGCTGACCCCCCCACCTCCCTCCCGGACGGGGCGGCTGGCCTGGCGGGGGGCTGACCCCCCCCACCTCCCTCCCGGACGGGGTGGCTGCCGGGCGGAGACGCTCCTCACTTCCCAGACGGGGTGGCTGCCGGGCGGAGAGGCTCCTCACTTCTCAGACGGGGCGGCTGCCGGGCGGAGAGGCTCCTCACTTCTCATAGGGGCGGCTGCCGGGCGGAGGGTCTCCTCACTTCTCAGATGGGGCGGCCGGGCAGAGACGCTCCTCACCTCCCAGACGGGGTGGCGGCCGGGCAGAGGCGCTCCTCACATCCCAGACGGGGCGGCGGGGCAGAGGTGCTCTCCACATCCCAGACGATGGGCGGCCGGGCAAAGACGCTCCTCACTTCCTAGATGTGATGGCGGCCGGGAAGAGGCGCTCCTCACTTCCTAGATGGGATGGCGGCCGGGCGGAGACGCTCCTCACTTTCCAGACTGGGCAGCCAGGCAGAGGGGCTCCTCACATCCCAGACGATGGGCGGCCAGGCGGAGACGCTCCTCACTGCCCAGACGGGGTGGCGGCCGGGCAGAGGCTGCAATCTCGGCACTTTGGGAGGCCAAGGCAGGCGGCTGGGAGGTGGAGGTTGTAGCGAGCCGAGATCACGCCACTGCACTCCAGCCTGGGCGCCATTGAGCACTGAGTGAACCACACTCCGTCTGCAATCCCAGCACCTCAGGAGGCCGAGGCTGGTGGATCACTCGCGGTTAGGAGCTGGAGACCAGCCCGGCCAACACAGCGAAACCCCGTCTCCACCAAAAAAATACGAAAACCAGTCAGGCGTGGCAGCGCGCGCCTGCAATTGCAGGCACTCCGCAGGCTGAGGCAGGAGAATCAGCTCTTTTTCTTTTTAAGATGGAGTCTCACTCTGTCCTGTTTTGTTTTTTAAACTGACTTTGTAAGCCAATGTTGGTGTCAACATTGATTAGAATAAATACATGTATTTATCTGTTTTACATATATTGTATGTGTTTCCCCACTTGAATGAAAGTACTATGAAGCCCTAGCCATTTTTGTTTGGGCCCCTGCTGAATCTCCAGTGGTTAGAACAGTGTCTGAAGCATGGTAGGTATCAAGCAACATTGACTGAATGATTAAACGAATGATTTTTAGGAGAAAACAACTTCTGCGCTGCCTTCTCCGGTATCCTTAAGCAATTATTTTTCAGGCTCATATAGAATCTTTTGCATTTAACTCAACTTTTATCCACTCAAATATTGTGTTAGGCACCTGACAGGTGCTAGGGTTCTGAGAAGAAGAGAACCGAGGCCCTTTCCTCACATGCCTCAGCACCCTGCCCTACACTTGTGTTCGTGCCTCCCCTTAGGATACTGCGGATATGTTCTTCAAGAAGATGGGCTGGTCTTATTCATCGTTGCATCTTAGCCCCTAGGACAGATGCTCAGTAGGCATTTGTATGAAAGAGGACAGAAATGAGCCTTGCAGCCTCAGATTTTTACGGAATGTGCAAAGAAGAGGAAGACTAAATGCAAATCTATGATTTGATTTTGCCCCTTCAGTCTGATAATGCTTGAGAAAACATTCTGTTACCTGTTAAACATGTGGAAAAGGACAAAAACACAGGTCCAGTACTTGTTGCAGGTGATGTGATATTAAAAGAGGACAGAAATAAAGCAAAACTGTTTTTTGTTTGTTTGTTTGTTTGTTTTAACAGCAGAACAGTAGTCATGAAAAGAAGTTACCAGACAGTGGAGTTAACTCAAAATGAGAACAGTCCCCTGTCAATTGGAGCTACCCAGCAATACAAAGGGCTGCCTTGTCAGGGAACCTGTCCAAGCAGGGATGCTGACAATGGTCACGACCATGGAAGACCACAGGTTCTTCCTAAGGCCACAGTTTTAAGATTCCCTTCTTCTGAACAAACCCACATACAGTGCATCCACTCAGCTCTTTTTACTTAAAACAGTTCAAAAAATCTATGCTTAGTAACTACCAAAAAAGAGAATACTATTAGAGGATCCTAATTCAATCAACGTTGCCACCAACATTGGCTTAGAAGGAGTTACTATACTTTAGCCAGTGGTAGAAAGGACTGATACTATGGGTAACAATCAGGCAGGGGAGGATAGCCAGGAGCCATGTGCATATCATCTCTCCCTCCTTCTTTAAAATTATCAGGAATAAAAGCTTTCTGGGGCAAAATCAAGGTAAGGAAAGAGAAATTATGTGGATCAAGACAGTCATTCCTGAAAGCAGGCCAGGTACTGCGATGTCTACATTTGTCCTGCACATTGTATCACTGAGATTACTCACAAATAATTGCATGAGTGGGTCTCTTATGTATGGAGAGGTTAGTACATTACCCGCATAGCTTCTTGAATGTGGTCCTGTCGAATCAGTTCTGCTGAGCAGTCCATATACCACTTCAAACAGCGGATGAGCTCCCTGGGAAAGAGAACAGTTCCAGAAACCCCACTTTAATTCAAAAGTAATGCAGCTTGAAACATCTGTAGCCCTGAATTAGGCAAATAGGAAATAATATTCTGCTGATGAGCTAGAAAGGAGTGATAGATCCATTACAGCTTTGGACTATTCAGGTCACCTGAGAACAAACAACACTCTTTGTCCATAGGAGTTGCCACATTTTAATCAGCAACTAAAATAACTTTTTCCCACTCTCTCTGACATACATTTCTTTTTGATTACAAGAAAGTTTCCACCCAAGTCTGGGGAACATGGCGAAACCTTATCTCTACAAAAAAATAGAAAAATTAGCCAGGCATGGTGGTGCGTGCCTGTAGTCCCAGCTACTCAGGAGGCTGAATCAGGTGGATCAACTGAGCCCAGGAGGTAAAGGCTGCAGTGAGCCATGACTGCGCCACTGCACTCCAGCTTGGGCAACAGAACAATATCTCATCTGAAAAAAAAAAAAAAAAAAGTTTTCCTAAAGACCTGGACTGGATGTGTATTTTTGTTTTGTCTTAAATTGCTAGGTTTTCAGAACATCTGACACCAGCCAGTAAATAGTAGATTCTGAATAAAAGTATGCAGTCCCAGGAGTCCCTGTTCACAACCCCTGCTCTATCTCATCTATCTTATTTCCTTAGGACTCAGTCATCTGAATGGAATGAGATTACTGGGTCAGAAGGTCTGCATATTTATATGGCAACAAAGCACAGAGGTCAGGAGTATACGCCATGGTCACATCTGGGGCCTATCAATATCTAGTTTTGTATCCTTGAATGAGTTATTTAATCCCCTGTGTCACGTTCTTTTCAATGAAAATATGGGGGAAATAGTACATCTCAAAGTTATCACAAATACTAATAGAAAGACGCATATAAAGCACATAGAACAGTCCACTCTCCAAAGTGACATCAAAGTATCAGAGTTTCAGTGACTCCACAGCCTTGCCACCACTGGGTTTTATTTATATTTTCAATAATTATGCTAATTCTGTATAAGAAAATGGTGATTTCTGGCTGGGCATGGTGGCTCACGCCTGTAATCTCAGCACTCTAGGAGGCTGAGGCGGGTGGATCACGAGGTCAGGAGTTTGAGACCAGTCTGGCCAACATAGTGAAACCCCATCTCTACTAAAAATACAAAAAAATTAGCTGGGTGTGGTGGTGTGCGCCTATAATCCCGGCTACTTGGGAAGCTGAGGCAGAAGAATCGTGTGAACCCAGGAGGCGGAGGTTGCAGTGAGCCAAGATCAGGCCATTGCACTCCAGCCCAGGCGACAGTGCAAGACTCCGTCTCAAAAAAAAAAAAAAAAAAGAAAGAAAATGGTGATTTCTTATTGCTTTAATGGTCTTATTTATTTTTTTCTTTGAGACAGACACTTGCTCTATCGCTCAGACTGGAGTGCAGTGACGCGACCTCGGCTCATTGTAACCTCCACCTCCAGGGTCCAAGCAATTCTTGTGTCTCAGCCTCCCAAGCAGCCGGGATTACAGGAAGGGGAGGATGCAGCACCATGCATGGCTGATTTTTGTATTTTTAGTAGAGATGGGATTTCACCATGTTGGCCAGGCTGGTCTCGAACTCCTAGCCTCAAGTGATCCACCCGCCTCAGCCTCCCAAAGTGCTGGGATTACAGGCATGAGCCACCATGCCTGGCTTGCTTTAATGGTCTTAGATAACCTGTGTTTCTCATATTTGTTTATTAGTTATATAATCTCTTTTATGGACTGTCTTTTTATATTCTTTGACATTTTTTTGTGGGTGCTATTTTAGCTATTCGAATGTTTCTCATGGAAAAACCAAGACATCTTTAGCAGCTTTACCATCATTTCCTAGAAGTAGAAGTATAGCAACTATGTAACAAACTATAGTCTGAAATATCAGCTGAAAGCCCACAGCTAACATCAAACATAATGGTAAAAGACTGAAAGCATTTCCTCTAAGATCAGAAATAAGATAAGAATCCTCACTTTTGACACTTTTATTCAACATAGCACTGGAAATCCTAGCCAGTGAAATTAGGCAAGAAAAAGAAATCAAAGACATTCAAATTGAAAAGGAAGAATAAAATGCTCTGTTTTCAAATGATATAATCTTATATGTAGAAAACCCTAAAGAATCCCCAAAAAAACCTGTTAGAACTAATAAATAAATTCAGTAAAGTTGCAGGACACAAAATCAACACAAAAAATCAAATGCATTTCTATATGCTAAAAATGAACATTCTGAAAATGAAATTAAGACAATTCCATTTACAATAGCATCAAAAAGAATAAAATACTTAGGATACATTTAACTAAGGAGACAAAAGTTTTATACATGTTGCTTAAAGAAATAAAAGATAGCAATAAATGGAAATACGTCTTATATTCATTAATTAGAAGGTTTAATATTGTTATTAAAGATGTAAATGCTACCCAAAGTGATCTACAGATTCAATGCAATCCCTAACACAATTCCAATGGCATTTTTTGCAGAAAAAAAAAAATCCATCCTAATATGGAATCACAAGTGACCTGGAATAGCCAAAAGCATCTTGAAAAAGAGGAACAAAATTGCAGTCTCATACTTCCTGATTTCAAAACTTACCACAAAGCTACAGCAATCAAAACAATGTTGAATTAGCATAAAGACATATTTATAAAACAATGGGAAAAGATAGGCCAGAAGTAAAGCCTCACATATATGGTCAAGGGGCCAGGGTATCACCCTTTTGACAAGAATGCCAAGACCATTCAGTGGGGGAAAAGACAGCTTCAATAAATGGAACTGGGAAATTGGATATCCACATGCAAAAAGAATGAAGTCAGACACTTATCTTATACAATATACAAAAATTAACTCAAAGTGGATCAAAGACCTAAATCTAAGGGCTAGAATTATAAAACACTTAAAAGAAAAGATAGGTGAAAGCTTCATATTAGGCAATGATTTCTTGAAAATGACACCAAAAGCACAGGCAACAACAAAAAATAAGGTGGACTACATCAAAACTTTAAAAACTTCTGTGTCTCAAAGGACACAATCAACAGAGTGAAAAGGCAACCAAGTGACTGGGAAAAATATTTATAAATCATATAACTGATAAGGGGTTAATATCCAGAATATATAAAGAACTCCTATAACTCAACAATAAAACAAATAACCTCTTTTTAAAAAATGGGTGAAGGACTTGAATACACATTTCTCAAAGGAAGATAATTAGGGAAACACAAATAAAAAACATAAAGAAATATCACTTTACACCCATTAGGGTGGCCACTATAAAAAAAAAAACCCAGAAAATAGCCTGGCCCTCGATGGCTCTGGAGGAAAGGTGAGTGAACTATTAAGAAGCAACTTGCTCTTACTAATGGCCTCTGGAACCCTGGCAGAAGGAGAGCCCTCAACCACCACAGATACTTGAGTTGGCAGGGAGAGCTGCTTAGAGAAGTGGTAGGGGTAGCAAACCAGATGATGTGGAGCCCAGGGGGTTTGGTATGGGAGTGTCTGTAGTGGTGCACAGCCAGGGATGGCCATCCCCCTAGGCTTGACTTGCTCCCGTGGGAGACTTCAGTCCTAGGGGAACTGTTGGTCCTGAACTCTGCAGGGCGGTCTTGCCCATCAGATGGGGCTGGTCTATCCTGAGCACCCCTTGGTTGGCTGGCCTCTCCTAGGGCCCAAGTCTGGCCATACCTGCTTGCAGGGCAGCCTCAGGTGACCTGGGGGCCCCATGTCATAGCTTCTACACAGACCATGCTTGATGGGGGAGAGCTCCACTGGTGCGACCCTATGCCACGCACTAGCCTGCATGCCCCCTCCCCATACTGCAGCTTCCCCAGGACCCACTGCAACTCTCCACAATGCTTTACTGGCTTGTGTCTGTACTGGCAGGTTTTGCTTTCCTTTTTCCATTAAAAAGTGGGCTAGCATGTAAGAGTGCAGCCTGTCCCCTGCTCCCACCACCATTGCAGATGGAGCCTTGGTGGGCACAGAGCCAGCCAGCCCCGTCCTTGTCAGTGCCCCACCCTTGCTCTAACACTGTGCAGAGAATAGCAGATCCTCCCCTATCCTGAGTGACTACTTCTGCTTGCAGGACACAGAGGAGGCACCCAGACCTTCAGTGTCCCAACCCTGAGCCATCACCATCTCTACCGTGACTGCACAAAAGTTGCCAGTAGGGGCCCCAGCTCTGCCCAGCCATGTTGCCTCTGCCACCTTGGTCAATGCCTGCAGGGAGGCAGGTACCCTGACACTGGCATCTGCTAGCACTCTGCCACAGGTGACTCTGCCACAGCTGCTGTACCCACTGCTGCTGGCACATGTGAACAGGGATAGATCCAGCTGTCACTGCACTATGAACCACTTTGGCTTATACCACCCAGCCAAAGTGGAATGGCCAGCAGTCTGGGAGCATCTCGGCCTACCCAGTACAGTGGATTCCTAACCTTAAGGAGCCAGAGAACAAAGCTGGGGCCCAATACCAGTCCCCAAGTTGTGTTAGAGTGCACAGTCCAGGAGTTGAGAGCTGAGCACTGTCCCCTAAAATGTTCCAGAAATGAATCCAGCTGGCTGAATCCACTTTATACCATAATCAAACATTCAAGGTCATCAAACAGGATAAAAGGGAAAAAAAAAACCATCCAAAGGACAGCAACCTCGAAGACTGAAGAGTGACAAGCCCACAAAGATGAAAAAGAACCAGCACAAGGACCCTGGCAACTCAAAAAGCCTTCTTTCCTCCAAATGACTGCATCACCTCTCCAGCAAGGGTTCTGAACTGGGCTGAGAGGGCTGAAATGACAGAAATAGAATTCAGAATATGGATAGGAATGATGATCATTGAGCTACAGGAGTACACTGAAAGCTAATCCAAGGAAGCTAAAAATCATGATAAAACAATGCAGGAGCTGACAGACAAAATAGTTAGTATAGAAAAGAATGTAACTGACCTGACAGAGCTGAAAAACACTCTACAGGAATTTCAGAATGCAATTGCAAGTATTAACAGCAGAATAGACCAAGTTCGGGAAAGAATCTCAGAGCTTGAAGACTGGCCTTCTGAAATATGACAGTCAGACAAGAACAGAGAAAAAAGAATGAAAATGAATGAACAAAACCTCCGAGGAATATGGGATTATGTAAAGAGACCAAATCTACAACTCACTGGTGTCCTTAAAATAGACGGGGAGAATGGAACCAACTTAGAAAACATATTTCAGGATATCATCCATGAAGACTTCCCCAACCTAGCTAGAAAGGGCAACATTCAAATTCAGGAAATGCGGAGAACCCCAGTAAAATACTTCACAAGAAGATCATCTCCAAGACACATATTCATCAGATTCTCCAAGGTCAAAATGAAAGAAAAAATGTTAAAGGCATTTAGAGAGAAGGATCAGGTCACCTACAAAGGGAAGCTCATGAGACTAAAAGTGGATCTCTCAGTAGAAACAAGCAAGAAGAGACTGGGGGCCAATATTCAACATTCTTAAAGAAAAGAAATTCCAATAAATAATTTCATATCCAGCCAAACTAAGCTTCATAAGCGAAGGAGAAATAAGATCCTTTTCAGACAACCAAATGCTGAAGGAATTTGTTACCACCAGACCTGCCTTACAAGAGCTCCCGAAGGAAGCACAAAATACGCAAAGAAAAGACCAATACCAGCCATGACAAAAACACACAAGTACACAGACCAGTGACATTATAAAGCAACTACATAAACAAGTCTGCAAAATAACCAGCTAACATCATAACAGGATCAAATCCACACATATCAATACTAACTTTGAATATAAATGGATAAAATTTCCCAATTAAAAGGCATAGAGTGGCAAGCTGGATAAAGAACCAAGACCCATTCATAAGCTGTCTTCAAAGAGACCCATCTCACATGCAGTGACACAGATAGGCTCAAAATAAAGGGATGGAGAAAAATCTACCCAGCAAATGGAAAACAGAAAAATAGTAGGGGTTGCAATCCTGATTTCAAACAAAACAGATTTCAAACCAACAAAGACTGCAAAAGACAAAGAAGGGTATTACATAATGTTGAAGAGTTCAACAAGAAGACCTAACTCTCTTAAGTATATATGCACCCAACACAGGAGCACCTAGATTCATAAAGGAAGTTCTTAGAGACCTTCAAAGAGACTTAAGACTCCTACACAATAATAGAGGGAGACTTCAACACCACACTGACAGTATTAGACAGATCATCAAGACAGAAAATTAACAAAGATATCAGGACCTAACTCAGCACTAGATCAAATGGACCTGATAGACATCTACAGAACACTCCACTCAAAAGCAAGAGAACATACATTTGTCTCATTGCCACATGGCACATAGTCTAAAATTGACCACATAATTGGGACACAAAACACTCCTCAGCAAAATCACTGAAATCATACTCTCTCAGACCACAGCACAATCAAATTAGAAATCAAGACTAAGAAATTCACTGAAAACCATAAAATTACATGGAAATGCAATAACTTGCTCCTGAATAACTTCTGGGTAAATAATGAAATTAAGGCAGAAATCAACAAGTTCTTTGAAACTAATTAGAATAAAGATACAGCATACCAGAATCTCTGGGACACAGGTAAGGCATTGTTAAGAGGGAAATTTATAGCACTGAATGCCCAAATCAAAAAGTTAGAAAGATCTCAATTTAACAGCCTAACATCACAACTAAAAGAACTAGAGAACTAAGAGCAAACCAATTCCTAAACTAGCAGAAGACATGAAATAACCAAAATCAGAATTGAACCAAAGGAGATTGAGACACAAAAAACCATTCAAAAGATCAATGAATCCGGGATGATTTTTTGAAAACAATTAATAGACTGCTAGCTAGACTAATAAAGAAGAAAAAAGAGAATATTCTAATAAATACAATCAGAAATGAAAAGGGGGATATTCCCTTTGACCCCACAGAAATACAAATAACCATCAGAGAATATTATGAACATCTTTATGCACATAAACTAAAAAATCTAGAAGAAATAAATAAATTCATGGACACAAACACTCTCCCAAGAGTGAACCAAGAAGAAATGGAATCCCCAAACAGACCAATAATAAACTGTGAACTTGAGTCAGTAACAGCCTACCAACTAAAAAAAAACAAAAAAAACAAAAAACAAACAAACAAAAAAAAAACCCAGGACCAGACAGATTCACAGCCAAATTGTACCAAATGCACAAAGAAATGAGGCCAGTGGCTGGGCACAGTGGCTTACACCTGTAATCCCAGCACTTTGGGAGGCCGAGGCAGGTCAGGAGATGGAGACCAGCCTGGCCAACATGGTGAAACCCCGTCTCTACTCAAAATACAAAAATTAGCCAGGTGTGGTGGCATATGCCTGTAGTCCCAGCTACTCAGGAGGCTGAGGCAGAAGGATCGCTTGAACCCAGGAGGCGCAGGTTACAGTGAGCCAAGATTGCGCCACTCTACTCCATCCTAGGTGACAGAGTGAGACTCTGTCTCTAAATAAATAAATAAATAAATAAATAAAAAGTACGCTTTATCTTTGGGGTACAAGATACCATCCTGCACCGGCCAGAATGGCTATGATTAAAATGTCAAAAAATAACAGATGCTGGCAAGGTTGCAGAGAAAAATGAATGCTTATATACTGTTGATGGTAGTGTAAATTAGTTCAACCATTGTGGAAAGCGGTGTGGCAATTTCTCAAAGACGTAAAAACAGAACTACCATTTGACCCAGCAATCCCAATACTGTATATAAACCCAAAGTAATATAAATTGTTCTACCATAAAGACACATGCTTGCATAGGTTCATTGCAGCACTGTTCACAATGGCAAAGACATGGAATCAAGCTAAATGCCTATCAATGGTAGACTGGATAAAGAAAATGTGGTACATATATACCATGGAATACTATGCAGCCATAAAAAAGAATGAGATCATGTCTTTTGCAGAAACATGGATGAAGCTGGAGACCATTATTCTTAGCAAACTAACACAGCAACAGAAAACCAAATACCACATGTTCTCACTTATAAGTGGGAGCTACATGACGAGAATGCATGGACACATAGAGGGGAACAAAACACACCGAGGCCTATCGGAGGGTAGAGGGTAGGAGGACGGAGAGGATCAGGAAAAATAACTAATGGGTACTAGGCTTAATACCTAGGTGATGAAATAATCTATACAACAAACCTCCATGACACAAATTTACCTATATAACAAACCTGCACATGTACCCCTGAACTTAAAATAAAATTAAAAAACAAACAAAAAAACCCAGCCAGGCGCGGTGGCTCACGCCTGTAATCCCAGCACTTTGGGAGGCCAAGGCAGGTGGATCATGAGGTCAGGAGATCAAGACCATCCTGGCTAACATGGTGAAACCCTGACTCTACTAAAAATACAAAAAATTAGCCAGGTGTGGTGGTGGGCACCTGCAGTCCCAGCTACTCGGGAGGCTGAGGCAGGAGAATGGTGTGAACCCGGGAAGCAGAGCTTGCAGTGAGCCAAGATTGCGCCACTGCACTCCAGCCTGGGTGACAGAGCAAGACTCCATCTCAAAAAAAAAAAAAAAAAAAAAAAAAAAAAAAAAAAAAAAAAGTGGTAAATATATACAATGGAACATTATTCAGTCTTTGAAAGGAATGAAATTCTGACCCATGCTAAAACATGGATGAGCCTTGAAGACATTATGCTGAGTGAAATAAGCTACTCACAAAAGGACAAATATTGTGATTACACTTACATGAGGTACCTAAAGTAGTCAAATTCATAGAGACAGAAAGTAGAATAGAATGGTGGGTGCCAGGGGATAGGGGAGGGGAGAATGGGGAGTTATTTTTAATGATTACAATATTTCAGTTTTGTAACAGGAAAAGAGTTTTGGAGATGGACAGAGTTCTGGTGATGGTTGTACAATGATGTGAATGTACTTAAAGTCACTGAACCCTACACTCAGAAAATGGTTAAGATGGTCAATTTTGTGTTATGTGTATTTTATCACAATTAAAAATATAAAATTTTTAAAAAGTCAGCTGAACTTTTTAAATGCTGGTTGCAGCTAAACTTTTTTAAAGCCTATATTTCTACTCAAACACGAGTCCTAATGATGATACCAAATGGAACTTACTTGTATGCCAGAGCTCCAGCAAAGTGCTTCTGGATATACGTGTCCATCACAGGTCGAAAGTGAAAATACTTGATGTCTCGGAGCAGGTTGATGATGAACACCTGGGAGATATGGAGAGTAAGCCATCAGGGTTCACTGGAGGCCTCAGATCTATCCCCAGCAGGAAACAGAGTCTTCCTTCTCCAAATAATGGCAAATTGTCAGTGCTGTCCTCTAGCATTCCCCATGGGTAGTGAATGTAAGATTTCCATTCTGTGTCTGTATTTCTGTCTTGTCTTTTCTCTAACACCCCAGCCTCCTAATTCAGACCCGGGCTCATCAGTCTCTTCCTGTATTTACTGTGAGCCTCTCCCTTCACAATAATGCTGGGTGGTACAATACAGATCAGGGAAAGGCAAAACAATATGCGTGTAGATGGCATAAACAATAAGGTATTCCCAAAAACGTGGAAAAGAGAGGAAAAAAAGCTTGTCCTCTGAGCCAAATCAGCCTATGAAACTCTGTATCCTTCAGAAATGGGGCTGGTGGACAGGCAAATTAGGAAGAAGAAGAGCCGGAGGGGCAAACTATGCAAGTACTCATTGCAACTCTCACCTCTGCTCCTTATCTATGAGAGTATCTGACTCTTCTTGAATGTATGGCTCTCTGTGGGACTGGATATATTAGGCAAAATGCACTAAACATTCAAATCACTGTCCATTTTCATTAACCAACCTTCTGAGACTCTAGTTCTGAAACAACTGCATAGATTCTGGACCTGCACAGGTCTCTAGAGACCAGCATGGGTAAGTCTCTGCTTTTCATGATGGTTATATCCTACTTTGTAAGTGAAAAAATGAGCCATCTGATTTCTTGTATTACTCTCTGGGTTTCTGACCTCATGGAGGTCACTATTTCATGGGCCAGGCATACTGCAATAGTGATGAGATGGAAGATCCAGAAACTATAAAGTCAAGGTCTGGACTTGATTGTGTTGGATTCTTCAAGTTTGATCTGCCTGGTTGGTTGCTTGGTCTTCCTTGGGTGACAGTCCTTAGTCCCTTTTCTATTGGAAACATCTATATCTTGTGCTGATTCACTCTAATAAATTGCTTCCCTTAAATTTTCTGAAATATATGACAGGAATAATTAATAAAAGTAAAGAGTCAGGAAGGTGACTTACCAGAGACTGAAAAACCAACAGGCCGTACTTCTCTGTATTATCATCCAAAATCACAAAGAGTGTATCTAAGATGTCCTGCAGAAACTAAAACAACATAAAAAGCAGAGGGCTCAGGTCTCAGGACCTTACACGCACAAACTTCCATAAATCAATGAATTTAACTTCCAATAAAAAAGTGAAAGATCTCTTAGGATCTCAAAATACCACTTAAAAATCATCGTACTAGTACCCTGACCCTCCACCCAGCTAAGTGATAACTAGGTGCACTTGAGGTGTTGGCTTATAGCCCAAAGGGCCCCAAGAAAGACTTAGAGAGGCTCTTCCTGTTGGGTGAGTGATACATTTCTAAGGAAAGGGCAATGCCCTAAAAACCATAGGACACCTATGCAGAATAGCAATTTTGATATAAAAACAATCTAAGTGATACTGATGCCAAATTTATTTTGAGAAAAAGAGCTTACTGGTATCCCCAAAAGTTCAGTAGTCTCTTGCTCTCTACTGTGGCCTAACAATATAGAGTATATTTGATAAGGGTGTGGCAAGTTAGGCTTTACCTACAGACACTATTTTTTGGTCTAAGAATTAGTATTACAGAAGAATGGAGAATGCAGTCAATGAGGGCTGTCAATGGGGGTAAAAAATGTGGCAGTATTTTTGTTGTTGTTTCAACATGTGCCTATTTCTGAGATGCAAAAACAAAGGAAGAGAATAATAAATATTGATGGACACTTGCAGCCTTCAAAAATCAAGTCTATCCTTCCTCCAGTTTAAAAGATACAATGTTTACAATTCATTTCTGAAAAATATGAGGTAGAAGGTGTAGATAGGGGTAATAATGATGGGTCAAGACTGGCCATGGGTTAATGGTCTTTGGGGTTGGGTCAGAGATACATCTAAGGTTCTTTATACTATTCTGTATACTTCTGCATATGCTTGAAATCTTCCAATAAGAAGTAAAAAATATTTCAAAATGCTATCACATTCTCTTTACATTGTCTTCTAGCTAGCTGGAGACAAATTATTGATGCTAAAACTAGATATGCTGGTAGGATGTTCTCTTCTCAGGAATATAAAAGCTCACCCTTGAAAAGACAACAGACTTCTTAATACCTCGTTTACTGGTTGATATTTTCAATATTCTTAGAAGGAAAATATGAGTATGAATTTATCTTAAGTTTCAAAACTAGCATTAGATTGCTTTGAAGAGTTAAAAAATTTTTATGATAATCTGATCACATAATTAAAACAAAATTCATACATCAACTTCATGAAAGTACACAGTGGTACACAGACTTTAAAACTGTTCCTGACTTGGAAACACTGTGTTGTGTATTATTGAGTTAATGGAGCTGTGAAAGCAAAGTTAGGTGGTGCATTTGTGCTAATTCATTTGACGCTTGTGATGGCAAAGCTAAGAATGTTCATTATGGACAGGATGCCTTCTCCAGATTTAATCTCTAGCCTACATTCCATTACTCTTACTGATAACCAAAAATACTTCCATTTTCTTCAGTAGAATTCAGTCCACTGTGTAGGATTCACCTGATGGGCTTTCACCACCAGGAAGTGCCTGGGGTTTTTATTGAGCTAAGGGGAAACACTCTGCCCAGAAAAGCCCTATGAAGGCAACTGGGGACTGGCAGTGTTGATGTCAGCCTGCTAAAGCCATTAGATAGGAAATGTCACAAAGGTACTTGGAGAAGGCAGTTAACATAGGGGTAAGGAAGGAAGGTATTATGGACTCCAAGTGAGAGACTAGACAAAATCAGCAGGTACAAGTTAATGAGCAGTATTTAGAGTTCTTAAAATCAGGAGAGTAGAGCCAGAAAGATATCAGGCTTAAATATAGTTTTTAAAAGTTAATAAACTGATATGCTATATACCTTTTTAAAAAAGGAGCTAACAAAAAAATCCCAAAGTATGATTCCTTGAGTATGACCCCCAAAGCAAAGGCAACAAAAACAAAAACTGATACAGGAAACAGACAACTCATGGAATGGGAGAAAATATTTCCAAACCATGTATCTCTGATAAGGAACTAATATCCAAAATGTATAAGGAACTCAAACAACTCACTAGCAAGAAAACAACGCAATCAAAAAGATGGGAAAAAGGACCTAAGTAGACATTTCTCAAAAGAAGATACACAAATGGCCAACAAATATATGAAAAAATGCTCATCATCACTAATCATCAGGGAAATGCAAATTGAAACCACAATGAGATGTCACCTCATCCCAGTTGGGAGAGCTATTACCAAAAGATAAAACATAACAAGTGTTGGTGAGGATGTGGAGAAAAAGGAATTCTTATGCACTGTTGATGAGAATGTAAATTAATACAGCCATTATGGAAAACAGTATAGAGGTTTCTCAGAAAACTAAAAATAGTATTACCATATAAGCCAGCAATCCCACTACTGGGTATATGTCCAAAGAAATTGAAATCAGTATGTTGAAGATGTCTTGGACATCTTCAGAACATGGGAGAGGTCTGCACTTCCATGTTCACTGCAAAATTGTTAATAGCTAAGATATGGAAACAATCTAGGTGTTGATCAGCAGATGAATGGATTAAGAAAATGTGGTATATGTTAAAAAAGCCAGTAGCTTTTCTCTACACCAACAACGTTCAAGCTGAAAGCCAAATCAAGAATGCAATTGCGTTTACAGTAGCCATACACAAAAAATACCTAGGAATACATCTAACCAAAGTGGTGAAAGACCTCTACAAGCATAATTACAGAGTACTGCTGAAAGAGGATGGGCGTGGTGGCTCAGGCCTGAAATCCCAGCACTTTGGGAGGCCGAGATGGGAGGATCACTTTAGGTCAGGAGTTCAAGACCAGCCTGACTAACACGGTGAAACCTTGTCTCTACTAAAAATACAAAAAAAATTAGCCAGGCGTGGTGGCACATGCCTGTAATCCCAGCTACTTGGGAGACTGAGGCAGGAGAATCACTTGAATCTGGGAGGCAGAGGTTGCAGTGAGCCGAGATCACGCCATTGTACTCCAGCCTGGGCAACAGAGGAAGACTCCATCTCAAATAAATAAATAAATAAATAAATAGATAGATAGATAGATAGATAGATAGATAGATAGATAGATAGAAAGAAAGAATACTGCTAAAAGAAATAATAAATGACACAAACAAATGGAAAAACCTTCCGTGCTCATGGGTTGGAAGAATCGATATTGTTAAAATGGCCATACTGCCCAAAGCAATCTATAGATTCAACACTATTCCTATCAAACTACCAACATAATTTTTCCCAGAATTAGAAGAAACTATTCTAAAATTAATACAGAACTGAAAAAGAGTCCAAATAGCCAAAGCAAGCCTTGGCAAAAAGAACAAAGCTGCAGGCATCACATCACCCCATTTCAAACTATACTACAAGGCTACAGTACCAAAAATGCATCATACTGGTATAAAAAAAGACACACAGACCAATGGAACACAACAGAGAGCCTCAAAATAAAATGGCCTACCTACAGCCATCTGGTCTTTGACAAAATCAACAAAAATAACAACAGGGACAGGACTCCATACTCAATAAATGGTGCTAGCAGCAAAAGAAATATCAGTGGAGTAAACAGACAACCCTCACAGTGTGAGAAAATATTTGCAAACCATGCATGCAACAAATGATTAGTATCCAGAATCTACAAGGAGCTCAAACAAATCAGCAAAAAACCACAAATAATCCCATCAAAAAGTGGACAAAGGACATGAATAGACATTTCTCCAAAGAAGATATACAAACAGCCAACAAACATATGAAAAAATGTTCACCATCATTAATCATCAGGGAAACACAAACTAAAACCACAATGAGATACCACCTTACTCCTGCAAGAATGGCCATAATTGAAAAGTCAAAAAACAACAGAAGTGGGTGTGGATGTGGTGAAAAGGGAATACTTTTATACTGCTGGTGGGAATGCAAATTAGTACAACCACTATGGAAAACAGTATGGTGATTCCTTAAAGAACTAAAAGTAGATCTACCATTCAATCCAGCAATTCCACTACTAGGAATCTACCCAAAGGAAAAGAAGCCATTACATGAAAAAGATACACGCACATGCATATTTATGGCAGCACAATTCGCATCTGCAAGGATATGGAACCAACCATTAGGAAGGTAGTGAGGGATAAAAGACAACATATTGGGTACAGTGTACACTGCTTGGGTGATAGGTGCACCAAAACCTCAGAATTCACAAATAAAGAACTCATCCATGTAACCAAAAACCACCTGTATCCCAATAACTATAAAAAAAAACATAAAAAAGAGAGTGTAACAATTGGCAAAAAATGAATGGTGCTGAGATAGCTGGCTAGAAACAGTTAAGGTAGAGGTAAGAACATTCTTCCTCAGGCAGTATATTTACATTGTGTGGAAATTAACAATTTCCTTCCCACTGACATGCTGCAGCTAGTACATTATTCATGCTGAAGAATGAAACTGGACCCCTACTTTCACTATGAACAAAAATGAACTCAAGATGGATTCAAGATTTAAGTGTAAGATCTCAAACTATAAGAATCCTAGAAGAAAACCTAGGAAACACCATTCTGGACATTGGCCTTAGGAAATCACTTATCACTAAGTCCTCAAAAGCAATTGCAACAAAAACAATTGACAAACGTGACTTTAATTAAACTAAAGAGTTTCTGCCTAGCAAAAGAAACTATCAACAGAGTAAACAGACAACCTACAGAATGGGAGAAAATATTTGCAAACTATGCATCTGACAAATGACTAATATCCAGAATATATAAGGAACTCAAACAACTCAACAAGCAAAAAACAATTCCATTAAAAAGTGAGCAGAAGACATGGACAGACACTTCTCAAAAGAAGACATACAATAAAGTGGCCAATAAACATATAAAAATGCTGATTATCACTAATCATCAGAGAACTGCAAATCAAAACCACAATGAGATACTATCTCACAACAGTCAGAGTGACTATTAAAATGTCAAAAAGCCTGGGTGTGGTGGCTCACTTCTGTAATCCCAGCACTTTGGGAGGCTGAGGCAGGCAGATCACTTGAGGTCAGGAGTTGGAGACCAGCCTGGCCAACATGGCAAAACCGTGTCTCTACTAAAAATATGAAAATTAGCCAGGCATGGTGGCACATGCCTGTAATACCAGCTACTTGGGAGGCTGAGGTAGGAGAATCACTTGAACCCAGGAGGCGGAGGTTGCAGTGAGCCAAGATCATGCCACTGCACTCCAGCCTGAGCAACAGGGCAAGACTCCGTCTCAAAAAAAAAAAAAAAAAAAAAAAAAGTCAAAAAATAACAGATGCTGGCGAAGCTGCAGAGAAAAGGGAACTCTTATACCTTGTTGGTGGGAATGTAAATTAGTTTAGCTCCTGTGGGAAGCAGTTTGGAGATTTATAAAAAAAACTTAGAACTAACATTTGACCCAGCAATCTTATTACTGTGTATATATCCAAAAGAAAAAAAAAAATCATTCTACCAAAAAGACCCATGCACTCAAATGTTCATCACGGTATTATTCACAATAACATAAGACATGGAATCAATCTAGGTGCCCATCAACAGTGAACTGGATAAAGGAAATGTGGTACATAGGTCGGGCGCGGTGGCTCATGCCTGTAATCCCAGCACTTTGGGAGGCCAAGGCGGATGGATCACGAGGTCAAGGGATCGAGACCATCCTGGCCAACATGGTGAAATCTCATCTCTATTAAAAATACAAAAATTTGCTGGGCGTGGTGGCACGCGCCTGTAGTCCTAGCTACTCTGGAGCCTGAGGCAGGAGAATCGCTTGAACCGGGCAGGCAGAGGTTGCAGTGAGCCGAGATTGCGCCACTGCACTCCAGCCTGGCGACAGAGTGAGACTCTGTCTCAAAAAAACAAAACAAAACAACAACAACAACAAAAAGACAATGTGGTACATGTACACCATGGAATACCATGCAGATAAAAAAAAAGAAAATCATGTCCTTTGCAGCAACATGGATGCAGCTGGAGCTCATTATTCTACAGAAACTAGCAAGAACAGAAAAACCAAATACTGCATGTTCTCACTTGTAACTGGGAGCTAAACATTAGGTACTCGTGGACATAAAAATGGTAACAGTAGACACTGGGGACTACTAGAGTGGGGAGGGACAGGGACAAGGGTTGAAAAACTGCTGGGTACTATGCTTACTACCTCAGTGATCAGATCATTTGTATCTCAAACCTCAGCATCATGTAATGCATCTACGTAACAAACCTGCACATGTACCCACTAAATCTAAAATAAAAGCTGAAATTATAAAATAAAAAAAGAAAACATGGCATATAAACACAATGGAATGCTATTCAGCCTTAAAATGGGAGAGATCTTGTCATTTGAGACAACATGGATACAACTGGAGGACATTAAGCTAAGTGAAATAAGTCAGGCACAGAAAGACCACACGATCACACTTATATGCGGAATACAAAAAACTGAACACATAGAAGTAGAACGTGCAATGAGGAATACCAGAGGCTGAGGGAAGGTTGTGGTCATTCTGCAATCATTCTACTTTGTGAACATATATTCTGCACTGTTAAAACATCATATTGTATCCCATACAGATAAATAATTATTATTTGTCAGTTAAAAATAAAATAAAAAATAAAAGCATACCAAAAGAGGAAAAGGAAGCTAACAACAACAACAACAACAACAAAAATCTGATGAAACAGTCTCAGACGGTTATTGGCAAAAATCATGACAAAGTAAGGTCTTCTGCCCAGATTCTTCCTCATGCAGTATGTTTAAATTATATGGAAGACATACCTTAACAATTTCCTCCCCACTGACATGCCGCAGCCGCCCTAGTACATCCATGATCCGGTCGGGGAAGGCTTTCCACTTCAGCAGAGCTAGGAGGTCCACTAGAAAGCAAGCCCAAAAGATGAGGAACCCTTGAAACCTGGATATTCTTTTTTTTTTTTTTAGACGGAGTCTCACTCTGTTGCCCAGGCTGGAGTGCGGTTGTATGATCTCAGCTCACTGCAACCTCCGCCTCCCGAATTCAAGTGATTCTCCTGCCTCAGCCTCCTGAGTAGCTGGGATTACAGGCATGCGCCATCATGTCCAGGTAATTTTCGTATTTTTAGTAGAGATGGTGTTTCACCATGTTGGCCAGGCTGGTCTTGAACTCCTGACCTCAAGTGATCTGTCCGCCTCGGCCTCCCAAAGTGCTGGGATTACAGGCATGAGCCACCGCACATGGCCAAACCCTGGCTATTCTAAGGTCAAGCAAGGCCCAGACTCTCCCAGTCAAGGACAGGTGGAATCTAGAGGAACAGAACTAGCTGCAAGCATCACCACAGACTGAGTCTAAGGCCAAAGACTCATCTGTAAACTCTGGATGTACTGTGGAGCTACTAAAACCATGAAAAACCTTGTAGGCTGCTATTGCTGAGTGATCGCTTCAACTTCAAATGAAAAGAAGCCCATTATTATGGCATCAAGAAGGAATAATTTATCTCTCCCTTCACATGCGCTAGTAGTGTGGAGTGAACAATGGAGGAGGGTGGAGGGCACCACCCTGCAGGCATTATCACCTACCATTCTGGGTGAGTTTGGTAGAGGAGAGCTGAGTGGAGATGAAGAAAGACTCTTTGGTGCTGCGCTGGAAGATGAGGCTAGAAGGAATATTAGGGCAGCCATTGTAGTCCTCTTTGCAGCAGGGCAGGCCCAGGTACAGAGCATGGTTATTAAACGTGCTATTCTCATCACACTGTAGGCAAAAATGGAGAAAAAAATGTCCCCTGAGCCATGCAACATGCAAAAACCAGGTCCTAGGAATTTCTGGGCTGATACTTGCTCTCATCTTCCTAAGGCTGAACGTTGGGCCTCAGGTCCTCTTGGAAGAGTACTTTCTGTTCAGAAACTCCCTAGAACAGCTCATGTGCCTTTTAAACAGAATATGGTGGGGCATGTGGTTGCCACCTGATGTGCAAGTAACCTTGGGTGGCAGCTATGCTATGACAGTTGACAGTACCATGATCTCAAATAGCAGGTCTAAGAATGTACTAAACAAGACCACAATGGCAATGAGGGGTTGGTAATGGATTTCCATCCAGTGAAGTGAGAAGTAGAAAACAAAGAACCTGTTGGCGTTACTTGTGGGAGGACGGCCACCGCACTTAGAAGACAGAAGCCTGCCCACAGATGTCCCACTGTCACCCACCAGTGCACTTCCCTTGGTCTTCTGGCCTGCCCAGTGAAAACCACCTAACTGAGAACCATGTGTGAGAGTGGCCTCAGGGCAGGTAAGGGGTGGGGATGAAAGGCAGCTAGGCTTCATACCTTGTACACATAAAGCTCGTGAATATCATCTGAGAGGGTGGTGCCATCATCACGCATCAGGGTTGAGAATGCAAAGCCAAAGAGTTTCTTTTCCCCTTTGTCCTTTGCTGTAATCAGAGCCAAGTATTAGTTGTTTTTTGCCTTCCACTCTGCTTCCTCATGGAAATTCTCCTTGTGCTTATCACCTATGCTCTTTTGTTCCTCGCCTCTTTCATTAACTAGGTGGCAACCTGACTGCAGGAATGATGAGAAATGTGCTGAAATGAGTTTCCATTCATACTCAAGGCATATAGGCTACCTAGACCCAAAAAGAAACTAAATTGCTGGTCTTGATGAACTAGGGTCTCTTTAATAAGCAGTTTAATAATGGTACAAAGGAATACTCAAAGGAGAATGACAATGGATAATAATTTCAGACACTAGGTCAGACACCAGGAAGGGCCAACACAAGACTTTGTGGTTTTGAATCACTGCTTTTATAGTCCCAAGAACAGCCTCTGGTGACATCCCATCTCTGAGTAGCTGTTTATTCCTAACTCTTCATTTTCTTGCCCAAATAAGAATCCACTTAATTCTGTTCAAGAGAGGAGAGAGTTATATTTATATTCTCAAGGGAATGTGGAGGGGGGGAAGTCTAACTCACTGGAACAATGTCTGAACTCAAAGCGCAGGTGGGAGCCCCGGAACCGGTCAATGGGGATAGGCAATTTGATAATTTCTCCCCAGCGAGGACTATTACTGTGGTAGAGGACAAAGGAGTGGTAGGAACTCCTATTTGGCTCTCCTGAACCCAAGCTGATGCAATCCTGGAAGAAAGAAACAAAATAAGATGTCATCTTCCTGGTAGGAATGTCTGGATTTCTGTGTCACTAGGACACTTTTCTTTCTCTTGTCTAAAGGTCTCATTTTTGCTCTAAGCAAAATCTATGAGATAAGAAAATGCATTTGATTTAAATTCAATGCTTTTGGAAGCAGTTACATAGATGGTATATGAAATCAGCAGTCACAATGCTCCTTGTTTTCCTTGGGGTGAACGTAACCACATGTACTCCTCAAAAACAGAGAGAAGCAGGGTGGTGCATCTAAATCACCAAGGTAGGCTCCTCATCCTCACTAAGAAGAGAAACAACAAGCTGCATGAGAAAAGCCAACTCTATGTAACATTTTACCAGATCAGAAAAAAAATTAAATTACAAAGTGGAGACAGCCTGTTTTCTAATTGTCCTCAGTCCTACATTGGACTGGCATTTTAGGTCACCCCTGGCTGACTTTCTTTAGATATAAACAAGTTAGTCCAGATTTAACTTAACCCATCTCCCAAATATTGCCATGAAGATGCTGTCTCAGTACTGCCCATGCCCTTGTCTGGACAACAGGAAGCTTTGGGCCACATAAGCCAGAGTAGGTCCCTGTCCACACAGGGGTGATGTGATCAGCTGACCATTCTCCTGCCACTGGCATGCTCCATGCAAACAGTGAACAGGCTTAGGTTTTTGAGTTAAGTTTTTAAAATGACATACAAATCGTTGTTTCTACTACTATTTCAACATTCTCCTCTATTTCTGTCTTGATTTGGGAAATGATTTTGACTAATTTTACCCTTTTCCTCTGTCAAATGGGAATGATCATTCCTGTTCTATCTCACAGGGCTGCTGCCAACACACAGAAGCAAGGTTCGTACAACACCGATTTGTCTTCTACAAAGTGGGCTGCAAATGATGCCTTGTTATTCACCGCAGACTTTACCATGACTAGACTGAAGAAAAAACTCACATGCAACAGAAAAACAGCACTGAAGTCTTCATTTTCAGTGAAGAATAACAGAGGACACTTGTACTACATTGGCTTAAATCTTCCACGGCCTGAGTCTGCTGTTCTTTGTCCTATAACTTGGTACCAGGAAGTGATTGTCTAAGTTCCACACTTGACCAAAGTGTAAATATAACTTTCTGTATTAGCTCAAGGAATAAAAAGGCAGAATGGGACCTAATAACAGTTACCAAAAGTAGGCAGCTCTATGCTAGGTGGAATGACAGGAGAGGTAACATGTAGGATAGAACTAGAGGGAATAAATCTAAACTGGAGCAAGAGGGATTCAGGTCAGACACTAGGATAAATTTCTGCAATGGCTGTACAATACTGGAAGTCATTATCAAAGCACACTTTAGAGTTTTCTTCAAGAAAGAAAAAGGCAGAGAAAAAGGCTGATGGGGTGATTTTAATCCTGCTTGAAGAGAATGGGCCTCTGGATAAAGTCCACAGAGAATTATTATAGGATTATCCTCCAACCCAAATGACTGACTGGCAAGCCTTACCTTCAAGATTTCTCCATCTGCATAAAGCACATACATGGTCACTTCAATATTCTTTTGTACACTCTTTCCTCCTCTCTCGAAATCCCCCTTCTCCAGGGTTAGGTACAGGTCATTGCGGATATCACCTGCGGGGAAAGAAATGCCACATCCTTATGACTCCAGAAGCCATACTGCCCCATTTTCACAGAGAACTAGGCTAGCATTTGGATCTTCTGGGGCTTGGGTGGGTGTTCAGGGCATTCCAAGCTTGGTTAATAATGATGGACATTCTACCAGTATCAGTGCAGCAGCACCCAGGTTGGTTAGTCATGTGTTCTCTAAGTCTGAATTCTAAAGATGTTCACCACACCTTGTCAAGGGTGGAGAATCTTTCAGATTGTAGATGCTCAGACTGCTCAGTCTTTCTCCCCTCCAGGAGAATGGCTGTAATCTAAGCCTCCCAAAGAGGGAAGATTCTAGAATCAAAAGGAATAACATTTTAACATGCCTATGTCTTAACTACTAATCCCTCTTCTTTTCCCTCAAGAAGGGTTTCTCTTTTATAGATTTATACTTTTTATATGCTTTCTTTTTGTAATCCCCATCCCTTCTGAGTCTGACTAGAGGATATATTACTTTTCCTTCCTCCTGGAGGCTTTGTTCCAAATCCCATTCCCTGCTGGAGTGACAGGTAGAGGTCACTGGACTACCTGTCGCTTTTTCTTCTTTTTGTTTGCAAGTGCACTGGGAGATCACTTGCCAGAAGCATAGGTAGTAAGGCAATGAGGCAACAACCTGTTGTGCTTTTTTGCTTCCCTGTGCTCTGACCAGCCCAATTTGCCCAACTCTGTTGTTCAAGACTGGAGAAGAGAAGCTCAAACTTCAAGTCTAAAATGACCTAAGTTACATCTTCCTTTTTAGGGTGATGAGTTGAGGGGAGACAGCATTGCCTGTTCATGTATAAGAGTGTATTTAGGCTGCTCTAAATTCCTAAACCTTTAACATGACCAGTTTTATTCACATGAACTAAAGAAGGGCTTCTGACTTAAAAAAAAAAATAGTAAAACGCTGTGGGGGCAACAAACTTCAAAGGGAGAAAATGGCAAAGGAAAATGGGTAAGACCAAAGTGAAGATGTGTTAGCAGCCTGAAGAAACCAAATGAGAGGTAATGAAACAACAGCAAAACATGCCAATTCAGAAACCAGGTAATTTTTTCTACTTCAGTTCTTAGAAAAACTAGTACATTCAAATATGTTACCACCTGGAATCATAATGATAGAAGCAGGGTTTGTTTTTGGTTAGCAAGTGGGCTTTCTGGTTTGGTCAGAGATAAATGACAATGCTCTCTTTTTTGCACTGACTACCTCTCTAATAATGGAAGCATCTGAGCTTCTCTCATGCATGAAACAGGAATAGACCAGGACTGGCACATATTTGAGGATTTCAGGGTCTTCGTGACTAGTCCTTCCATTATTCAGGTCATTTTCCTATCCCAGGTATGCAATCTTGCAATCATGGTTATTTGGTTGCATAATGAAGGTTCTCAAAATACTGTGGCTAAAGTGGGTAAGAAAAGTTCATGACAAGCAATTAACTATTCCTCAAGAGCCCTAAGAACTTTCCCTAATGTGTGAAAGCCATCTTCTTTCCTAAACAAGCAACCTTGAGGTTACCATGAAGGAAGAAGAAAATGTGTTTTGAAAATCATACCAAAATGCCACTGTTGCATATGTAGGATATCCTGGAGGACCACATCTGCACAAACCCTTGGATTGGGAAGTGCCTCTGCTTTGAATTCTGATGAGTCTGGAATCTTAATCCGCTTCCTTTGGACATTGCTGCTTGGGCCCTCCTGGTACATTATTTAGAGCACTCAGGTGTACAGGGTAGGTTTGGGTGGGAAAGACAGGTAGAATGAGAAAGGAAGCTCAAATTCATCAGTCTGCTACTGTCAGGACAAAGGCTGAATAAAGTCAGTCCTGAAAGTAAAATCCAAACTTAACAGAACTTCACTATGGCTTATTGCTATTTTTCTTCATTTTAACTTTCTCCTTTAAAGTCAGGTTATTGCTATTATGGTGGGATAAATCATAGTTATACCTGGAATTTTTAACAATTGAAACAGGCTTCTTATAAAAGTCTTTTAATTGCACATTAGTTTTCCTATGGAATTTAAGTAATACTTAAATTTGTAGACTGATATAGCACAAGGTGAATAGTCTAGATTTTTTTTATTATTTATTCTAAAATTTTAATTTTTATCCTTTTCTGAGTCAAATAGTCTAGAAAATTTTAATGCTTAATCTAAAGAATAGGTGCTTCATTTAAATATTACCCTGGTTTGAACTCTCTGGAAGTTATTCTGAAAATAATCTATGAGGCTTTTAAAAGCAGTTATCTGTTGGCTACCAGCAATATTATTCTAGGTTATACAAACGTTTTTAGTTTCTGTGGCTCTATACACAGGTTAATCAATAAACATGTCCTTCAAATGAAACATTTTCAAACTTTTCCTAGTTATATATTATATAAAATACTAATATAAAACTAGGGGCTGAGCATGGTGGCTCATACCTGTAATTCCTGCTATGGATTATAAGGAGGCTGAAGTGAGCACATTGTTTGAGGCTAAGAGTCCAAACTAGCCTGGGCAATATAGTGAGGCTCTTCAAAACAAATTTTTTAAAATTAGCTAAACATGGTAGTGTACACCTGTAGTCCTAGCTACTCAGGAGGCTGAGGAGGGAGGATCGCTTGAGCCCCGGAGTTTGAGGCTGCAGTGAGCTATGATCATGCCAGTGTACTTCAGCCTGGGTGACAGAGTGAGACATTGTCTTTTAAAAATAAATAAACAGATAAATAAAATTAGTGTCTTAGAGATTGTTAATGACAGAATTTGATCTGTGTTGACTATACAGAGATATGCTCACAGTTTCTGGGCAGAGCATTTTAAGGTAAAATGCCAGTTTCAAAACGGAAGGATTAAGCTACATATTCCTGTAGTTTTCATTTTTTTAAAAAACAGAATGCCTTTGGTGATCATCTAGCTGAGAAAATTTATCAATACAAGTAATTGTACCCTCTGAGTTACAGACTGAAGCAGTTTATTTTCATCAGGTCTTTAGCTGCTCTTTATTTGGAGAACAGACCTGCCTAGCTAGACTAGAACTATTCTCAGTCAGGTTAGGTATTAGGCTATTGGGCTTATGGGTTGCAATTATGCGATTATGGTTTCAATTTCAAGAGTGGCAATTTGTGAAAATGAATGTTGCTGGGAGGGAGAGGCTTCTTGTCAAAATCTCTCTGGGGGATCACTTCAATCAAGCTCTCCACGAATTCTCTTGGAACTAGGAGAAAGCATAAGCAGAAGCAAATGTGAAAAGCTCCAGGGATCTAATGACCCAGGCCTGCCTGCCTGCCTTATAGATAGCCTTCCATGGTTCCCCCACTCTTCAGCTGTCCCTATTGCATGTTACGTGTTCACAAAACCTACCAGTGGGATCATGCCTCTGGGTTAAGGCTCTGCTTCCAAGAGCCTCCTGTAAACTCTGGCACCAACTGCCAGGAAATATTACCAGGAGAGAGAGGCATGAGGGCAGGCACATTACAATGAAGATGAGAAAGAGAAAGCTGGAGCAGTGGTTTTGGAGGTTAGTTTGCATACCAGTGCCT